>NT_187614.1:1598374-1918049 GCF_000001405.40 Homo sapiens
TTATCTTCCTGTGGGTAAAGTCAGAAAAGTATGAGAGGTCCCTGTCTTCAAGGTGATTATAGTCTATTTAAGAAGACAAAACTAGCACATTAAAACAGAGTGTCTGTGTCACACTCTTTAGATGATAGCCATATGAATTTGTAATAGCCATAGATGAGAAAAGATAAATTCTCAAAAATTGATAAACCCAGATATATATAAACATTATATGCGCCACTGTCCAGACAGCTTCATTTGGCATTTTTCGGTCAAATATTTAGATTAGGGCATCGTTTCTCAAAGCATGTCCCACTGACCACCTGATGAAACAAACACTAGGGTGCGCCAGGCGCGGTGGCTCACGCCTGTAATCCCAGCACTTTGGGAGGCCGAGGCGAGGCGGGTGGATCACGAGGTCAGGATATCGAGACCATCCTGGCTAATGTGGTGAAACCCCGTCTCTACTAAAAACGCAAAAAATTAGCCAGATGTGGTGGCGGGCGCCTGTAGTCCCCGCTACTCCGGAGGCTGAGGCAGGAAAATGGCGCGAACCCGGGAGGCGGAGCTTGCAGTAAGCTGAGATCGCGCCACTGCACTCCAGCCTGGCGACAGAGCGAGACTCCGTCTCAAAAAAAAAAAAAAAAAAAAAACCACCAGGGTGCTTGTTAAAAATGCAGATTCCCAGCCCTTTTTTTTTTTTTTAATCACAACTACTCACTGCAGCCTCAACTCCTGGGCTCAAGCGATCCTGCCACCTCAGCCTCTCAAGTAGCTGGGACTACAGGGACATGCCACCACACCTGGTTGACTTTTTCTTTTCTCTTTCTCTTTTTCTTTTTTTTTTTTTTTTTTTTTTGAGACGGTCTCGCTCTGTCACCCAGGCTGGAGTGCAGTGGCACGATCTCGGCTCACTGCAACCTCCACCTCCCGGGTTCAAGCGATTCTTCTGCCTCAGCCTCTCAAGTAGCTGGGATTACTGGCGCGTGCCACCATGCCCAGCTAATTTTTGTATTTTTAGGAGAGACGCGGCTTCACCATGTTGGTCAGGCTGGTCTTAAACTCCTGACCTTGTGATCCACCCGCCTTGGCCTCCCAAAGTGCTGGGATTACAGGCGTGAGCCACTGGACCTGGCCGACTTTTTCTTTTTTTAAAGCATCCCTAATAATTAATCACCCTAAAGTTTGAGAACAGTCGTTTAAGATTTATCATTATTGTTCCCCTCTTTGTGTGCCAGAGTCTCTGTTGAACAACAAGGCCTTCAATACCTGTCACTCTTAGGACAAGAAAGTCTCTCAAGTCAGGTTTGAGTTGAATCAAGGGAGGAAACAAAGTGCCTTAATAGAAAATAGAACCATGGGCTGGGTATGGTGGCTCACGCCTGTAATCCCAGCACTTTGGGAACACAAGGCGGGTGGATCACCCGAGGTCAGGAGTTCTAGACCAGCCTGGCCAACATAGTGAAACCCTGTCTCTAATAAAAATACAAAATTTGCGGCAGGGCACGGTGGCTCATGCCTGTAAACCCAGCACTTCGGGAGGACGAGGCGGGTGGATCACCTGAGATCAGGAGTTCAAGACTAGCCTGGCCAATATGGTGAAACCCTGTCTGTACTAAAAATACAAAAAATTAGCTGGGCATGGTGGCAGGCGCCTGTAATCCCAGCTACTCAGGAGGTGAGGCAGGAGAATTGTTTGAACCCAGGAGGCAGAGGTTGCAGTGAGCCGAGATCGTGCCACTGCACTCTAGCCTGGGTGACAGAGTGAGACTCTGTCAAAAAAATAAAAATAAAAAATAAAAAAATTGCTGGGTATGGTGGCACGTGCCTGTAGTCTCAGCTACTTGGGAGACTGAGGCAGCAGAATCACTTGAACCCAGGAGACAGAGGTTGCAGTGAGCCGAGATTGCACCACTGTACTCCAGCCTGAGCAACAAAGCAAGACTCCATCTCAAAAAAAAGAAAAGAGTCCAGCCATGGTGGCTCATGCCTGTAATCCCAAAACTTTGGGAGGCCAAGACGGGCGGATCACCTGAGGTCAGGAGTTCGAGACCAGGCTGGCCAACGTGGCAAAATCCCATGTCTAGTAAAAGTACAAAAATCAGCCTGGCATGGTGGCGGGCACCTAAAATCCCAGCTACTTACGAGGCTGAGGCAGGAGAATCGCTTGAACCCGAGAGGCAGAGGTTGTAGTGAGCCAACAGGCCACTGCACTCCAGCCTGGGAGACAGAGAGAGACTCCGTCTCAAAAAAAAAAAAAAAAGAAAAAGAAAAGAAAATAGAACCATGAAGAGCCCCCTGTCCTGGGGCTGTCTGACCATGAATCCAAATTCGTAGATAACAAGGTCAGTGATCAATTTTTAGGACAGAGAATAGAGGAATTATTGGGATATTATTTCCTGCTGACCACCAATAGTCATACTTTAATCTGGCTTCTGGCACTTGCCATGCTTATTCTTATCCTTATACCTTTGTTTATGGTGGCAGACTTGTCCAACTTTTCTCCTATTTTTCTGAATCTTTCTAGTCCTTGGAAGTCCCATTTTCTCCAAGATTTCTCTTACTTCTCCAGCTTTCACTGATCTCTCTCTCCTTTGAATTCTTGTAGCAATATGGTCATACCACACAGTTCAGAATTTTTTTTTTGAGACAGAGTCTCGCTCTGTCTCCCAGGCTGTAGTTCAGTAGCGTGCTGTCAGATCACTGCAACCTCCGCCTCCCGGGTTCAAGTGATTCTCCTGCCTCAGCCTCCCGAGTAGCTGGAATCACATGCCCAGCCAATTTTTGTATTTCCGGCAGAGACAGAGTCTCACTATATTGGCCAGGCTGGTCTCAAACACCTGACCTCAAATGATCCTCCCACCTCTGCCTCCCAAAATGCTGGGATTACAGGTGTGAGCCACCATGCCTGGCCCACAGTTCAGAATTTAATTAGGATATATTTTTTTGTCTGCATACTGGTTTTAGCTCTCCAGTTAAATCCTGAAGGCAGAGACCATCTCTTATAGTTTGCTACCCCCTTTTATAGCTCTTCAAGTAGGACTAGGTATTTCTATTAGTAAGCGCTTCATTGACTGAAATAAAGATTAGCTCTGTACCTGAGAGGCCACTCTGCTCCTGATGCCTGCTTATCCGTCTTCACGTTGTCTCTGAGAGGCAAAGCCTCCAGTGGGATATATAGCTGCTTTACAGATGGACAGAATTCATCAAGAAAGTCAGTGCCTTGCCCACAACTGTGGCTCCAGTTGTGATATAAAAGAAAAATAAGACACAAAGTCCTTATCTGAATACTATGTCTCTTTGCTCTTGTTAATCACTCCAGTTTATCCAGAATTAAGAGCCTGAAGGAACTTCATACCATAAGGTCAGAAAATCTCCTCAGGAAGGCCACTTCATAAGTCTGGTCCTAATGATGAAAGGTAGAATTGCACAATGAAGGACAGCATGAGTAGTAGAGACTCCCCACGATGTTTTCACATGGACACAGGGTTTTCACATGGCATTTCTGCTCTCACTCCTTCCTTATCCAATGGCAAACACTTCCAGTCTCTATACTTCAGCCAGTTACCAAATCTTAACTTCTTCCTCCATGACACCTCCAATATATATGTTTTTAAGATCCCTTTCTAAGTCCTACACACCTCACAACTAAAATACCTGGAGAAATTTTAAAGGGCTCTTTAAAAACAGGAAAATGGACAAGATGACTTGTTTGGATTTTGCCCAGTCGTAGGATTCTGACATTTTATGTTGATCAGCTTTATAGCCTAGCCATCCCTGACTTCACTTTCCTCTAAAGCCATGACGGTGCTCCTGGTAAGTTGATTTCCTGCCCCATCCCTACCTTCTCTTTAGACTTCCCTAGTGTCTCCATCATTCCTATATCAGGTTCAGGTTTTTCCTGCTACATATTTAGGCCTCTACCTGTCTTCTACCTTCACTCTCTATTGTTGTTATTATATATGAAACACAATACATAATAAAATATAACATTAATAATTTTGTAGAGCCTTTATCGTCAAGAAAAATTGAGCCATCATTCAATTTCTTTTTATCCTTTTAATACCTTGTCTTAAAATTTTCCTGTATGTGATATCTTAGAGCAGAAGATTTCACAATGTCATGTCTTTTTTTTTTTTTTTTGAGACGGAGTCTCACTCTGTCACCCAGGCTGGAGTGCAGTGGCACGATATCAGCTCACTGCAACCTCTGCCTCCCGGGTTCAAGCAATTCTCCTGCCTCAGCCTCCCAAGTAGCTGGGATTACAGGCACCTGCCACCACGCCTGGCTAATTTTTGTATATTTAGTAGAGACAGGGTTTCACCATTTTGGCCAGGCTGATCTGGAATTCCTAACCTTGTGATCCCACCCGCCTTAGCCTCCCAAAGTGCTGGGATTACACACGTGAGCCACTGCACCTGGCCACAATGTCACGTCTTTTTAAAAAAAAAATCTCACCTCTGGGCCAGGTGTGGTGGCTCATGCCTGTAATCCCAGCACTTTGGGAGGCCAAGGCAATAGGGTTACCTGAGGTCAGGAGTTTGTGACCAGCATGACCAACATAGAGAAACCCTGTCTCTACTAAAAGTACAAAAATTACCTGGGTGTTGTGGCAGGCACCTATAATCCCAGCTACTCAGGAGGCTGAGGCAGGAGAATCCGTTGAATCCGGGAGGCGGAGGTTGCAGTGAGCCAAGATCATGCCATTGCACTCCAGCCTGAGTGACAGAGCAAGACTGCGTCTCAGAAAAAAATATATATATATATATCATCTCACCTCTGGTTAACTCCTAGACCTGCAGGTAGAAAGTTATTTTCCAACACAAGTCTTGTTTATCAGTGGACCTATTGTGCTGATGTGCCCAATTTTCTTATTGGAAAAAGAAAAAAAAAAAAAGAAGAAAGAATAAAGACAACAAAAAATCCATGAAAAGGAAATGTAGCTTCAATCAATGAACAAGATGGTCATAATCAGTTGAATAACATAGTTTTGCGGGTGAATACAGGCAAGCAAAACTGAGAAGAACCGATTCTTGGTATTGGCAGTGTCAGTCTCAAGAGCGGCAGCAACTCTACCTTCTCTGTGCTCTGTATTATAAACAGCTTGAGCTCTTTAATCAGGCTATGCTTTAAATCCTGACTCTGTCGCTAATTAGCTCTGTGGCCTTGAGGAACTGACACCTTTCTGAGCCTCAGTTTCCTTATCTATATTATATATATCTATCTTATATTCAGGATATAAAGCCTACCTTCTAAGGTGGTGTTTTGGATTAAATGATGTAACCAACATGTTAAGCTTCTGGCACAGAGCTTGTTAGATAGTAGGCACACAGAAAATATTACTTTCCCCTTTCTCTCCATGTTCCTTTCCTTTCATTTCCTATTAGTAATCGATACAGAACAGAATGCTTTATGGATCCTCAATTAATTCAGAAATTGTGATTGCTGGGCACAGTGGTTTATGCTTGCAATCCCAACACTGTGAGAGGCCAAGGTGGGTGGATCACCTGAGGTCAGGAGTTCAAGATGAACCTGGCCAACATGATGAAACCCCGTCTCTACCAAAAATACAAAATTAGCCGGGTGTGGTGGCACACACCTATAGTCCTAGCTACTTGGGAGGCTGAGAAAGGAGAATTGCTTGAACCCGGGAGGCGGAGGTTGCAGTGAGCCGAGATCACACCACTGCACTCCAGCCTGGGCAAGACAGAGTGAGACTCCGTCTCAAACAAACAAACAAACAAAAAATTGTGTCATTACTAAATTCACTGCCTCCTGCACCCACCATGAGCAACAGAGTGGAGGCCCTGTCTTAGCTATGAGGGAGGCTGAGGAAGGAGAATCACTTGAACCCGAGGGGCGGAGGTTGCAGTGAGCCGTGTTTGCACCACTGCACTCCAGCCTGGGTGACAGAGCGAGACTCCGTCTCAAAAAATAAATAAATAAAAAATTCAGTGGCTGGGCACTGTGGTTCACACCTATAATCCCAGAACTTTGGGAGGCCAAGGTGGGTGAATCACCTGAGGTCAGGAGTTCAAGACCAGCCTGGCCAACATGGTGAAACCCTGTCTCTACTAAAAATACAAAAATTAGCTGGGCGTGGTGGCGGGAACCTGTAATCCCAGCTACTCGGGAAGCTGAAGGAGGAGAATCACTTGATCCCAGGTGGTGGTGGTTGCAGTGAGCCAAAATTGCGCCATTGCACTCCAGCCTGGGTGACAAGAGCAAGACTCCATCTAAAAAAATAATAATAATAAAATGAAAATTCAGTTCACCAACCCATCCGCCCCAATATTTCCAGGTTAATGGAGCATGTGATCAGGGACCTTGGGATATTATGAATCCTTTACCCTTACTTGGAAGGAGCAAATGACTGTGGCCTGAGCTTCTGAGTACCAACCAAAGGGCTGGCACGTGTGAGTATGCCTGGCCCCACTCAGGCTTATTATTGCATCACACAGGAAAGATTCTTTGGCCCCTTTGGCAAGCATGTGTAATAGTAGGAACCTGCATATATTACAAGTAGGAGTGTAATGAGGACAATCCCTTAGAAAACAGTTTGGCATTAATTGGTAAAGTTGTACATACCCTACATACCCTATAACCAGCGTCTACTTCTGGATTTATACCCTGGAGAAACTTTCAAAACTGCCCCAGAAACATTGCTCATTATGGCTACAAACTGGAAACAACACAAATGTCTCTCAACAGCAGAATGAATATATAAATTGTGATACATTCATACAATGAAATATTATAAAGCAATGAGAATGAACAGATGATTGCTACATGAAGAAATACGGATGGATTTTACCAACATAATGTTGAGCAAAAAATGTATGTTTCCTGCTACAAAAACAGGCAAAACAGGCCAGGTACCAGTGGCTCATGCCTATAATTCTAGCACTTTGAGAGGCTAAAGCAGGAGGATCACTTGAGGCCAGGAGTTCGCGACCAGCCTGGGCAGCATAGGGAGACCCTATCTCACAAAAATTATAAACAATTTAGCTGGGCAAGTGATACACGCCTGTAGTCCCAGCTACTTGGGTGGCTGAGGTGGGAGGATTGCTTGAGCCCAGGAGTTGGAGGCTTCAGTGAGTCTTGATCACACAATTCCACTCCAGGCTGGGTGACATAGCAAGACCCTGTCAAAATAAAACAACAACAAAAAAATGGGCAAAACAAGCCAGGTGCATGCCCCTGTAGTCTCAGCTAGTCAGGAAGCTGAGATGGTAGGATCACTTGAGCCTAGGAGTTCAAATCTGGCCTGGGCAACACACAGAGAGAGAGAGACCCCATTTCTAGAAAAAAAAAAATAGGCAAAACTCATTTGTGATGGCAAGAATCTGGATAATACATTCTTTTTTTTGT
The DNA here is from genome assembly GCF_000001405.40 of Homo sapiens. Lineage (NCBI taxonomy): Eukaryota > Metazoa > Chordata > Mammalia > Primates > Hominidae > Homo > Homo sapiens. Next base: position 1,605,722 of record NT_187614.1, read on the forward strand.
TTTGTTTTTGAGATGGAGTCTTGCTCTGTAACTGCAGGCTGGAGGGCAGTGGTGCAATCTTGGCTCACTGCAACCTCCACCTCCCAGGTTCAAGCAATTCTCCTGCCTCAGCTTCCCGAGTAGCTGAGATTACAGGTGCGTACCACCACACCCATCTAATTTTTGTATTTTTAGTAGAGACGAGGTTTCACCACGTTGGCCAGGCTGGTCTCCAACTCCTGACCTCAGGTGATCTGCCCTCCTTGGCCTCCCAAAGTGCTGGGATTACAGGCGTGAGCCACTGCGCCTGGCCCCTCCTTTTTTTTTTTTTTTGAGACAGAGTCTCACTCTGTCACCAAGGCTGGAGTGCAGTGGCCCAATCTCGGCTCTGCAACCTCTGCCTCCTGGGTTCAAGCGATTCTCCTGCCTCAGACTCCTGAGTAGCTGCACTACAGGCATGAGCCACCATGCCCATCTAATTTTTGTATATTTAGTAGAGACGGTGTTTCACCATGTTGGCCAGGCTGATCTTGAACTCCTGAGCTCAGGTGATCCACCTGCCTCAGCTTCCCAAAGTACTGGGAATACAGGTGTGAGCCACAGTGTCCAGCTGATAATATTTACTTTTGATGGTGAGGAGTGACTGGGAGAACACATAAAAGAAATTTCCAGCCCAGACGCGGTGGCTCACGCCTGTAATCCTAGCACTTTGGGAGGCCAAGGCAGGCGGATTGCCTGAGCTCAGTAGTTCAAGACCAGCCTGGGCAACACGGTGAAAACTAGTCTTTACTAAAAAAAAAAAAAAAAAAAAAAATTAGCCGGGCATGGTGGTGTGTGCCTGTAGTCTCAACTACTTGGGAGGCTGAGGCAGAAGAATTGCTTGAACCCGGGAGGTGGACGTTGCAGTGAGCCGAGATTGTGCCACTGCACTCCAGCCTGGGTGACAGAGCTAGACTCTGTCTCCAAAAATAATGTAAATAAATAAATAAATAAATAAATAAAAATTAGGCCAGGTACGGTGACTCATCCCTGTAATCCCTGCACTTTGGGAGGCTGAGGTGGGCGGATCACCCTGAGGTCAGGAGTTCGAGACCAGGCCGGCCAACATGGCGAAACCCCGTCTCTACTAAAAATACAAAAATTAGCCGGACTTGGTGGCACATGCCTGTAATCCCAGCTGCTTGGAAGGCTGAGGCAGGAGAATCGCCTGAACCTGGGAGGCAGAGGTTGTAGTGAACTGAGATTATGCCACTGCACTCCAGCTTGGGCAACAGAGCAAGACTCCATCTCAAAAAAAAAAAAAATACATAGAGTTTGATTCCATTTATATAACATTCAAAAGTAAACAAAATATTTTTAGTGATACATATATAGAGAGTTCAATTTTTTTGTTTGTTTGTTTTTGAGATGGAATTTCACTCTTGTTGCCCAGGCTGGAGTGCAATGTCACGATCTCGGCTCACTGCAACCTCCACCTCCCGCGTTCAAGTGATTCTCCTGCCTCAGCCCCCCGAGTAGCTGGGATTACAGGCATCTGCCACCATGCCTGGCTAATTTTGTATTTTTAGTAGAGACAGGGTTTCTCCATGTTGGTCAGGCGTGTCTTGAACTCCTGACCTCAGGTGATCCACCTAACTCAGCCTCCCAAAGTGCTGGGATACACGCATGAGCCACGACGCCCGGCTGATAGTTCAATGATTTTACAAAACATGGAAAAATAAAGATTGGGAGGAGGAAAGAGACCGGAGGACCAGAGGCACAGACATGTAAAGAGCATCCATGATGCTGGCAATGTTCAATTTCTTAATTTGGGTGATGGTAACATATGTTCACCTTTTCAGTATTATTATTATTATTGAAAATATACTTATGTTCTATATACTCTCCTGTATATATGGTATATTCCACAATTAAAAAACGGCCGCGGCCAGGCCGAGTAGCTCACGCCTGTAATCCCAGCACTTTGGGAGGCTGAGGCGGGTGGACCACTTGAGGTCAGGAGTTTGAGACCAGCCTGACCAACATGGTGAAACCCCGTCTCTACTAAAAATACAAAAATTAGCCAGGCGTGGTGATGGGCGCTTGTAATCCCACCTATTCGGGAGGCTGAGGCAGGAGAATGGCTTGAACCTGGGAGGCGGAGGTTGCAGTGAGCTGAGATCACGCCACCGTACTCCAGCCTGGGGGACACAGCGAGACTACGTCTCAAAAAAAAATAAAGGAAAAGAAATAAAGAAATAAAATGGCCATGCTGGTGGCTGATCCCTATGATCCCAGCACTTTGAGAGGCTGGGGTGGGAGGGCTGCTTGAGCCAGGAGTTCAAGACCAGCTTCGGCAACATACTGAGACCCTGCCTCCATTATTAAATTTTTTAAATTTAAAAACAAACCAAAACAAATGAACAAAATGGCATGCAGCCTTTAAAAAGCAGTAGCATAAGCCAGACGCAGTAGTTCACGCCTGTAATCCCAGCACTTTGGGAGGCCAAGGCAGGTGGATCACGAGGTCAGGAGATCAAGACCATCCTGGCTAACACGGTGAAACCCCATCTCTACTAAAAATACAAAAAATTAGCCAAGCGTGGTGGCGGGCACCTGTAGTCCCAGCTACTTGGGAGGCTGAGGCAGGAGAATGGTGTGAACCCAGGAGGCGGAGCTTGCAGTGAGCCGAGATCGCGCCACTGCACTCCAGCCTGGGCGACAGAGCGAGACTCTGTCTCGAAAAAAAAAAAAAAAAAGAGTAGCATAGTGTGCAGGTACAATAATTTTAAAGCTAGAAGAGGCCTTGTAAGCCATTTTGTCTAACCACCTCATTACAGAAACCGAAATAGAGGCCAAGAGAAGACAAGTGACCTGTTCAAATTGATTTAGTCAATTAAAGAGCCTAGGGTAGGCCTCCTGGCTTCCTGTCAAGTGCTCCTTCTGCAGACCCATCCTGATTCATCCATTTGGTCCTAGTTCCTACTCTCTTCCAACGCCATATCTCTGAACTGCATATGTCATAAAACTCATAACTTTTTTCCTGCTAAATTTGATGTTTTTGTTGTGGGAAAAGGAGATCAGAAGAGATATACTCTGCTCCACTGATATTCCAAATGCTTAGAAAGTCAGTCAAAATATCTAGGAGTAGAGAAATAGTCTATTAGAAATAATAGAAACATGGATCTATTTGTCTACACTTGGATTTTTTTTTTTTTTGGTGGGGGAGGATGGAGTCTCGCACTGTCACCCAGGCTGGAGTGCAGTGGTGCAATCTCGGCTCACTGCAACCTCCGCCTCCCGGGTTCAAGTGATTCTCTTGCCTCAGCCTCCCAAGTAGCTGGGACTATAGGCATGTGCCACGACGCCCAGATAATTTTTGTATTTTTGGTGGAGATGGGGTTTCACCATGTTGGCCAGGCTGGTCTTGAACTCCTGACCTCGTGATCCACCTGACTCAGCCTCCCAAAGTGCTGGGATTATGGGCGTGAGCCACGGTGCCCGGCCTACTCCTGGATATTTTGACTGCAGCTCTTCCACCGCTCTGCCCCCGACAGTATGGCCTACTCCAATATGCAGGCTGACTTTTTTTTTAAATGGAGTCTTGCTCTGTCGCTTAGGATGGAGAGCAGTGGTGTGCTGTTGGCTCACCACAACCTCTGCTTCCTGAGTTCAAATGATTCTCCTGTCTCAGCCTCCCAAGTAGCTGGGATTAGAGACATGCGCTACCACTCCTGGCTAATTTTGTATTTTTAGTAGAGACAGGGTTTAACCTTGTTAGTCAAGCTGGTCTTGAACTCCTGACCTCAAGTGTCCACCCGCCTTGGCCTCCCAACGTGCTGGGATTACAGGTGTGAACTACCGTGCCTGGCCCAGGCTGACTTTAGAGTCTTTAAGTTACAAAAGAAAAGGGTAGGGTCTGCGAGGTGATCAAAGAAAACTCTTAGACTTCATCTTTCGCCAAGCACAAGGTCTCTTTTGGGAAAAGTGAGCTCTTTTGCCACCTTGTGACACTGGATGAGAACAGCAAGCCCTCAGATCAATTCCTACTCCTGCTCCAAGGTGGCAGCATTGTACCGTGGCATCTAGGAACTAATGTACAGAGAGTTTCAAATAGAGCAACAGGAGGGAAGGTGATAATACCTCAGGGGAGCAGAGAATCATGTCATCATGTTAAGGAAATAGTAAGCAAAAATCACAAAACCCAAGGAAGGCAATGGAGCCCCTCTGCCCTAACCACCTCCTCTGCTAAGAGAAGCAGGCAGCCAGAGGCAAGAGGGTGGGGAGGATGAATAAAGATTTCCTTGGACCAATAAAGATGTGAGGCATTTATGTTCCCTCTAGTCAGTGGCCTCATTTCTCTGCTTTCTTTCTCATAGCAAAACTTTTTTAAAAAGTTTTCTAGTCTGGGTGCAGTGGCTCACACCTGTAACCCCAGCAATTTGGGAGGCCAAGGTGGGCAGATTACTGGAGCTCAGGAGTTTGAGACCAACCTGGGCAACACAGTGAGACTGTGTCTCTACAAAACATAGCCCATCTCCAAAATAAAACAAGACCAAAGAAGCTGTAGAGTTTGATAAAGATGGGGTAGATCTTTATTCTCTTTTTTTTCTTTTCTTTTTTTTTTTTTTGAGACGGAGTTTCGCTCTTGTTGCCCAGGCTGGAGTGCAATGGTGCAATCTCGGCTCACTGCAACCTCCACCTCCCAGGTTCAAGCGATTCTCCTACCTCAGCCTCCCAAGTAGCTGGGATTACAAACATGCGCCACCATGCCCAGCTAATTTTTGTACTTTCAGTAGAGATGGAGTTTCTCCATGTTGGTCAGGCTGGTCTCGAACTCCCGACCTCAGGTCATCCACCCGCCTCAGCCACCCAAAGTGCTGGGATTACAGGCGTGAGCCACCGCGCCCGGCCCTTCATTCTCTTTTATGCTCCATCTATCTATGCCATGACAAAGTCTACAGATTATTACACTAGACACTAAAAAAATACAAATTTGGAAAAATCTTCAACAACAGTTATCTGTCTAGGAAAACCTTCCCAAGCCACAGACAGTACCACTCACCTGCCGTATTTAGCTCTTCCTCACAACCTCTCAGCCCAATGGTCATCAGAATGTTGTCCACCAATACTCACTTCACTATTCAGGAGTGTGAAGATGTGCAAAACTCAATAGGTATGTCTGTGCTAATGTGAGTTTATATATATAACTGGATTAATTCTAGAGATCATATGGTTCAGGGCCGGCTGGGGTGGCTCACGGCTGTAATCCCAGCACTTTGGGAGGCCGATGGGGGCAGATCACTTGAGGTCAGGAGTTCGAGACCAGCCTGGCCAACATGGTGAAACCTGTCTCTACTAAAAATATAAAAATTAGCCGGCAGGGTGGCACACACATTTAATCCCAGCTATTCAGGAGACTGAGGCAGGAGAATCACTTGAACCCAGGAGATGAAGGTTGCAGTGAGCCAAGATTATGCCACTGCACTCCAGCCTGGGCAACAGAACGAGACTCCATTTCACAAAAAAAAAGGCCAGGCACGGTGGCTCATGCCTGTAATCCCAGCACTTCGGGAGGCCGAGGCAGGTGGATCACGAGATCAGGAGATTAAGACCATCCTGTCTAACACGGTGAAACGCTGTCTCTACTAAAAATACAAAAACATTAGCCAGGCATGGTAGTGGGCGCCTGTAGTCCCACCTACTCAGGAGGCTGAGGCAGGAGAATGGCGTGAACCTGGGAGACAGAGCTTGCAGTGAGCCGAGATCGTGTCACTACACTCCAGCCTGGGCGACCGAGCGAGACTCTGCCTCAAAAAAAAAAGAGATCATATGGTTCAGGACTCTCAATTTATAGAAGAGAACATTTAGATCCCAAGAAGTCAAGTAATTTTCTCAAGGTGATAGCTCATAAAAGGGCCTGTACTAGAACTCAATTGTACTGACTCCTAGTCCTAGTTTCCTGCTCTATTTCTATAATTCCTGCTCTAGAAATTATATTCCTTACTAGAAATCTCCACATCTTTTCATGAAAGTATATAAATCTCTGTGCCTGTGTCAGTGAGCATGCATGTAAATGTCTACGTGTCTATCTGCAAGTATTTGTAAAGCATATCAATGGGCGTTTATGGCCTTCCTGCTCGAGAAACCTCTAGGTAATCTAGTTCTCTATGTCGGCACCGGCAGCGAAGTCAGAAGAAGTCTGAGTGAATTATTAATAAGCAGAATTAGCCCTTTCTCCAATTAGATCTATTCCTGGGTCTTCAGGAAATGGGGCAAAATAATCAGGGTGGAATCAGAGTCTCTCAGGGTCAAACTTGGTTCCAGCTGCGTGTGGTGAAAGCAACTAGAGGCAGAGCTATCAAGGGCTGTGACAGATGAGCAGTGGTCTGTCTGCAATGAGCATGTGCTCAAGCTAACATGGATACCATCTTGGTCTTCAGCCTAATCATTGCATCCTATGATGCCAACAAGAAAGGTATGTAATTCTCTAGCCTAATCTCCTGGAAAATACAGAGAGAGGCCTAGAAAGAGTTTCGGGGTCTCTTCCACCAGATAGAGATGTAGCTGATATCCAGCAAGCAATACTTTCCAGAGTTAATCCCATGTATCCACTCGCCTCTAAGAAGGACTGCAACTTATTCATTCCAGAGAGATAGCTGTCTGTTTCATGATGAGAGGTCTTCAGAGAATGTGATGCATTCTTATGTCTTGTTCATGTAATTAACATTAAAAGTCCTTTCACTGTTGGATGGCTTTCTTTAGAGTTTCAGTATTGTCATCACCTAAGGTTCCCAAATTCATACTGTTCATAAGATGTTGCCTTTTTTAAGTTGGTACATGTAAATAGCTAGACGGTGATATTCTTGGGTGGGGAGAGCTGAGGGAAAGGGTGATATTGGGTGGAATGGCATCATTTGCTGCTCTTTGGTAACTGCTTATTTAAAATATGAGTTTTCAAAGTTTCATAAACATTTCATCTCTAAAATTAGCTAATCAAGGCTGGGCATGGTGGCTCATGACTGTAATCCCAGCACTTTGGGAGGCCAAGATTGGTGGATCACCTGAGGTCAGGAGTTCGAGACCAGCCTGGCCAACATGGCGAAACCCCATCTCTACTAAAAGTGCAAAAATTAGCCAGGCATGGTGGCATGCACCTGTAATCTCAGCTACTCGGGTGGCTGAGGCATAAGAATCACTTAAACCTGGGAGGTGAGGTTGCAATGAGCTGAGATCGTACCACTGAAATCCAGCCTAGGTAACAGAATGAGACTCTGTCTCAAAAAATAAAAAATTAAAATAAAAAAATAAAATTAGCTAATCAGAATTAAGACCAAATGGCACAAAGTGCAGCAGTAACGAATTTGACAAATTATAAAAATGTCACAACCCTTTGAATTATGTGCCAAAAAGCATAAATAACTAAGACCTATGGTTCTGTGGAAACCTATAGAGATACCAAGGTCAGACAATATAAATCTCCAAAAGCTTTATTTAATACAAGAAAGAAGACAGAATAGGAGGGAGAAGAGAAAATAAGCAGTATTTAAGGAAATGGGTTGGTTAGACTTTCATTAACTTAGTAAATTTTCTTAACTCTATTTGACCTTTCTTTGTCCTAAGGGTAATAGATTGGTACACAGTATTCTTTATACTAGGTCAACTACTACTTTGTATGTATTTGGCTGGGTGTTCTTTTTTGAGGGCCGGGCGTGGTGGCTCACACCTGTCATCCTAGCACTTTTGGGAGGCCAAGGCAGGTGGATCACCTGAAGTAAGGAGTTTGAGACCAGCATAGCCAAAATGGCGAAACCCCATCTCTACTAAAAATACAAAAATTAGCTGGGCATGGTGGTGCATGCCCGTAATCCCAGCTACTCGGGAGGCTGAGGCAGAAGAATCCCTTGAACCCAGGAGGTGAATGTTGCAATGAGCGGAGATCACGTCACTGCACTCCATCCTGGGCGACAGAGTGAGACTCCGTCTCAATAAATAAATAAATAAATAAATAAATAAATAAATAAATAAAAGTAAAGTCTTTTTAGAGAGTGTTTGATCTCCCAAGTTGCAAGTTTTATGAGCAGGAACTGCAATCTTTCATATCTTCTCCATTGCCCAGAATTCTAAAAAGTAAGTACCAGTAAATTCTGATTTTCCCCAAACCTTCCCCGGTTCCCCTCCTCCCCCTCTGCTCACCCCCAGACCTCAGAGATAGCAGTTGCCGACTGGAACAGCTGCCTGGGATCTTCCCAAAAGACGTGAGAAGCATCAGAGAATTGCAAATGCAAGGTAGGGAATGGGTCCTTTCTGGAAAATGATATTGCCATTCCAAAAAATTTTTACCTTTAAAAGATATCTCATCTTCCCACTTCCTAGCCCATATCTCAAATATCCTATTTTAAGGATATGTATCCTCCCAGGGGGCTTTCTGGAAACCAATCTTTAAATTAACTGTCATTACCTAAGGCATGCTTATATTACTCAAATGGATGGAGATGAAAAAAGAGAAGGAGGCAGAACCTACCCCTCTCTGCATTAAAGAAAAATCTATGAGCATTTCTCTGTGCTAAATTTACTGCTGTCACCAACCTTCATGGGAACCATGGCAGAAGAAAGGCAGGACTTGTCTATTAGTACTATGAACACAAACTGAAGAAGTTAACTAAAAGGAGAGAAAGTACAGCAGTGGAGTTTAGCAGGGGTCATGAATGGAAATGGGTTAGCTTGGCACTGTTCAGATTAAAAACCAGCTTTGGCCAGGCATGGTGGCTCACACCTGTAATCCCAGCACTTTGGGAGGCCAAGGCAGGTGGATCACTTGAGCTTACGAGTTTGAGACTAGCCTGACCAACATAGTGAAACCCCATCTCTACTAAAGATACAAAAATCAGCTGGATGTGGTGGTGCACGCCTGTAACCCCAGCTACCTGGGAGGCTGAGGCAGGAGAATCACTTGAACCAGAGAGGCGGAGGTTGCAGTGAGCTGAGATTGCGCCATTGCACTCCAGCCTGAGCAACAAGAGCAAAACTCTGGGCAACAAGAGCAAAACTCAGAGATCGTGCCATTGCACTCTAGCCTGGACCACAAGAGCAAACGCTTCAAGGTCGGGTGCGGTGGCTCATGTCTGTAATCCCAGCACTTTGGGAGGCCAAGGTGGGAGGATTGCTTGAGCCCAGGAGTTCGAGACCAGCTTGGGCAACACAGCAAGACCCTGTCTTTTAAAAAATTAAAAAATTAGCCGAGCAAAGTGGCATACACCTGTAGTCCCATAGTCACAGCTACTCAGGAGGCTGAGGTGGGAGGATTGCTTGGAGATCGAGGGAGTTTGAGGCTGGAGTGAGCCATGATTGCGACACTGCACTCCAGCTTGGGTGACAGAGCAAGGCACCGTCTCAAAAAAACCAACCAAACAAAAAACAAAACCAGCTCCATTTTTCTATCTGGTTCTTCTCCTTCCAGAAACTCACACAGAAACCAAAAGGACAACATTCATTCAAAACCGGACTATAGCTACCCTGCAGTGCCTTGGCTCTGACAGCAAAGTAAAAGTCAACCTTGTATATTTGGAGAGAAGGCCAAAGGTCAAGCATATTTTGAAGAACCTGAGAATCATTGCTGCTCCCCGCAGAAACAGCTCTGCCTCCTCAAGCTGTCACCTAATCCCCACATCCAAGTTTCAGACTGGATCTCTTCTAAAAGGCAAAGGTGAGATTGGAAAAGAGGAAGGGGGCAGGCACTAACTTTTAGTTGACATCCTTGAAGGCAGCCAGAACTCCGTAGCAGGAAAAGCTACAAGAAAATGAATTATCCACTTTTTGATGGGGTTGTTTGTTTTTTTTCTTGTAAATTTGTTTGAGTTCATTGTAGATTCTGGATATTAGCCCTTTGTCAGATGAGTAGGTTGCGAAAATTTTCTCCCATCAAAAAGTGGGCAAAGGACATGAACAGACACTTCTCAAAAGAAGACATTTATGCAGCCAAAAAACACATGAAAAAATGCTCATGATCACTGGCCATCAGAGAAATGCAAATCAAAACCACAATGAGATACCATCTCACACCAGTTAGAATGGCAATCATTAAAAAGTCAGGAAACAACAGGTGCTGGAGAGGATGTGGAGAAATAGGAACACTTTTACACTGTTGGTGGGACTGTAAACTAGTTCAACCATTGTGGAAGTCAGTGTGGCGATTCCTCAGGGATCTAGAACTAGAAATACCATTTGACCCAGCCATCCCATTACTGGGTATATACCCAAAGGACTATAAATCATGCTGCTATAAAGACACATGCACACGTATGTTTACTGCGGCACTATTCACAATAGCAAAGACTTGGAACCAACCCAAATGTCCAATAATGATAGACTGGATTAAGAAAATGTGGCACATATACACCATGGAATACTATGCAGCCATAAAAAACAATGAGTTCATGTCCTTTGTAGGGACATGGATGAAATTGGACATCATCATTCTCAGTAAACTATCACAAGAACAAAAAACCAAACACCGCATATTCTCACTCATAGGTGGGAATTGAACAATGAGATCACATGGACACAGGAAGGGGAACATCAGACTCTGGGGACTGTTGTGGGGTGGGGGGAGGGGGGAGGGATAGCATCGGGAGATATACCTAATGCTAGATGACGAGTTAGTGGGTGCAGCGCACCAGCATGGCACATGTATACATATGTAACTAACCTGCACAATGTGCACATGTACCCTAAAACTTAAAGTATAATAATAAAAGAAAAAAAAAAGAAAATGAATTATCCTCCCCTTGGGCAAATCTACGTGCTCTCTGAGAGTCAGTTTTATAATCTCTAAGATCCCTTCTAGCCCTGATACTCTGTGATTTTCATGTGATCTCCATTTCTGATGGATCTTCTTTCAACAGTTTTTTAAAATTTCTTTTTTTTTGTTTTTGTTTTTGAGATGGTGTCTCGTTCTGTCACCCAGGTTGGAGTCCAGTGGTGCGATCTTGGCCCACTGCAACCTCTGCCTCCCAGGTTAAAGTGATTCTCCTGCCTCAGCCTCCCAAGTAGCTAGGATTACAGGTGTCTGCCACCATGGCTGGCTAATTTTTGTATTTTTAGTAGAGACAGGATTTCACCATGTTGGCCAGGCAGGTCCTGATCTCTGACCTCAAGTATCTGCCCGCCTTGGCCTCCCAAACTGCTGGGATTACAGGCGTGAGCCACCGTGCCTGGCCAGGTTTTTTTTTTTTTAAATTTCATTTTGCATGCACACAGTAAAATATTCAAACAGTATAGATTTATAGTGAAAAGTAAGTCTCTCTCCTACTCCTGTCTCTCAATTCTCCAGTTCTCTATCCCTGATGGAACCACTATTATCAACTTATTATATTTCCTTCCGGAGATACTCTAAGAATGTATGAATGTGCATATTTTAAAAACATAAATGGTAACATACCATATACACTGTTCTGCCCCTTGCTTTTGCTTGTTTTTGTTTTTTGTTGTTATTGTTATTTTGTTGTTGTTGTTGTTGTTTTCTTTGGAGATGGAGTCTCACTCTGTCACCCAGGCTGGAGCGCAGTGGCGCGATCTCGTCTCACTGCAACCTCCTCCTCCCAGGTTCACGTGATTCTCCTGTCTCAGCTTTCCAATTAGCTGGGATTACAGGTGCCCACCACCACACCCAGTGAATTTCTGTATTTTTAGTAGAGACAAGGTTTCACCATGTTGGCCAGGCTAGTGTTGAACTCCTGACTTCAAGTGATTCACCCACCTCAGCCTCCCAAAGTGCTAGGATTACAAGCGTTAGCCACTGCGCCTGGCCAATCCCTTGCTTTTCCATTTAATAATATATCTTATAGGTCGTTCCATTTCAATACGTATATATTTACCCCATACTTTTTTATATTTGCCTCATTCTTTTTAACAGTTTTACATTATTCCATAGTATGTCTCTTCCATAGTCTTTTTTTTTTTTTTTTTTTGAGACAGAGTCTCGCTCCGTTGCCCAGGCTGGAGTGCAGTGGTGCGATCTCAGCTCACTGCAAGCTCCGCCTCTCGGGTTCACGCCATTCTCCTGCCTCAGCCTCCCGAGTAGCTGGGACTACAGGCACTCGCCACCACACCCAGTTAATTTTTTGTATTTTTGGTAGAGATGGGGTTTCACCGTGTTGGCCAGGATGGTCTTGATCGCCTGACCTTGTGATCTGCCCGCCTTGGCCTCCCAAAGTGCTGGGATTACAGGCGTGAGCCACTGCACCCGGCCATGTCTCTTCTATATTCTACTAGCCCCCTATTGATATATATTTTGGTCGTTTCCAATCTTTTGCAAATACAAACAATTCCGAAAACAATGACCGTATATATTCTTCTTTTTTCTCTTTTTTCTTTTAATAAATTCTTTTCCCCTCTTTCACTATTACTCAGTATCTATATATATTCTTCTTGTATACCTGCAATTTATCAATAAGATTTATCAATTTATCAATAAGATTCCAAGAAGCAGGATTGTTGCATCAAAGGCTGATAGTTACTGCTAAATTACCCTCACTAGAGGTTGGTTCCATTGTGCATATCCACACTGGGGGAGAATGCCTATTCCCCCACAGCTGCTGGACAGTGGTTCTTAACCTCAGCCTGAAGTTTCTCTCCTTCTGCCCTCCTTTCCTTTTCTCACCCTTTCTTTTTTTCATATAGTTTTTTTTTTTCTTTAGTGTAGCCGGTTCCTCTTTATAAACTGGCAGTCCCCTAGATGCTATTGCTACATTACTGGAAAAATAAAATAAAACTTGACATTTTTAGAGAAATTGGGGATCCACAAGCAGAATAATGGAAAAAACTTTAAACTCTAGACTAAAACTGGGAAATAAGTGGATAGGCTCTCAGGATGTTACAGAAAAACTCTTAAAAACTCAAAAGCGTCAGGTGCGGTGGCTCACGCCTGTAATCCCAGCACTTTGGAAGGCCGAGGCAGGCGGATCATGAGGTCAAGAGATCAGGACCATCCTGGCCAACATGGTAAAACCTCGTCTCTACTAAAAATACAAAAATTAGCTGGGCATGGTGGCGTGTGCCTGTAGTCCTAGCTACTCAGGAGGCTGAGACAGAAGAATAGCTTGAACCCAGGATGCAGAGGTTGTAGGGAGCTGAGATCACGCCACTGCACTCCAGCCTGGCGACAGAGCGAGACTCTGTCTCAAAAAACAAAACAAAACAAAATAAAAAAATTAGCCAGGCATGGAGGCACGCGCTTGTAGTCCCAGCTACTCGGGAGGCTGAGACAGAAGAATGACTTGAACCCGGGAGGCGGAGGTTGCAGTGAGCCAAGATCACACCACTGCATTCCAGTCTGGGCAATAGAGCGAGACTCCATCTGAAAAAATAAACAAACTCAAAAGACTCTGGCAGGGTTTTGAACTTTGAATATTAATGCAAATTAATTAAATCCAATTGTTTCCCTCTTAACATGTGACACCTTGCTGTCCATGGCAGCTGTGTTGGGGAAAAGTGGACTTAAGTCATTTTGGAGTTTGGAGCACTCTGGGTGGAGTGAATATAGTGCTAGGCATTGTGAGACTTGGGGCAATTAAGGACATTAGCTCTTAGAAATTGGGACAAGGAAAACTGAGGGGTTAAAGGGGAGGAGAGATGCCAAAGATCAACCTGACCTAATTCAAAAATTTGCACTTGGTTAGCCTCCCAGAGAAAAAGAAACTCTTCCTCTTTCCTTCATAACATAGTAGTTGGTTCCCACATCTAGAATTTAAGCTAATACTCTGTACTATTTGAGCTATGCAAAAAGATTAAATGGATATTTGTAGATTAGTTTGGGGACCTAATCATCACTCATGATACATTTTTATGAAACCATAATGATGAATCCCAAAAAACCTATTTATTTATTTGAGACAGAGTCTCGCTTTGTCCCCCAGGATGGGGTACAGTGGTGCAACCTCAGCTCACTGCAACCTCCGCCTCCCAGGTTCAAGCAATTCTCGTGCTTCAGCCTCTCGAGTAGCTGGGATTACAGCACCACCATGCCCAGCTAATTTTTTGTATTTTTAGTAGAGATAGGGTTTTGCCATTTTGGCCAGGCTGGTCTCAAGCTCCTGTCCTCAAGTGAGATCACTTGAGCCCAACTCAGCCTCCCAAAGTGCTGCGATTATAGGCGTGAGCCACCTCACTTGGTCCAAAACAACCAATTTATGTATGAACTTTTGAAACATAATCCCTTCTACAAGTTTGAAACTTCCTATTCTGAATTTAAATCTCCACTCAATACCAGAAGTGATAAACCTCAAACAGGGTAGAAATAAAAATTAGAGCCGGGCGCGGTGTCTCATGCCTGTAATCCCAGCACTTTGGGAGCCCGAGGCGGGCAGAACATGAGGTCAGGAATTCGAGACCAGCCTGGCCAACATAGTGAAACCCCGTCTCTACTAAAAATACAAAAATTAGCCGGGTGTAGTGGTGTGCGCCTGTTGTCCCAGACAGTCTGCATAGGAGGATGTCCTGGAAATGGTCAGAAGACAGTTCATGAAAATGTCCTCAAGTAAAATAGAAATTTGGAACTGTAAGGGTGAGAATGTTCTGCAATACAAATGCTCATCAGAAGATGTGGGTCAACATGGAATGTAGAAAAAGGTAAATGGAGACTATTTGTTATTATTTAAGAAATTTGGAAAAGGAAAAGACGGCTGTTATCAATATTTCAAAATTTCCTTCTGGTGGAGACAGATGACTCATTAGGTCATCTTTTTCCCCCTCTTTCAATCATAATATCATTCAGTTTGCAAAGTGTTTACACACATGCTTTCTCATTTTTATTTGTTTCTGATCTTCACAACACCCCTGTGAAATAGGTAGAGCAAGTATTATTTTACTATTACCATCTTACAGATTAAAAAAAAAAACACAGATAACTTGTGGTGACTTGTCCAAAGTGAGATTTGTTTATTTTTATCTAATGTGACTTATAAACATGTAAGTTATCACTTCGAAGAACTGACTAGCACTATGATGAAAATGTTCTTGTTTTTTCTTTTGAACTTGTTGACTTTATGTCTGTCTCTGCCAATGTCTGCCAACACTGTCTTCCTGATTAAACTGGAATCGGGGATCACCTCTTCCCCTATGATTTCATGTACAGTGCCTGGTACTATGGCCACTGGCCTCTGAGGTAAAGAACTATCATTTTCTCATGGACTTAAGACATGGAAGAGTAATTTAGAAAAGTCAAGTAGAATTTATAGACCTTAATTTAATAAGCAATGATATGAGACCACTAAAAATAGAACAGAAACCACACTGTCTGAATTGGATTAGGTCAATTCTGGAGACGAGTGAGGTTATTTCCAGACTCCAGCTAGACTCTATCCATCTCCCATCACTTCCACTGCTGGTGTGAATCACATCATCTCTCATCTGGACTTTTGCAATGGCCTCCTAACAGGTTACCCTCCTTCTACCCTTGCCCACCCCAACCCATTCCCCACACAGTAGCCCAGAGATCCTTTGAAAGCAAGGCCAGGCTGGGCACAGTGGCTCATGTCTGTAACCCCAGCACTTTGGGAGGCCGAGGTGGGCAGATCACTTGAGGTCAGGAGTTTAAGACCAGCCTGGCCAGCATGGTGAAACCCCATCTCTACCAAAAAATATAAAAATTAGCCGGGTGCGATGGCATGCACCTGTAGTCTCAGCTACTTGGGAGGCTGAGGCATGAGAATCATTTTAACCTGGGAGGCAGAGGTTGCAGTGAGCTGAGATCACACCATTGCACTCCAGCCTGGGTGACAGAGGGGGACCCTGTCTTAAAAAAAAAAAAATTGCTGAATGAATGAAATCAAGGAGTACATGAAGCTGGGTGGCTTTTCCTTCTTCCAGCTCCTCCTGCTTTCCCCAGTCCCCTCTCAGAGTAGTTGATCTAGATTCTACTAGACACACTTGCAGCAGTCATTAAGGCTAACTGTGATATTTCATGTTCTTCCTTGGACTTTGGAGCCATCTCTTTTTAAAGAAGGAAACTGTCAACAGTTTTTATGGCCTTCATCTTTATTATTATTATGGCCTAAATAATGATAGGCAATGATATCATTGGCATGACTCCTTCACTTTGATCCTATGTTAGTTAAAAGTCCCATGGGCATTTAATCCATATCTCTTATTAGTGTCTCTATCCTCATTTACTCTTGGCATTATTTTGTGCTCACACCCTAAACCTATGGACAGACAGGTTAATGGGACCACAATTGGAAGTTTACTATCAGCTGGGCAGGGTTTCATCAGATAAAACCAAAGGCAGGATAAAGTTTTCCCCTAAAGTTTCATCTTTTCTACTTTGTTTTATAGCTTTTTTACCAGGGATCTCACAATGTAAAGTCCTGGGGGCTTCATCAGAGACTTTTCCCACCACTGCCCCTTCTATAACTCCTGGGAATAAAGAAGGAGAGAAAACTACAAGTACCGGTAATTTTTCTAGCTTTGAAATGACAAAGTACAGAATAAGTAGGAGTAAAATGGGAACAGAAAAGAAACATTTTTAGCCCCAGCGTTAGTCTGGATCTACTGATATTTTTCTTGAGGTTGAGAAGTTACTGAATGTACATTGAAAAATCATTCAATTTTTTATTTTAAAAAATTAGCTTCTCTAGGCCGGGTGCTGTGGCTCATGTCTGTAATCCTAGCACTTTGGGAGGCCGAGGTGGGCGGATCACCTGTGGTCAGGAGTTCAAGACCAGCCTGACCAACACGGTGAAAACCCGCCTCTACTAAAAATACAAAAATTAGCCGGACGTGGTGGCAGGTACCTGTAACCCCAGCTACTTGAGAGGCTGAGAAAGAAGAATCGCTTGAACCCAAGAGGTGGAGGCTGCAGTGAGCCGAGATTGTCCCACTGCACTCCAGCAGGGGCGACAGAGTGAGACTTTGTCTCAACAACAACAAAATTAGCTTCTCTATAAAGGTCCCAGAAATGTTTGTAATTTGACACCATCAATGATCATTTATCTCCACGCAAATGAGCTCACCCTGTCGCCAGAATTAGGGACAGAAAAAACTGTATTTCTGTAGTAGGTAATTCTAACCACTGTATGTATAGATGGACAATATTTAAACACTAAGCAATTATAAGAGTGATGACACCAACCAAGTGCTTTTCTTTTTCTTTTTTTTTTTTTGAGACAGGGTCTTGTGTTGCCCAGACTGGAGTGCAGTAGTGCAAACATGGCTCACTGCAGCCTTGACCTCTGGGGCTCAAGTGATCCCCCCACCTCAGCCTCCTGAGTAGCTGGGACTACAGGTGTGTGCCACCATGTTCAGCTAATTTTTAAATTTTTGTAGAGACAGGGTCTCACCACATTGTCCAAGCTGGTCTCAGACTCCTGGGCTCAAGCGATCCTACCGCCTCAGCCTCCCAAACTGCTGGGATTACAGGCATTGCCCACCACGCCCGTCCCCAAGAGCATATATTTGTTTTGATATGGAGTCTCACTCTGTCACCCAGGCCGGAGTGCAGCGATGTGATCTCAGCTCACCACAACCTCCCCCTCCTGGGTTCAAGCAATTCTCCTGCCTCAGCCTCCTGAGTAGCTGAGATTACAGGCATGCACCACCACGCCCGGCTAATTTTTGTATTTTTAGCAGAGACAGGGTTTCACTATGTTTGCCAGGCTGGTCTCGAACTCCTGACTTTGTGATCCGCCTGCCTCAGCCTCCCAAAGTGATGGGATTACAGGTGTGAGCCACTGCGCTGGGCCTCCAACAGCATACTTTCATCTTCACTGTTTTTTTGTTTTTGTTCTTTAAGATGGAGTGTCACTCTGTCCCCCAGGCTGGAGTGCAGTAGCGTAGTCTCAGCTTACTGCAACCTCTGCCTCCCGGATCCAAGAAATTCTCCTGCCTCAGCCTCCTGAGTAGCTGGGACAACAGGCATGCACCACCATGCCTGGCTAATTTTTGTATTTTTAGTAGAGACGGGTTTCACCATGTTGGCCAGGCTGGTCTCAAACTCCTGACCTCAAGTGATCTACCCACCTCAGCCTCCCAAAGTGCTGGGATTACAGGCATGAGCCACCGCACACAGCCTTCTTCACTGTTTTTTTAGCAACAGTCCTCCTTAAATTGGCCAGGACTAAAATTCTGTAAGATTCCAATTTGGGTTACATCCTAGTTTCTACCAGGGGAAAAATGTGATATTAGTAATAATGAGATGCACATTAGGGCCAGGTGAGTTGGCTCACACCTGTAATATTCCAGCACTTTGGGAGGCCAAGACTGTAGGATCACTTGAGGCCAGGAGTTCAAGCTCAGCGGGAAATATAATGAGACTCTGTCTGTATAAAAAAATTTTAAAAATTAGCCGGGCATGGTGGCGTTCGCCTGTGGTCTGAGCTACTCAGGAGGCTAAGGTGGGAGGATGGTTTGAGCCTGGGAGATTGAGGCTGAAGTGAGCCAAGATTGTGCCACTGCATGCCAGTCTTGAGTGCCAGAGTGAGAAAAAAAATGCATATTAGCCATTTGCCGCCAGATTGAGCTTCTGACCCAGAAGCAGTGCTAATTTTTACATTTCTTCCTCTTATATTCTATGAAAGCCAGGAGAAACATAGGAAAGGCGACTTTCTAATCCCATAAAATGTGTCAGAGCAAAATGGTAGGAACCCTGATAAAGCTGACAGTAAAAGAAGTTTAGAGCTCCATGTGTACCCGAGATTTTTCTTCCTGCGAGCAGTGTAAGAATCAGCCCTATGTGATTATGGAAAATCCCCAATTCCAGGGAAGGTGACTCAGTGGGAAGAGAGTGCAAAAGAAGTTAGAGCAGAGCCCATGATGCTCAGCTCACCCTCACACCCCCTCCAGCCCTGAGTTTGAATTGGAAATTCTGCCTCTGCCTCTGGGTTAGTCTGGGCCTCTAATAGTCTTGTGAGCCAGAAGAACTTCAGGTCAAAGGATCAATCTCTTTCCTCTCTCAAATTTTCTTTTCTCCCTCTTCCACTCCCCTCTCTCCTTTAGACACAGATGAGAACCTAGAGAAGAGACAGAAATGGAGTATTGTGGTCAAAATTCTGATTGCTGTCACCCTGTTGCTCAGTGGAGTTGCCATTATAGTATTTGTAATTTTTGAAGTCCCATGTCCTGTAAGTTTGCTGTTGTATTGAATCCTTGAACTTGACCCATAAAGACTTTCTTCTGTTCCAGAGGC
This sequence comes from Homo sapiens, assembly GCF_000001405.40. Taxonomy (NCBI): domain Eukaryota; kingdom Metazoa; phylum Chordata; class Mammalia; order Primates; family Hominidae; genus Homo; species Homo sapiens. Next base: position 1,624,860 of record NT_187614.1, read on the forward strand.
AGCTTGGCATAAGGAGAAAAGCATAGACTTTGGAATTTGAGGAGATGTGCCACTCACACTCACTAGCTGAGTGGTGTTGGGAAAGTTGCTTGACTGTTCTAACCTCAGTGGCCTCATGTGTAAAATAAGTCTCATGATATTTGCCTCTCATGGTAGTTATAAAGATTGAGATTCTGTGTGAAAGGCACCTGGCACACAGGTGCTCACTAAATGCAGTTCCTTTCCTCTGCTGTACTTAGACATTTTCTAGGAAGGATAGGTCCAATAGGACTGAATATTTTATTTAGAAGAGATGGCTTCCTTTAAGTTGCCCAACAAGAGGTTTGGAAGAAAACCAAATGCTTACCAGCCACTTCATATTAATACCAGTCATTTTCTCCCTTCAGTATCAATGCCTAGGAGCCAGGAAGCTGTGCCAATGCCAGTGGTTGTGGAGATGGCAAAAGAAGGGAGGCCAGCCACCTGGGACAGCTGAATCCAAGCCTGACTCTCAGCCCCAGAAGGAAAGTGTTCTCTGTGTGGTTTATGTCATTTGCTTAAAGAAGGTGGGGTAGGGGCCGGGCGTGGTGGCTCACACCTCTATTCCCAGCACTTTGAGAGGCTGAGGCAGGTGGATCACCTGAGGTGATCGAGACCAGCCTGACCAACATGACGAAACCCTGTCTCTACTAAAAATACAAAAATTAGCCAGGTGGCACATGCCTGTACTCCCAGCTACTCGGAAGGCTGAGGCAGGAGAATCGCTTGAACCTGGGAGGTGGAGGTTGCAGTGAGCCGAGATTGTGCCATTGTACTCCAGCCTGGGCAACAGAGTAAGACTCTGTCTCAAAAAAAAAAGAAAGAAAAAAAGAAAAACAGAAAATGGGGTTAATATATAAGTGCTAGGAGATTCGTCCCTAAGAGGACTGTGAAAAAATATTTTTTTTAATGTGCTGGGAACAGGGAGCTGCTTCAGTTATGAAGCAAATGTGGGCAATCCTTCTTATGTCAGGAAATAGGTAGGATTTTATCCTACTGTTTTCCTAACATCAGTCCAGACATGATACAATAGGGTGCTTATTGAATACACATACCTCTGGGCCCCATATAAACTGAATCAGATCATTTAGATTGGAGTCAAGAATCTTACTTTTAAGATTTTTAAGGCCAGGCCTGATTCATCATGCCTGCAATCCCAGTGCTTTGGGAGGCAGAGGCAGAGGCAGGAGACTTGCTAGAGTCCAGGAGTTTGAGACCAGCCTAGGCAACATAGCGAGACACTGTCTCTATTAAAAAAAAAAGTATATATATATATATATATATATATATATATATATATATATACACACACACACACATTATATATAAATATATATAATTATATATTTATTATATATAATTATATATAATATATTATATATATATAATTATATATAATATATTATATATAATTATATATTATACATAATTATATATATATATATATATATATATCTATATATCTATATATCTATAAAAGGCCAGCTGGGCCGGGCACGGTGGCTCACGCCTGTAATCCTAGCACGTTGGGAGGCCAAGGCAGGTGGATCACGAGGTCAAGAGATTGAGACCATCCTAGCCAAAATGGTGAAACCCTGTCTCTACTAAAAATACAAAAATTGGTGGGGCATGGTGGTGTGCACCCGTAGTCCCAGCTACTCGGGAGGCTGAGGCAGGAGAATTGCTTGAACCCAGGAGACAGAGGTTGTGGTGAGCCGAGATTGCGCCACTATACTCCAGCCTGGGTGACAGAGCAAGACTCCGTCTCAAAAAGAGAGAAAAAAAAAAAAGCCAGCTGGTGGCATGTGCCTGTAGCCCTAGCTTCTTGGGAGGCTGAGGTGGGAGGATCACTTGGGCTCAGGAATTGAAGTCTGCAATGAGCTATGATCGAGCCACTGCACTCCAGCCTGGGAAAAAGGGTGAGACCCTGTGTCCAAAAAAAAAAAAAAATTATCATTTCTCCTGAACATTGGAAGAAATAGGCCTGAAGGGACTACAAAGTCTAGTCCAGAATAGAATTAGAGATAACCAGGTAGCTGCAACTGTGATTGAACTTCTATGAACACAATAAGCTACTAAATGATAAAGGAATAAAAATAGGGCCAGGCGTGGTGGCTCATGCCTGTAATCCCAGCACTTTGGGAGGCCGAGGTGGATGGATCATGAGGTCAGGAGTTTGAGACCAGCCTGACCAACAAGGTGAAACTGTCTCAACTAAAAATACAAAAAATTAGCCAGGCATGGTGGCACACGCCAGTAATCCCAGCTACTCAGGAGGCTGAGGCAGGATAATCGCTTGAACCCGGGAGGCACAGGCTGCGGTGAGCTGAGATCACACCACTGCACTGCAGCCTCGGTGACAGAGCGAGACTCTGTCTCAAAAAAAAATAGTACTAAGATAGCAATCTTATATACATTATCTCATTTGAGCCTTACAGAAATCCTGGAAAGTAGCCAGGGCAAGTATCTACATTTTACTCATACTTAAGTTGAGGCTTGAAGAGGTTATGTGACTTCCCAAGGTTACACAGCTGTTAGAAACAGAACTATGATCCAGATCTTTTAATTACTTTGCTAGTGGGTTATAGGTTCCAAGCAATTATTGGTTCTCATACCTATGTGCACCTTGATCATACTTTCTCAGTGTAATTATCGATTAACAAAGAGGCAAAATGAAGTGCACTTGGAATTACATGGGGTTTTGTACTTAGCCAGCCCTTTTCTTGGTACATGAAGAACTATACACTTGCATCCTTTTTTAACTTTCATATTTCCTTTCAATCTCTAGGTTGGACAAGATGCTGCCAATTCATCAAACCCAAAGAAAGCTGCAGAGATCACTGTTATCCACCAGACATACTTCTGAAAAGTTCTGCTCTATCTCAAAGACTGAATGATACTACACAGTCCTCTCCCTATTAATATGGGCACATTCTTGCCAATTTCACACTTGTATCTTCAGCAGGGACATTACAATCAAACACCAATTCCTGGTTAATGAAGGGAGAGTGTGGGCTTAGCAGAGTTACCCTCATGCCCCTATCTGAGCCACAACCTTCTGTAATTCACTTCATACATCCATCTAAATGGATACCTTTCCATCCCCTCAAACGAGAACAAAAAGTATTCCCTGCAAGCACTATGAATGGACCTTACTACTCTCTTTGACAGAAGACTCAAACACAGCCTCTAAGAAACAAGGCAGCTGTTAGTGTGACATAGCTTCCAGCTCCTCTGTTATCTTCACAGCTGACTTCACACTCACTGGCCCTCAATAGCTTAGAGTGGGACTCCTGATCTCCCTGGTTGACGTTTATAAGGTTTTGTAATTTAGCTTCTGGTACTACATGTATCTATCCACACACTGCTGAAGGGAACTTGACCCTACGCATTCCAAAAGCCTTCCTCATAAGTTATCCCCAAGGGGTTCAGGGACTACAGACCATTAGTACCCAAGTGAAGTCTTCTGACGATCCAGAATTCCTAAGGTGGCTCTGATATTATATCATACTTTAATAGAGAGTTGCATACCTTTTGGACAAAGATTCCAGAGCAAAATAATTATGATAATGCTGTTTCTCACAGGAGAATAGCTATGAGTCAAATCTAACCTGCTTAAATAAGAGTTTGGTGAGAAAGTGAAACCACCTGATCTTGAATCAATGTTGAGGTGAAAAAGGAAATGTCAGGAGGGATAAGACAGGGTGAGGCCCTGCTTCTTTTCCTAAGAGTCTGAAACCATTCCATTTCATTTTGGTGAAATGTGTCTGTTTCTAAGAAATTCTGTTTTCTTAGTTCTCTGGTTAAAAAAAAAAATACATAAACTGTATCCTTCTTTCTTTCACTTCAAGTGCTGTCCAAAAAGTGATTATCAAAACAATACCAACAGGGGAAAATCTCACCCTAAGGCTCGATTTAATATTCAAGTCCAGCCTGAAAGAGAACACATATAAAGCATGGATAATGAGGATATGTTTCAAAGAAGCTCCAAAGAACCTCTAGGGCCAGGCATGGTGGCTCACGCCTGTAATCCCAGCACTTTGGGAGGCCAAGGTGGGTGGATCACCTGAGGTAAGGAGTTTGAGACCAGCCTGGCCAACATGGTGAAACCCGTCTCTACTAAACATACAAAAATTAGCCGGGCATGGTGGAGGGCACCTATAATCTCAGCTACTGGGGAGGCTGAGGCAGGAGAATCGCTTGAACCCGGGAGGTGGAGGTTGCAGTGAGCCCCGAGATCTCACCATTGCACTCTAGCCTGAGTGACAGGAGCAAAACTCCATCTCAAAAAAAAAAAAAAGAAAAAAAAAAGAACCTCTAAATGTCCATAGAGCATACCTTGAAAATATAGTAGAGAGGAAACAGCACTGAGGTTGGCATTTGGATGAATGAGTATATTATTTGCATCCTGCCACTGATCCACGATGTTGCCTCAAGTTTATTTTGCCATCTGTGACTTAGTTTGACAATAAAATAGGAAGAAAAAAAATGCCTGCTCTTTCCCAAGACCACTGGTGAGGATGATTAAAAGCATTATATACTTAGAAGCTCTTGGTCCAGAACTGAGGCCTACATGCATCCTCACCCTTCCCAGCCTCACCCACCACTGAATGTCCCTTAATCCTGAAACATGAGATGTCCCAGGAGATAAAACCTATGGCAAAATCTGCGCTCATCAACTCTTCTACAAGAGTATAATTGGAGGCCGGGCACGGTGGCTCAAGCCTGTAATCCTAGCACCTTGGGAGGCCGAGGTGGGCAGATGGCTTGAGGCCAGGAGTTTGAGACCAGCCTGGACAACATGGTGAAACCCGTCTCTACTAAAAATACAAAAATTAGGCAGGCATGCTGGTGCGCACCTGTAATCTCAGCTACTCCAGAGGCTGAGGCACAAGAATTGCTTGAACCTGAGATTGAACCATTGCACTCCAGCCTGGGTGACAGAGCGAGACTGTCTCAAAGAAAAAAAAAAAAGAGTATAATTTGGGTAACATTTGTACTGACTTTATAGAAATTCACAGACAGAATCAAAATTATTTTGCTTTGGGGACAATTTGTTTCCCCTGACAAAGCATAGACCCCTCTGAGGATTTTCTGACTCCCTAATCCATTAATAACTTCAAGTCCTATATTCCCTTCCAGTGAAGATCTGTAAAAACAGAGATGGGAGAGATGGCAGAGGAGAAAGGAGAACTCCTGTGTGGGCTTTGGGATGTGGATCTGCAGATCACTTCAGAGCTGGGCACCATTTCTAGTGTCACCATTATAGACCAAGTTATACAAAACTTGATAAAACACTGTTTCTGTGGAAGTGCCAATTATTCCTGTGGAATTATTTGCTGTTTCTTTTCTTTTTCTTTTTTTTTTTTTGAGATGCAGTTTCGCTCTGTTGCCAAGGCTGGAGTGCAATGGCACAATCTCAGCTCACTGCAACCTCTGCTTCCCGGGTTCAAACTATTCTCGTGCCTCAGCCTCCCCAGTAGCTGGGATTACAGGCATGCGCCACCACACCCAGCTAATTTTTGTATTTTTAGTAGAGATGGGGTTTCACAATGTTGGTCAGGCTGGTCTCCAACTCCTGACCTCAAGTGATCCACCCGCGTCGGCCTCACAAAGTGCTGGGGTAAAAAGTCCAGGCGTGAGCCACTGTGCCTAGCCTTATTTGCTGTTTCTATTGCAAGTTCTTTCTTATTAAGCTACCACACTTTGTTTTTATAATTATTAAAGTGCATTCTCAGCCGGGCGCGGTGGCTCACGCCTGTAACCCCAGCACTTTGGGAGGCCGAGGCAGGCGGATCACGAGGTCAGGAGATCGAGACCATCCTGGCTAACACGGCGAAACCCTATCTCTACTAAAAAAAAAAAAAAGAAAAAGAAAAAATTAGCCGGGTGTGGTGGCAGGCATCTGTAGTCCCAGCTACTAGGGAGGCTGAGGCAGGAGAATGGCGTGAACCCGGGAGGCGGAGCTTGCAGTGAGCCGAGATTGTGCCACTGCACTCCAGCCTGGGCGACACAGCGAGACTCTGTCTCAAAAAATATGTATATATAAAGTATATAATAAAATAAATAAAGTACATTCTCATTATAAAAGCTTTTAGAAAATACTCAAAAGTATAAAGAATAAAAGTAATACCTAATCTCTCTTCCCAGAGATAATCATTAACACTGGTTAATATGTAATCAGTGGTTAATATATCTCTTTATGGACATTATAAATATATATACACATATAATAAAAAGACACATACAAAACTTCATATTCTTCACACCACTTTAAATCTGTCTCTTTGGCTGGGTGCAGTGGCTCATGCCTGTAATCCTTGCATTTTGGGAGGCCAAGGCAGGTGGATCATTTGAGTCAGGAGTTTGAGACCAGCCTGGTCAACATGGTGAAACACCATCTTTACTAAAAATACAAAAAATTAGTTGGGCATGGTGGCAGGCGCCTGTAATCCCAGCTACTCGGGAGGCTAAGGCAGGAGAATCGCTTGAACTCAGGAGACTGAGGTTGCGGTGAGCTGAGATCGTGTCACTGCACTCTAGCCTGGGTGACAAAGCAAGACTCCATTTCAAAAAAAAAAAAAAAATCTGTCTCTTCTTCTTGGCTAATATATTACTACTACATTTCAAGAAGTTGTGTTTATTTTCAAGTTTTAGAGGTGACTAGAAGCTGTTCCACCTTTTTTTAAATTTTAATTTTTTGAGATGGAGTTTCACTCTTGTTGCCCAGGCTGGAGTGCAATGGCGTGATCTCGGCTCACCGCAACCTCCGCCCGGGTTCAAACCAATTCTCTTGCCTCAGCCTCCCAAGTAGCTGGGATTACAGGCATGCACCACCATGCTCGGCTAATTTTTGTATTTTTAGTAGAGACGAGGTTTCACCATGTTGGTCAGGCTGGTCTCGAACTCCCGACCTCAGGTGATCTGCCCATCTTGGCCTCCCAAAGTGCTGGGATTATAGGCGCGAGCCACCGCGCCTAGGCTGTTCCACCTTTTTAAAGGGTTGATGTCACCCCAATACTTTTTGATAGGCCCAAAAATTAAGATAGGTAGTTGCTTAGGGCAAAGAAGGTACATTCACAAAAACCTCCAATTTAAACTTTTTAAGTTATTGCTGAATGACATTAAGTAAACAGCCATATTTGCGTGTGTATTAAAAGCATTACTTTGTTAAACAGAAACACTTAAAATATACAACAGCCAGGCATGGTAGCTCACGCCTGTAATCCCAGCACTTTGGAGGGCCGAGTCGGGTGGATCATCTGGGGTCAGGAGTTCGAGGCCAGCCTGGCCAAGATGGTGAAACCCTGTCTCTACTAAAAGTACAAAAATTAGCTGGGTGTGGTGGCACATGCCTGTAATCCCAGCTACTCGGGAGGCTGAGGCAGGAGAATCGCTTGAACCCAGGAGGCAGAGGTTGCAGTGAGCTGAGATGGTGACACTGCACTCCAGTCTGGGTGACAGAGTGAGACTCCATCTCAAAAAAAAAAAAAAAGATAAATATAAATAAAATATAAAACATATTTTGTATCTCTGTTTTGCCATTTCTTCATTTTTTAGATAAACCCATAATCTCAAAAATCAAAGTGACCTGGGACTGTGGATCTCTGAAAGGCCTGAACAAGCCATTAACATCCTTCCTTTTCTGTACTCCCAGGCTAGTGCAACGGTGGTTTCAGGAGTGGTACTGGCCTTAACCATTATTTCCTCATATCTCCTACCCCCTCCTATTAATATTTTGGATGCTTTCTAATCACTGCCCAGCAGATTCTGACCTAGAGCACTTTTCCTATGTCTATGTCCATAACTAGCCATTTTCCAAGGAAGAGTTGCTGCATGTACTTATGACTAAAGGCCAGAAGAAATCTTTTTATTTTTTGTTTGCCCTGGACAGGTTGAGAGTCCTATGATCCCTTCCTCCCCATCCCACTGATACTCCACTCCCACTTTCAAAAAGTATTCCATTTTCTGAGTTGACACAATGGCCCTCAGGTTGCCTTGAATTACTTATCTTCCCTATTATTAGTAATAGTAGTAGTAGTATTATACTTTAAATTCTAGGGTACATGTGCACAATGTCCAGGTTTATTACATATGTATACATGTGCCATGTTGGTTTGCTGCACCCATTAACTCGTCATTTACATTAGGTATTTCTCCTAATGCTATCCCTCCCCCATCCCCCCACCCCACGACAGGCGCTGATGTGTGATGTTCCCAGCCCTGTGTCCAAGTGTTCTCATTGTTCAATTTCCACCTATGAGTGAGAACATGCGATGTTTGGTTTTCTGTCCTTGCGATATTTGCTCAGAATGATGGTTTCCAGCTTCATCCATGTCCCTACAAAGGACATGAACTCATCCTTTCTTATGGCTGCATAGTATTCCATAGTGTATATGTGCCACATTTTCTTAATCCAGTCAATTACTTATCTTCTTATATGTACTTACTGGTTCTTCTGCTTGAAGCCCAGTATCTGTGTTAATTTGTATATCTCTATATTACTTTGTATCAACAAAGCACCATGTTCATAGCAGATACTAAAAATATTTGTTGATAATGTCACACCACCAAATGGATAAGCTAAGGGTAGCATAGCTGACTTTCTAGAAGAGAATGAAGTAAGCTTTATTTTTATATCAAAGTTGCTATCAGTTACCAGGGAGATGCAAACCAGTAAAGGGTCATACTATAATTGTTGCTAACACTTGAATTCATCTCTTTAGACTTATTTTCCCTCATATTTCATCATCTGTTCCTTTTTCTCTTCCTCTTCATTATTACAACACTTTTCTTTTGTCTTTCCTTATTCAATGACCTGATTTGTCAGTGATCAAATTCTAAAAATTTCCCTCAATCTGAACTTCTAGTGAACTTCGATCCATGTTTATACTGAAATTTCAGATCCAAAAAGTCTTTCCTTTACCCCACCCTCCTTCACTTGGTGCAGTGTAGCAACAGGTGCACCTTGGACCGTAATTGAGGAACTTTCACTGGACTCTTGTGAATTTGCACCATCCAGTGGCTGAAATTGCTAACTGCATCCTCTGAAAAAAGGCAGTGGGCACAAATAAAAAAATGTAAAATGGGGGCTGGGCGCGGTGACTCACTCCTGTAATCCCAGCACTTTGGGAGGCCGAGGCAGGTGGATCACAAGGTCAAGAGATTGAGACCATCCTGGCTAACACTGTGAAACCCCGTCTTTACTAAAAATACAAAAAATTAGCTGGGCGTGGTGGCGCGCGCCTGTACTCCTAGCTACTCAGGAGCCTGAGGCAGGAGAATCACTTGAACCAGGTAGGCGGAGGTTGTAGTGAGCCGAGATCGCACCACTGCACTCCAGCCTGGGTGACAGAGCGAGACTCTGTCTCAAAAAAAAAAAAAAAACAGTTTGGCCTCCTCTTCTAGCTGTTGTGGTATCACTTTTTTTTTTTTTTTTTTTTTTTGAGACGAAGTTTCGCTCTTGTTGCCCAGGCTGGAACGCAACGGTGCAATCTCAGCTCACTGCAATCTCCGCCTCCTGGGTTCAAGTGATTCTCCTGCCTCAGCCTCCCGAGTAGCTGGGATTACAGACATGCGCCACCATGCCCTGCTAATTTTGTATTTTTAGTTGAGATGTGGTTTCTCCATATTGGTCAGGCTGTCTCGAACTCCTGACCTCAGGTGATCCGCCCACCTTGGCCTCCAAAAGTGCTGGGATTATGGGATTACAGGCGTGAGCCACCATGCCCGGACTTTTTTTTTGAGACAGAGTCTGGCACTGTTGCCCAGGCTGGAGTGCAGTGGCACAATCTCGGCTCACTGCAACCTCCGCCTCCCAGGTTCAAGTGATTCTCCTGTCTCAGCCTCCTGAGTAGCTGGGATTACAGGTGCCCGCCACCATGCCCAGCTAATTTTTTGTATTTTTAGTAGAGACGGGGTTTCACCGTGTTGGCCAGGCTGGTCTCGAACTCCTTATCTTGTGATTCGCCTGCCTCGGCCTCCCAAAGTTCTGAGATTACAGACATGAACCAACGCGGCCAGCCTGTGGTATCACTTTTTAACTCCTCTAACTCCCTCCCTCTGTTCTAGAAAGAAAAGAATTTGATTCGCATTTCCATGCTTTCAATGAAATCCTTTCACTCCAATGAACTCATTCTTCCTGGTAGATTAATTTTAAGCCTTTTATCTCTAGCTATAGATAATAATAATAGCTAATATTCGACGCACATTTACTATGTAAGAATTAACGTCTTTGCCTTCTACTAAAGTAATGTTAGGAAAACAAGTGGGTTTAGGGAGCATATCATTGGCCTGAACTACCATATCCTCAGAATCTGTCTCCCCATACACTCTCTTGCCTCAGTTTAATCTGCATACAATTCTCCACATTGTAACCAGTTTTTCAAAATACAGATTTGATCTTGTTACTCTTTTGCTAAAAAACTTTTAGTGAATTCCCACTGCTATCAGGATAAAGTACAAAACCCTCAAGACGACTGCCAAGGCCCTAGATAATCTGCCTCTCTCCAGTCTCCTCTGCCCCACTCTTCCCCTTCTCTAGCTTCAGTGGCAATGGACTAGCTCCTTTCCTGCCTCAAGTCCCATGCTGTTCTGTCTGCCTGGAATATTGTTTCTACTCTCTCATCCTCTTTCCCCTTCTTCACTACTATTAGCCGGTTTAACTTTCCACTCTTCCTTCAGATATTGGCTCAATAGTCACCTCCTCAGTCTGACCTTCTAAACTCCATCAGATTCTTCTATACTGTTTTATAGTGTAAATTTCCTTCGTGGTATTCATCTGTTGGTAATTATGTGTTAATTATGTGTTTTGGATTCAAAAGCCAAGGGAGGCTGGGTGCTGTGGCTCACGCCCATAATCCCAGCACTTTGGGAGGCCGAGGCAGGTGGATCACTTGAAGTCAGGAGTTCGAGACCAGCTTAGCCAACATGGTGAAACCTCGTCTCTACTAAAAATACAAAAATTAGCCAGGCATTGTGGCGAGCACCTGTAATCCCAGCTACTCAGGAGGCTGAGGCAGGAGAATCGCTTGAACCTGGGAGGCGGAGGTTGCAGTGACCCGAGATGGCGCCACTGCATTCCAGCCTGGGTGACAGAGGGAGTCTCCGTCTAAAAAAATGGAAAAAAGCCAAGGGGGACATTCAGGTCAGAGTTAAACAGATGAGGGAGTGAGCAAGAGATTGATGGAAAATTGGAAGCCACAGGAGAAGACAAGATTGCTTGAACTCATTGAATGGAAAAACACAAAAGAAGGAAGAGTGAAGAACAGAAACTTGGATGACAACAGGTAAGACAGAGAAGAGCCCATTAATCCAGAAAGGGAGAAGTAGATTTAAGAGAAAGAAGTAGCAGTAAAGGTGGGAGGCCAATCATCTGAGGTCAGGAGTTAGAGACCAGCCTGACCAACATGGTGAAACTCTGTCTCTACTAAAAATACAAAAATTAGCCGGGTGTGCTGGCGCATGCCTGTAATCCCAGCTACTTAGGGGACTGAGGCAGAAGAATTGCTTGAACCCGGGAGGCAGAGGTTGCAGTGAGCCGGGACGGCACCACTGCACTCCAGCCCGGGCAACAAGAGGGAGACTCCATCTCAAAAAAAGAAATTAGAATAACAGGAGTTAGTTTTAAAATTTAAATATTAGATGGCATTAGTCTGATAAGTATCTCTATAATATAGTGGAGTATAATGGGGTAATAATGCCTGAAATGCACTGGCCAAGGCTCTCTTCCTTGAATGGGCACTAAGTCAGCCCCAGCCCTCCCATTACGGTTCCATTACTGACTAACCTCTCTCTTTTTCAGGTTGATTCATTCTCCCTTTGGATATGCTATATATATTCTGTATTTTTCAGAGCCACTCTGTCTCCTAAACTAACTTTACATATCTCTGCTGTGATCCATTACCTTCTGAGACGGTATAGTGTCAGGGATTGTGGTAGTAGTCTGAATCTCCACTATGCTGCCTACTTACATTCTCTTAAGTATCAGTCTCTGCATCAGTAAAATGGGAGTAACACCATAAAATACGAGTAAACCCGTAGAGGGTTTCTTAGGGATTAAATGACAGAATATATACAGAAAGCCTTGAATAGTAGCTATTTTCAGTACCAAGGGAAACCCTGCTGTGTCATTTTGAATAGTGTGTTTGTCACTGCATGATTAAGTAGTAAAGGATTTCAGATAAACTGTTGTCTTTGGCATGATTATAGAATCTAGAAAATTAATAAAATAAGCAGGCAAAAGTTTTATGTGTTTGGCTGTGTAAAAATAACCAATTACAGTCATTTATGTAAACAATTTAACGTGTAGGGCCTAATTATCATGCAACACCATAACAATTACATATATTATTAAATATGCATCAGATTAACCTTGTTGTTAAGTTTTGATTACAATAAAAGTACTTTGTACTCTAAGGAACAGTCTTATAGTTAATTGCTAATAATGCATAAGTTTGTTCACTATTTGCATTAATTAAATGAGACATAGCTCCTGAGTTTGCTCTCCATTTGAGGCAAGGCTGGATCCTCCATCCTATATTGCAACTACACATTTGTCCTGCGACCTGTGAGATAACATACACTTTCCTTAGTATTCTATAGTGAGGAAAATGCTGAAGAAACTGCCAGTAAAAAAAAATTCTGTTTAATTGGCTGTTGTTCCTGAACCTACAGGTTTCCAGTAGATAAGAGTTTTTGATTTAAACAATGAAAAATTCTATGCTGAGCACTAGTTAACCTATGTAGAACAACTTCTAAATAAGCCCCAGGATCATCCTGTGGAGCACTTCTATAAATAAAATTATATTTGACTCCCACCATGAACAAGGTAGTAGTATACATACATATATCATCCCACCCCACCACCTTTTTTTTTTAGACTGAGTCTCCCTCTGTCCCCCAGGCTAGAGTGGGGAACAGACTGATCATGCCTTACTGCAACCTCTGCCTCCCGGATTCAAGTGATTCTCATGCCTCAGCCTCCCGGGTAGCTGGGATTACAGGTGCATGCCACCATGCCCAGCTAGTTTTTGTATTTTTAGTAGAGACAGGGTTTCACCATGTTGGCTAGGCTAGTCTCGAACTACTGACTTCAAGTGACCCACCCACATCAGCCTCTCAAAGTGCTGGGATTACAGGCGTGAGCTACTGCATCGGGCTTTCATCATATCCTTATGAAACGCTTATGAATTAGACATTATTATTTTCATTTTACATAGGAGGAGAAAGGAGATGCAGGAAGATAATAACTTCCCTAAATTCTTTTTTTTTTTTAGATGGAGTTTCACTCTTGTTGCCCAGGCTGGAGTGCAATGGTGGGATCTCGGCTCACGGCAACCTCTGCCTCCTGGGTTCAAGCGATTCTCCTGCCTCAGCCTCCCAAGTAGTTGGGATTATAAGCATGCACCACCATGCCCGGCTAATTTTTTATATTTTTAGTAGAGATGGGGTTTCACCATGTTGGCTAGGCTGGTCTCGAACTCCTGATCTCAAGTGATCCACCCGCCTCAGCCTCCCAAAGTGCTGGGATTATAGGCATGAGCCACCGCACCAGGCCCTAAATTCTTAAAGGTGATAAGGAGTGGAGACAGAATTCAAATTCAGGAAAGTTTCAAAGTCCATGCTTGCTTTTTCAATTATATTAAACAATGCCAAGTTCCTTGCATATTCCAAGCATTTATTGGGCACCTGTTGGTTGCACAAGAGTATAGACTGCCTGTCACCAAATGATGCAAAATAATTTAGGAGCCTGTTTTGACAGTCACAAGATGGAGGTCCTGTACATTAGGCAGAAAAGTATGCAGCTAGGCAGCCTAGTAGGCATTTTAGAATTGTCTGATAAACCGAGCCACTTAGCAACAATATATTTCTAGTTCACCTAATTTTTTGGGTTCTGCCCAAAGGCTGGTGACTCATGAGACAGATATTCCGCACTCTGTGTACATGAGAAAGAAGTCAGTAAGGTGAGGAAGAAGCAGAAGAGATGGGTAACGAAGGCCTGGATTCACGAAAACTGTTTAATGGCCATGGTATTATGAAAATCCTGATACCAGCCAACTCTTGAGTGTTAAATAATGAGAGTCAGTTTATTAGTTATATTTGGACAGATCTGGTTTTTTGCTTTATTTTTATAAATAATGTTCTAAGAAATATATTTTATTTAATTTACTTATGGCATATTTAAACATTTTTTGGCAAATAAAAATTGTGTATATTCATGATGTACAACATGTGTTGATAGACGTACTCATTGTGGAATGGCTAAATCAAGCTAATTAACAAATCCATTACCTCAAATATATACCCATTACCGCAAATACTTATTTTTTTGTGTGGTAAGAACAACTAAAATCTACTCTCTTAGCAATTTTCAAGCATATATATATTTTTGTTTGTTTGTTTGTTTTTGTTTTTGAGACAGGGTCTTGCTCTGTTGCCCAGGCTGGAGTGCAGTGATGCAATCTTGGCTCACTGCAACCTCTGCCTCCCGGGTTCAAGTGATTCTCATGCCTCAGCCTCCTGAGTAGTTGGGATTACAGGCATGCACCACCACGCCTGGCTAATTTTTGTATTTTTAGTAGAGATGGGGTTTCACCATGTGGGCCAGGCTGGTCTCAAACCCCTGACCTCAGATGACCCACCTGCCTCAGCCTCCCAAAGTGCTGGGATTACAGGTGTGAGCCACAGTGCCTGGCCTCAAGTATATATTTTTAACTATAGTCACCATATAGTATAATAGATCTCCTGCACTTATTCCTGCTGTCTAACTGAAATTTTGTATCCTTTGGCCAAAATCTTCCAATTCTTTCTCTCTCATCCCCTGGTAACCACCATTCTGCTACTTCTACAAGCTTGACTTTTTTAGATGCCACACATAAGTGAGATTAAGCAGTATTTGTTTTTCTGTGCCTGGCTTATTTCACTTTGCATAATGTCCTCCAGGTCCATCTATGTTGCTGCAAATGACAGGATTTCCTTATTTTTTAAGGCTGAACAGTATTCCATTGTGTGTGTGTCTGTGTGTGTGTGTGTGTGTGTATCTATATCTCACATTTTCTTTATTCATTCATCCATTGGCATACATGTAGGCTGTTTCCATGTCTTGGCTATGGTGAATAATGCTGCAATGGATATGGGAGTACAGATACCTTGACATGCAGATATCATTTCCTTTGGATATATACCCAGAAGTGGATTATTGGATCATATGGTAGTTCCATTCAAAAATTTTTAAGGAACCTCCATACTATTTTCCAAAATGGCTGTACTAATTTACATTCCCACTGACAGTGTACAGGGTTTTTCTCCACATCCTTGCCAATGCTTATCTCGCTTTTTGATAATAATCATTCTGACAGGTGTGAGGTGATATCTCATGGTAGTTTTAATTCACATTTCCCTGATGATTAGTGATGTTGAACATTTTTTTCACATACCAGTTAGCTATTTGCATGTCTTTTTCTTTTGTTTTTCTTTTTTTTTTTTTTTTGAGACAGAGTCTTGCTGTTGCCCAGGCTGGAGGGCAATGGTGTGATCTTGGCTCACTGCAACCTCCGCCTCCTGGGTTCAAGTGATTCTCCTGCCTCAGCCTCCTGAGTAGCTGGGAATACAAGCGCCCGCCACCACGCCCAGCTAATTTTTGTTTTTTTAGTAGAGACAGGGTTTCACCAGGTTGGCCCGGCTGGTCTTGAACTCCTGACCTCAGGTGATCCACCCGCCTCGGCCTCCCATGCTACTTGCATGTCTTCTTTTGAGCAATGTCTTTTCAGGCCCTTGTCCACTTATCTGATGTAGGGGTCGTGAATATTTTCTCCCATTCCGTAGGTTGTCTCTTTACCTTTTTTTTTTTTTTCCAGACGAGGTCTCACTCTGTTGCCCAGGCTGGAGTAAAGTGGCACAATCACGGTCACTACAGCCTCAACTGTCTGAGCTCAAGTGATTCTCCTACCTCAGCCTCCCAAGTAGCTGGGACCACAGGCGTGTGCTATCATGCCCAGCTAATTTTTTGATTTTTTTGTAGAGTTGAACTCTCACTAAGTCACCCAGTTTAGTCTCGAACTCCTGAGCCCAAGCAATCTTCCCACCTAGGACTGTCAAAGTGTTGGGATTACAGGCATGAGCCACCGCACCAGGCCAGAAACTCTACGTTTGATTCTAACCACAGCAGCTTAGCAGCTGAGGACAAACTGTTGGGATATTTTGGTCTCAGTCAATGGCAGCCAGGTTACCAACCCTGACAAGATACAAGTTTTCTTCGTTGGGTTCCTGGTACAAAAGTCAACCTTTTCAGTTAGTTATGAATGAAAGGGCATGAAGATTGTGCTATTAGTTTATCCTGAAGGTCAATCTTCAAAAATACTGGTTCAACATGGATTTGGATATTATTAATATAAATTTATGGCTTAAAGAGGACAAAAGGTGTTTTTTTGGGTTCCTTTACAGAGATATTTAGTGAGGGAACAAGGCACTTAGTCATCTTTGCTATGACAGGTTAAATACAAGGTGTACTGGGAACATGTAAGAGGGTGACTTAACTCAGCCATTGGGGGGTCAGGAGAAGTGTTCCTAAGGAAGTGATGTCTAAGTGAGGTAGGCAGTACCTTGGCAAAAAAAACCTTGAAGTTAAGAGTGCATATGAGAAATGAAGGTATGTCCACCTGGCTGGCAAATGGAGTCTAAGATAGGGCAGTGATGATAAAGATACAGGAAGATGCTAGATCTGGAAGGGCCTTCTAAAAAGAATGACAATATAAATTTATTGTACAAATGGAGACTTTACTGAGAGTGAAACCAGGCAATATTAATACTTAGGTAGGGACAACAGATATAAACCAGGCTATTCTCAGCAAATCAGAAATTATGGTCACCCTACTTGTAAGTCACATTCAGGTGCTTAGACTTTCAGTGAAAGCATAGAGTATGTATCTTCTACATTTTGCCTAAGTGACTTCATTCTTTTTTTTTTTGAGACAGAGTCTCGCTCTGTTGCCCAGGCTGGAGTACAGCGGCACGATCTCAGCTCACTGCAAGCTCCACCTCCCAGGTTCACGCCATTCTTCTTCCTCAGCCTCCTGAGTAGCTGGGACTACAGGCGCCCACCACCACGCCCGGCTAATTTTTTGTATTTTTAGTTGAGATGGGGTTTCACCATGTTAGCCAGGATGGTCTCGATCTCCTGACCTCGTGATCCGCCCGCCTCAGCCTCCCAAAGTGCTGGGATTACAGGCGTGAGCCACTGCACCCAGCCAGTGACTTCATTTTTACTTTTGCCTTTACTTACTCATTTCACAAGTATTTGAGGATACACTTCAGAGCACTGAGGTTACAAAGACAACAGTGTCTGTCCTCAAGGTCTGTCTAGGTAAGACACACAGCCAAATAAACAATTCTAATACAGTTATACAGTTTTAGTTCTGACACCTCCAATGAGCTGTAGACTTGTATTTGTCATTTCCAGTCAGAATGCAAAACACAGATCCAAAACAGAACTTTCAATTTCTCCTCCAAATCTATTCTTCCTTCAGCTGGTCGTGTAAGTGATGCCACTATCACATCCACTTAAGACAAAAACCCAGAGGAGTACTGCCTTAATCAGTAATCAGTGTTACCCTTCTTCTCACTGTGCATGTTAATTTTGCCACATCTTTTTTTTTTTTTTTTTTTTGGTACAGTGTCTCACTCTGTCACCTAGGCTGGAGTGCAGTGGTGTGATACTGGGTCAATGCAGCCTCAACCCTCTGGGCTGAAGTGATCCTCTCACCTCAGCCTCCTAAGTAGCTGGGACTACAGGCATGCGCCACTACACCTGGCTAATTTTTGCAATTTTTGTAGAGACGAAGTTTCACCATGTTGCCCAGTTCTCATGCCTCCTTGAACTCCTGAACTCAAGTGATCTGCCTACCTTGGCTTCCCAAAATGCAGGGATCCCAGGTGTGAGGCACCGTGTCCTGCCCTCTCCACATCTTTCTTAAGCACACTGACTAAATTGGTCTAAGTAGAGCCTAACATCAACTGAAGGGAGAGGGTAATTTCCAGGTAGTTGAATGCTATGATTTTTGTTTTTTTGTTTTTGAGACAGACTCTTGCTCTGTTGAACAGGCTGGAGGGCAGTGGTGCGATTTCAGCTCACTGCAACCTCCACCTCCAGGGTTCAAGCAATTCTTGCGCCTCCCAAGAAGCTGGGATTACAGGCATGCGCCACCACACCCAGCTAATTGTTGCATTTTTAGCAGAGATGGGTTTTCGCCATGTTGCCCAGGCTGATCTTGAACTACTGGCCTCAAATGATCCATCTGCCTTGGCCTCCCAAACTGCTGGGATTACAGGAATGAGCCACTGTGCCTGGCCCCTGAATGCTATGTTTTTAACGACTAGATCTCAGTATTATGTGGGACTAATTTTTCTACAGTATTACAACACTGATTACTGATATTCATTGTTGACAATCATGACATCCAGATCTGGATATTTGCCTTAGCCAGTCTCAAAATTTGAGTTTCAATGACAAAGACACAGATATGTCCTAAATGACTGACCCCACTTCCACTATGTGAAGTTGAGAGTGGTTGTAAAGCTGTACAGCTATAGGTGAAACACTAATGTTAATCAACTATCTGTTGAACAACTACCATGTAAAAGGACAATTTATGCCTTAGAGAGCAATTTAAAATTTTTTTAGAGATGGGGGTCTCGATACGTTGCCTAGACTGGTCTCAAACTTGGGCTCAATCCATCCTCCTGCCTCAGTCTCTCGAGTAGCTGGGATTACAGGTACACACCACTTCACCAGGCAAAGGGCAATTTTAATATTTCTACCATCCATTCTCCACACAGCTGCCACAGTGATTTTTTTTTTTTTTTTTTTTTTTTGAGATGCAGTTTCACTCTGTTGCCCAGGCTTGAGTGTAGTGGCACAATCTTGGCTCACTGCAACCTCCACCTCCCAGGTTCAAGTGATTCTCCTACCTCAGCCTCCCGAGTAGCTGGGATTACAGGCGCCCGTCACAATGCCCAGCTAATTTTTTTTGTATTTTTAGTAGAGATGAGGTTTCACCATGTTGACCAGGCTGGTCTCGAACTTCTAACCTCAAGTGATCCGCCTGCCTCGGCCTCCCAAAGTGATGGGATTACAGGTGTGAGCCACCGCTCCCAGCCCACAGTGATCCTTTTACAGCAAAGCTACTCCTTTGCTCTCAACCCTTCGTCATATTCTGTCACTTCC
This sequence comes from Homo sapiens, assembly GCF_000001405.40. Lineage (NCBI taxonomy): Eukaryota > Metazoa > Chordata > Mammalia > Primates > Hominidae > Homo > Homo sapiens. The sequence continues at coordinate 1,644,100 of NT_187614.1, forward strand.
CAATAAAATCCAAACCTTACCAGATGATACATGATCTGCCTTGATTTCCATCTAATTTCTCTCATTTGCTGTGCTCCAGCCACACTGGTCTTGCCCTTTCTCCATGCCAAACAAATCCCCATTTCAGGGTCACTGCACTTGCTGCTTCTCTTCTAGGATAGTTTCCCTCTAGAAATCCATGTTGCTCCTTCTCTCATTAAATGATCAGATATTTATGTGCCTCCTTAGCTAAGAGGCCTTCCTTATCTACCCTAACTAAGAGAATCCCCATATCACTCTTATCCTTTTATCCTGATTTATTTTTCCATAAAACTTGCCACATTACTGGGCATTATCTATCATTTAGTAATGTGTATATTGCTTATTGACAGTCTTCCCTACTATAATATGAGCTCCATGAGGCAGAGACTTTGTTTTGTTCACTGCTGAATTCCCAGCACCTACAACAAGCCTACTCACTAAACATTTGTTGAATTAATCTTCAGGATACATCAAATGTAAAATATCCTATCATATATTTATTGATGTGATGCATAGGAAAATGTCTGGAAGGGTACATACCAAAATGTTAATTATTTATTTAACCTGGTGGGAGGTGGTTTTTCTTTCCTTTTCTTTTCTTTTTGAGACAGAGTTTCGCTCTCGTTGCCCAGGCTGGAGTGGAATGGCAAGATCTTGGCTCATTGTAACCTCTGCCCCCAGGGTTCAAGCGATTCTACTGCCTCAGCCTCCGGAGTAGCTGGGATTACAGGTGCCTGCCACCACACCCGCGTAATTTTTTGTATTTTTAGTAGAGACGGGATTTCACCATGTTGGTCAGGCTGGTCTAGAACTCCAGACCCTGTGATCCGCCCGCCTCGGCCTGCCAAAGTGCTGGAATTACAGGCGTGAGCCACCGCGCCCGGCAGGGCTTTTTTTTTTTTTTTTTTTTGGAATGAACTTGTATTATGCATATACCAAAAAAGAATGAAAGGGTTCACACAGGTATAAAGTGTAAGTGAATTCTAAAAAAAGGTTGGGCAAATTTATCAAAGGCAGACTTCTAAATAGATGTAACAGTTATATAGTTCAGATAAACCATGGTTTGAATTCCCTTCCCCAGTACTTCCTAGCAGTGTGATCCCAAGTTATTTATGTCAGTGCCTAGATTTCTTCACCTGGAAAATAGGGATAACAACAGGTGCCTACCTCACAAGTTTTAAATGAGACCGTATGTGTAACCTGCTTTGTGCAATGTCTGGCATGCAATAAGTACTCGACAAATGGTAGCTATTAGAATCATCATTAACAGCAGTAATAAGAGATCTTGGGACATACCTAGCCCTCAAGATTGACATCAGAGTAGACCACCACATCCTCTCATCATTGCGCCTCAATTTGGGCCTCTGAAGCCCAAAGAGGGGATGGTTCTTTCCAAAGAAGACAATTTCGACGTTCCAGAAGCATCTGATTGAAACGCACCCTCTTCACCCCTTAAAATCAGTCTGGTTCATCCACGAGCAGCCCTTCGGGGCCCGGACTGGAGAGGCAGCCACGGCTCGCCGTCCCTGGGCCCAGTTCCCTCAGCCTCAATTTCCCTTGCTGCAACAGGGGTGGAGATGGGAACGTTATCCCCAAACCCAGGCAGTCCCGGCTCGGCCCGCCTCACCGCACTCCGGAGGGGACCAAACAGCCCCACGCGCCAGGAAGCCTCAGGCAACGGGCCACGCGCCACACGGGCAAAGTGATTACTGGTCGGATCAAAAGTCAGGCAAGCGGCTCAGCCCCATCCTCCCAGTCCTCGGGCACGGGGACAGCAGCAGGCGCGCGGCGGGGACCGGGAAAAGGCCAAGAGGGCGGTGGCGGGCGCTCAGCACCCGGCGGGGGCCTCCACGGCCGAGGGGCGGAGGCGGCGGGCGCGCGGCACGCGGCGCGCTCGCCACTGCGCCGCCCGGGGGCGCGCACGCAAAGCCCGGAGGCGCGCGCGACCGGCGGCTCTTTGGCGCGGATTAGGGGGTCTCGGCGAGGTGAGGCGCCAGGCAGCGCTGGGCGGGCGGGCGGGTGGCGGAGCGCGAGCCCCTCTAGCGGGACTAGGGAGAAGCGGGGGCCACGAGGTGCGGCGGGGGAGGAGTCGCGGGCTGCGGGCCCCGGCGGCGGGCTTGACGCGGCAGGCTGGCGGGCCGGCGGGCGGGCAGCGGCGGGCCTCGCCGCTCTGTGGGGGAGGGCGGTGTGGGGCCGGGCCTGACCCCGGGGGCCCGCCCCGCGTCTGGGCGGTGCCCCAGTGCCCCGGCCTCGCCATTTCCCGCTCAGCCCTGGAGCGCGTAGCTCTACCAAGAATGGCCACTGTGCCAGATGCCCCTGACCAGCGTTGCCCATTTGAATTTCCTAGCAGGCCCCCCAAAGTAGGTATTTCAGTACCCTGTTAGAGCTGAGGCGCAGGTAAAATGACTGGCCCAGGCCGGTCCCACCCCGTAAGGATTTGAACGTTGGCTCCACAACTCGGGAGCCTGCGCCTTTCCTCCTCCCAACGTGGACTCCTGCCCGGCGAAGTGCCTCACTTCCTTCTCCCGGTAACTGATTCGAATTTGGTGATTGTTAGTTTGGAGCTAGCGCCAGTGTTTCCACGGAAGTTGGTGTCAGAATGTGGTCTCTTGTGAAAGGGGGAGAAAGAAGATTCTGCAGACTGCAATATTGTGCTTTTTTGCCTTTTTTTTTTTTTCTCCTAGGCTGTACTGCAGTGCAGTGGCACGATCGCGGCTCACTGCAATCTCCGCCTCCCAGGCTCAAGCGATTCTCGTGCCTGAGGCGTGGGCCACCACGCCCAGCTAATATTTGTATTTTCAGCAGAGGTGGGGTTTCACCATGTTGGCCAGGCTGGTCTCGAACTCCTGACCTCAAGTGATCCTTCCGCCTCGGCCTCCCAAAGTGCTGGGATTACAGGCGTGAGCCACCACGCCCGGCCCTACTATTTTTTTATTTTTTGAGATGGCGTTTCTTTCGCCCAGGCTGGAGTGCAATGGCGCCATCTCAACACACTGCAACTTCTGCCTCCCAGGTTCAAGCGATTCTCCTGCCTCAGCCTCCCGAGTACCTGGGATTACAGGCGCCCGCCACCACACCTGGCTATTTTTTGTATTTTTAGTAGAGATGGGGTTTCGCTGTGTTGGCCAGGTTGATCTCGAACTCCTGACCTCAGGTTATCTGCCCACCTGGGACTCCCAAAGTGCTGAGATTACAGGCGTGAGCCACCGCACCCGGCCTCCTACTGTGCTTTTTCGAGTGTTGATCAGTCCCTATTGACTGTGCATCCTTTACTGGACGTCTGTTTTTGTTTTTGTTTTTTGAGAGGGAGTTTCACACTTGTTGCTCAGGCCAGAGTGCAACAGCGCGTTCTCAGCCCACCGCAACCTCCACCTCCCGGGTTCAAGCAGTTCTCTTGCCTCAGCCTCCCAAGTAGCTGGATTACAGGCATACGCCACCACGCCCAGCTAATTTTGTATTTTTAGTAGAGACAGGGTTTCTACATGTTGGTCAGGCTGATCTCGAACTGCCGACTTCAGGTGATCTGCCTGCCTCGGCCTGCTAAAGTGCTGGGATTACAGGCGTGAGCCACTGCGTCCAGCCTTGACATCTGTATTTGAAATGACACAGCTATCCCTTGTAAGACACTGCGCAAGTAACATACTCTTTCAGAGCTTGCTTGCTTTTGAAAAAGCAGCTTGCCCCAAAAGTGTGGGAGTGAGGATTCAAAGAATCCCCACACCTTGGTACCCACGGGTACCTAGCAAATTGAAAAAGTTCAGTAAATTTGGCTGTTATTTGATTGCTGCGTTCGTAATACACCCTTGCTAGACTCATTTTTCTTCAGAGCTCAACTTTTCCTGAGAGGACAGCAAAGGGAGACCTACCCCACCCCAAAAAGGGAAAGTTCTTTGATGGCAGCGTTAGCAGAAATGTTGCCCACACTTAGTGATGAATTATTCTCCAAGCTAAAAATTACCAGGGTGAAAAAAATCACTTCAGAAAAGCTAAAGATAAATTAACCTTTTGTAGAATTAACATTTATTAGTCCACTACTATGTGTTTATTGTATTCCTCCTGTATGCTTGGCATTTTAAAAGCATACAGATAGGTATCCGATATAGTCTCTGCTTTCACTTATTTATTATTTATTTTTGAGACAGGATCTTGCACTGTTGCCCAGGCTGGAGTGCAGTGGCACAATCTCGGCTCACTGCAACCTCCACCTGCCTGGTTCAAGCAACTCTCATGCCTCAGCCTCCCGAGTAGCTGGGATTATAGGCGCCCGCCACCACGCCAAGCAAATTTTTTTGTATTTTTGGTAGAGACGGGGTTCTCACTATGTTGCCCAGGCTGGTCTGAAACTCCTGACCTCTGGAGATTCATCTGCCTCAGTCTCCCAAAGTGCTGGAGTTACAGACATGAGCTACCACACCCAGCCTGCTTTCACTTAATTTAGAAGTGGGGGAAAATAGACATTCAGAAGTAATACTCACAAAGTAGAATGTGAAAAATGCCAGATAAAAAGCTGTGAGTGGGCCGGGTGCGGTGGCTCATGCCTGTAATCCCAGCACTTGGGGAGGCTGAGGTGGGCAGATCGCCTGAGGTCAGGAGTTCGAGACCAGCCTGGCCAACATGGTGAAACCCCGTCTCTACTAAAAATACAAAAATTAGCCAGGCCTGGTGGCCCGCGCCTGTAATCCCAGCTAATTGGGAGGCTGAGGCAGGAGACTCGCTTGAACCCGGGAGGCGGAAGTTGCAGTGAGCTGAGATCGTGCCATTGCATTCCAGCCTAGGCAACGAGAGCGAGACTTAGTCTCAAAAAAAAAACAAAAACAAAAACAAAAAGCTGTGAGTGTACAGAAGAAGGATTATTTTTTGACTTAGTGTAAAATATTATTTTATTTCTGCTTCAAAGAAGATACTTTGGGCCAGGCATGGTGGCTCACACTTGTAATCCCAGCACTCCAGCACTTTTGGAGGCCGAGGTGGGCGGATCACTTGAGGCCAAGAGTTCGAGACCAGCCTGGCCAACATGGTGAAACCCTGTCTCTCCTAAAAATACAAAACAATTAGCCAGGTATGGTGGTGGCACATGCTTGTAATCCCAGCTTCTCAGGAGGCTGAGGCACAAGACACAAGAATAAAAAATGAGAACCAAATGGAGAATGAGAATCCCTTGAACCTGGGAGGCAGAGGTTGCAATGAGTACTCCAGCCTGGGCAACAGAGCCAGACTGTGTCTCCAAAAAAAAAAGAAAAAGAGACTTAGTCTGTCCTCCAAGCTGGAGTGCAGTGGTGGCTCACTGCATCCTCGACCTCCTAGGCCCAAGCGTTCCACCTCATCCTCCTGAGTAGCTGGAACCATAAGCATGGGCCACTGTACCCGGCTAACTTTTTTTTTTTTTTTTAAGAGATGGGGTCTCCCTATGTTGCCCAGGCTGGTCTTGAACTCCTGGGTCCCAGTAATCCTCCCACGTCAGCCTCCCAGAGTGCTGGGATTACAGGCATGAGCCACTGTGCCTGGCCCTGTTACGTACTTGTTGAAAGAGTGAGGAACAAATGTATGTTGTAATAGATAGGATTTTTTGGTTTCCAGTTACAGAAACTCGTTCAGTCTTATGATTAAAGTTGAGTTTATTAAAGTTTATTAAAGAGAGAGAAATGAGAGAAGAGTTAAACAGTTGAGCCACCTGGGGCTAGGGATTTCAACAGCCAGAGCACATGGACTGAATTCTTTGAATGAATTCTAGTGAATAACTAAGCTCCAACTGCCTTCTGTCCTTTCATGTCTTACTCAAGATCCAGATTTCTGGAAGAAGAGACCTGGTTGCTTTAGCTTTTGTCAGGGGTGGGGAATGGGGTATTGTGATTGGCAGCCCCACCAGTATCACATGAAATGTGGGAGGGTCAGTTTCCCAAATAAAGATGGCAGCTAAGGAGAGAAATGATGCTGAGTAGAGAAAGCCAACAGTTGTTTATTAGAAATATGTAGCATTTGCCCCTGCCACCCTCAGTGCCCCATAGACCCAGATCCTTCCTCATAAAAAAGAAAAATATGTAGCATTTATAGAGGACCAGGTACCATGCTACATTACTTATATGGATTATGATATTTGATTATAACATTTAATTCTCACAACTTTGGAAGGTAGGCACTGTTATACCCACTACAGAGGAAGAAACAGGTTTTCAGAGGTGGAATAATTTTTCAACATTACAAAGCTAAGATGTGGCAGAGCTGAGTATGTTGCATATCTTCTCTTTATCTTGTCCCTTTGAATGATTTTCTGATCCATGTGCCACTTTTGTTTGTTCCTAGGGAGTCATCAAGCTTTGGTGTATGTGTTGGCCGGTTCTGAAGTCTTGAAGAAGCTCTGCTGAGGAAGACCAAAGCAGCACTCGTTGCCAATTAGGGAATGGACCGTTTGGGTCCCTTTAGCAGTAAGTACAGTGGGAACAAGTCTCAGGTGACTTATTATTATTTTTTTTTTGAGATGGACTCTCCCTCTGTTGCCCAGGCTGGGGTACAGTGGCATGATGTTGGCTCACTGCAACTTCTGCCTCCCGGCTTTAAACGGTTCTCCTGCCTCAGCCGCCTGAGTAGCTAGGACTACAGGCGCGCACCACCACACACAGCTAATTTTTTTTATTTTTATTTTTAGTAGAGATAGGGTTTTACCATGTTGGCCAGACTGGTCTTGAACTCCCGACCTCAGGTGATCCACCCACCTCGGCCTCCCAAAGTGCTGGGATTACAGGTGTGAGCCACCACTCCCGGCCTTCAGGTGACTATTAATAGCAAACTAGAGTGGAAGTTGATCAAGGAAGAAAAATAAACGATGAAGTTAGGCAATAAAGCCCTTTGACTCTGATTCTAAGGGAATTATGAGTATCAAAATAAAATCAATTAATACATATTGATTACCCATTGAACACATGACACAAACATATGACCCTGGGTCTTACAAGAAAATGAAGCAGCCGGGCGTGGTGGCTCACGCCTGTAATCCCAGCACTTTGGGAGGCCGAGGCAGGCAGATCACGAGATCAGGAGATGGAGACCATCCTGGCTAACACAGTGAAATCCCGTCTCCAGTAAAAAATAAAAAAAATTAGCCAGGCATGGTGGCAGGCGCCTGTAGTCCCAGCTACTTGGGAGGCTGAGGCAGGAGAATGGCATGAACCCGGGAGGCGGAGCTTGCAGTGAGCTGAGATTGTGCCACTGCACTCCAGCTTGGGCGACAGAGTGAGACTCTGTCTCAAAAAAAGAAAAAAAAAAAAAAAGAAAATGAGGCTGAGATGGACCAGGCATATTCTGATTAACCTGTAGTTAAACCTAGAAAAGCCATGGGATTTCTGTTTAGACCAATAACATGTTTCAGGCACCTTGATAAGAAATGTGTCAGTGGTAAGATAAAGGAAAGATCATCCCACCTCCCCCTTGATGTGGAACTTGTTTCTAAGAGTAAACCACGGTAGAATAATTTAGAGAATTATGGGGTATGTATGAAGTAAATTCAAGTAGCCATAACTATGGATAAAAAAATTATACTGGCCAGGTGCCATGGCTCACGCCTGTAATCCCAGCACTTTGGGAGGTCGAGGTGGGTGGATCATGAGGTCAGGAGTTTGAGACCAGCCTGGCCAACAAGGCAAAACCCCGTCTCTACTAAAAATACAAAAATTAGCTGGGGGTAATGGCGAGTAACTATAATCCCAGCTACACGGGAGCTGAGGCAGGAGAATCGCTTGAACCTGGGAGGCAGAGGCTACAGTAAACCAAGATCATGCCACTGCACTCCAGCCTGGGTGACAAGAGCAAGAATCTGTCTCAAAAAAAAAAAATTATACTGCTCTTTTTCCCTGATTCTGAATATATGAGATTTGGCAGAAATAGAAATTCCATTGTTAGATGTTTAGTAGTATCCTAATGAGAAGAATCAGAAAAGTACTTTTTGGGTGTTGTTTCCTCTTCAACAATTCGTGTTTTTTTTGAGATGGAGTCTTGCTGCATTACCCAGGCTGGAGTGCAGTGGCATGATCTCGGCTTACTGCAACCTCCACCTCCCGGGTTCAAGCAATTCTCCGTCTCAGCCTCCCGAGTAGCTGGGAGTATAGGCGTCTGCCACCACGCCCGGCTAATTTTTGTATTTTTAGTAGATACAGGGTTTTACCTTGTTGGTCAGGCTGGTCTTGAACTCCTGACCTCAGGTGATCCACCAGCCTTGGCCTCCCAAAGTGCTGGGATTACAAGCGTGAGCCACCGCTCCCGGCCTGACAGAACAATTTCTTAAAGGAGCTCTAATTTACTTTTTGATCACACTCCTAATATAAATTTAGGAGAGAATGGAGTCTTCAGACACATCTAGTTCAACTCTTTCATTTTACATGTAGAGAAATCTAAGTGGACTGCTCTAATGCTGGGAGTGTCCAAAATAAACTTCTTTTTGGAAATAATTTCAAACTTAAGTTGCAAGAATAAGAATACAAACAATACCCACATACCTTTTGTTAACCTTTTACTCCATCTGCTTTGTCATTTGCATGTGCACTGTCTGTCTCTGTGTGTGTGTATATATATGTTTTTTATTTTTTAATTTTTTTTATTTTTAAGAGATGGGGTCTCACTGTGTCACCCAGGCTGGACTGCAGTGACACAATCATAGCCCACTGGAGCCTTGAATTCCTAGGCTCAAGCGATGCCCCCACCTTGGCCTCCCAGTGTGTTGGTATTATAGGCATAAGCCACCATGCCTGGCCCAATCTTTACTATTAAGGTTGCAAAAAGATGATTCCCCCCCCACCCCCTGCCAAATCTAGTGCTCTCTCCACATTTACTAGTTAGCATTTTTAGTTTTTATTTTAAGTTCAGGGGTACATGTGCAGGGTTGTTATATAGGTAAACTTCTTGTCACAGGGGTTTTGTGTACAAATTATTTTGTCACCAAGATAATAAGCATAGCACTCGAGAGGTAGTTTTTGGGTCCTCTCCCTCCTCCCACTGTTCACCCTCAAGAAGGCCCTGGTTTCTGTTCCCCTCTTTGTGTCCATGTGTTCTTGTTTTTTTAGCTCATACTTGTAGGTGAGATCAGAGGGTATTTGGTTTTCTCTTTCTGTGTTAGTTTGCTTAGGATAATGACCTCCAGCTCCATCCATGTTGCTGCAAAGGATGTGATCTCATTACTTTTTTATGGCTGCATAGTATTCCATGGTATATATGTACCGCATTTTCTTTATCTGTTCACTTTTTTACTTATTTTTTATTATGGACACAGGAATTCCTATTTTTTCAAGGATTTACGATTTATTAGCATACATAACTAGCTAGGTTCATGGATTATTCCAAATTTGGCCACTGGGAGTCCCTTCAAATGGGCTCCTACATCCTTATAGCGTACTCTCATCATTTTTTTTTTCTTTTTAGCATCTCCGTCCTTTTTGGCATAACTAAATACTCCAAGTGCATCCTGTACTCCCCCCGCCCTGGAATCAGCCACTTCTCTGAGGAGTCCTGGTACTTTTACAAGGGAGTCATATCAGAGACCGAGATCTTTTCATCTACTAGAATATTTTTGCATCTTGGCCCTTTTGGCTGACAGAACTAGGAAATATATGCATGTTATGTGCTATATACATATATGCCAGTATACATACACACATGCACATTTACGTACACATATACTTCTTTTGAGGAAATCATGAGTTCACATTGATACCTCTAATTCATCATCATGGGCTTTTTTCTTGTCTGCATTAATTCCTCATTCACATGTCTCTACTCAGTGAGAACCCTGGCTCCCAACATCAATATAATTCCACTATCCCCTGCCCTCAACCCCTTGTACTTACCAACTTCATTGTTTTCTGGTTTAATCTGTCCCTTAATCCTTTTTGCAAAGAAAAGAGGACTGTTTTTTACTCTAATTTTTTTCTTTTTCTTTTCTCTTTTTTTTTTTTGAGACAGAGCTTCGCTCTTGTCACTCAGGCTAGAGTGCAGTGCCACGATCTCAGCTTACTGCAGTCTCCACCTCCTGGATTCAGGTGATTGTCCTGCCTCAGCCTCCTGAGTAGCTGGAATTACAGGTGTCTGCCACCACACCTGGCTAATTTTTGTATACGGGATTTCACCATGTTGGCCAGGCTGGTCTTGAACTCCTGATCTCAGGTGATCCACCCGCCTTGGCCTCCCAAAGTACTGGGATTACAGGCACAAGCCACCGTGCCTGGCCTCTAATTTCTTATAGGAAAGATAGCATACTATATATATGTGTTCTTTTGTACTTTTAAAAAAATTCTTCAATCAGCACCAGGATTGTACTTTTTTCCCCTCACTTAATAGTATCTCCTGGAAATACTGTATTAGTTGGTAGAGGTTGTCCTCATTCTGTTTTTTATAGTTGCATAATACTTCATTGTGTGGATATGTTATTATTCAAATAATTGCTTATACTTGGACATCTAAGTAGTATTTTGCAATTACATCTAATATTATATATAACCTTGGATGTGTGTATTTTTGTATTATTGGAAATGTATATTCATGGTAAAAAATTCCTGGAAGTGAGATTGCTGGGTCAAAAGATAATGCCCCTCTATATGAGTTGTACTATTTTGTATTCCCACCAGTGATACGTAAGAGTGCCCCGGCTGGGCGCGGTGGCTCAGGCATGTAATCCCAGAACTTTGGGAGGCCGAGGTGGGTGGATCATGAGGTCAGGTGTTCGAGACCAGCCTGACCACCATGGTGAAGCCTCTACTAAAGATACAAAAAATTAGCTGGGCTTGGTGGTACGTGCCTGTAATCCCAGCTACTCAGGAGGCTGAGGCAGGAGAATCGCTTGAACCTGGGATGCAGAGGTTGCAGTGAGCCAAGATTGTGCCACTGCACTCCAGCCTGGGCGACAAGAGTGAAACTCCTTCTCAAAAAAAAAAAAAAAAAAAGTGTCTATATTCCCACAGCCTGACTAATTATATTGTCAGGCATTGAAACTTTTGCCAATCTGATGGGTGAGAAACTATATGTCAGGGTAGTTTTAAATTTTATCTTGCTTATGAGTGAAGCTGAACATTTTTTCATATGTTTAAGGCCATTTTATGTCTCTTTTTTTTCCCCAAATTGTCTTTGTGTCTTTCGCAGCAGGATCTTTGGTCTTTTATTCTCCCTCTCAATTTTTTTTTTTTTTTTAAACGGAGTTTCACTCTTGTCACCCAGGCTGGAGTGCAATGGTGCGATCTCGGCTCACCGTAACCTCTGTCTCCCGGGTTCAAGCGATTCTCCTGCCTCAGCCTCCCAAGTAGCTGGGATTACAGGCACATGCTGCCATGCCCAGCTAATTTTTGTATTTTTAGTAGAGATGGGCTTTCCTTCGTGTTGGCCAGGCTGGTCTCGAACTCCCAACCTCAGGTGATCTGCCTGCCTCGGCCTCCCTCTCAATTTTTTAAAGTTGTTTGCATACTAGGGATTTCAGTGCTTTTTTTCTGATATGTTTACAAATATTTTCTTAAAGTATACTTGCTTTTTTACTTTCCTTATGGTGTTTTTGCCAAAAAAAGTTTTTTGTTTTCTTTTTATTAATGTAGTCAAGTTTATTAACCCTTTATTGAATTTGAATGATGGTTAAAAAGCCTCACTCGGCCACACATGGTGGCTCACGCCTGTAATCCCAGCACTTTGGGAGGCCGAGGCAGGCAGATCACGAGGTCAAGAGATTGAGACCATCATGGCCAACATGGTGAAACGCCATCTCTACTGAAAATACAAAAATTAGCTGGGCATGGTGGCACACACCTATAGTCCCAACTACTTGAGAGGCTGAGGCAGGAGAATCACTTGAACCTGGGAGGCAGAAGTTGCAGTGAGCCAAGATCGCACCACTACACTCCAGCCTTCCAGCCTGCCAGCCTGGCAACAGAACGAGAGTCCGCCTCAAAAAAAAAAAAGCCTCTCTCTTGTTTCCTGTTATCTCAGTGAAAAATTAGATAAAAAGTCTTTCTCTTAGATTTTAAAAAATTTTGAAATACCTTTTGAAGGACAGTTGGGCTCTGTGTATCAAAAACCTAAAAATGCTCAATAACTGTACACTCAACAATTTTAGTTCTAGGAAAATATATATCCTGAGGAACAGATGTGAAATGTACATACAAAAGACCGGGCACAATGGCTCACGACTGTAATCCCAGCACTCTGGGAGGCTGAGGCAGACGGATCACCTGAGGTCAGGAGTTCGAGACCAGCCTGGCCAACATGGTGAAACCCCGCCTCTACCGAAAATACAAAAATTAGCTGGGTGTGTTGGTGGGCGTAATTCCAGCTACTTGGGAGGCTGAGGCAGGAGAGTCGCTTGAACCCGGGAGGCAGAGGTTGCAGTGAGCTGAGATCGCGCCACTGCACTACAGCCTGGGCAACAGAGCAAGACTCCGTCTCAAAAAAAAAAAATTAGCTGGGCATGGTGGCATGCACCTGTAGTCCCAGATACTAGGGAGGCTGAGGTGGGAGGATCACTGAGTCTGGGAGGGAGAGTTTGCAATCAGCCAAGTTTACTATTTGGAAATAAAATACATAAGACAATATGTCTACATATGTGATTTCTTTTTTTTTCTTGAGACATAGTCTCGCTCTGTTGCCCATGCTAGAGTGCAGTGGCATGATCTCAGCTCACTGCCATCTCTGCCTCCTAGGTTCAAGTGATTCTCATGCCACAGCCTCCCGAGTAGCTAGGACTACAGGTGTGCGTCACCAGGCCCAGACAATTTTTGTATTTTTATTGGAGGTGGGGTTTCGCCATCTTGACCAGGCTGGTCTTGAACTTCTGGCCTCAAGTGGTCCACCTGTCTTGGCCTCCCAAAGTGCTGGGATTACAGGCATGAGCCACCATGCCTGGCATACATAATTTCAAAAATTAAAAATAATAATGCTCTAACTATAATAAAAGAGATAAATACAAGAGAAGTAATCTATGGTAAAACAATGCAATTTATAATAAAGCAATATGTATTTCAATATGTTTAGACATAATTACAATAGAAGACATGATTTAAGTACTAGATACTTGAACCCATATGTTGAATCACTGTGCATATACAAATGCAGAATGATTCAAGCGTGTCATGTTGGTGACTAAGAAACACCACAAGCTAGAATAACTAAACGTTCTGAACAAAACAAAATACATTCTCCTCTAGACTTATATACAATTGCCTGTCTGGAAATTTCAGTGCATATTAAAATTCTCAAAAATACTTTGCTTTATATATAACATGGAATTAGCTTCTAGGTCATATGAGATTTTTCATTCACTTGAATGTCTGGTGGGACATTTGAAAGTTGCACAGGACACACAAAAAAGTCAATTTTTATTAGAATGTATTGAGCATTGTAGGATACCTAGAATCCCTGTTTTAGGGGCCTGCAGAATGCCAGTGGGGCACTGATCATTGTGGAAACAAAAAGGTACCTCCTCAGATTTCCAAATGGCTCCCTAGGGGGGAGTTGAGTACAATTAGGTTATATAATATAATTAATACAATGGAATGTTATTTATCCATTAGAAAGAACAAGGAAGGTCAATGTGTATTGTCATGAAAACATGTCCGCAATTTGTTGTCAAGTGAAAAAACATGTATGATATTCCACTTTTTCTTTTTCTTTTTTTTTTTTGAGACGGAGTTTCGCTGTTGTCACCCAGGCTGGAGTGCAGTGGCGTGATCTCGGCTCACTGCAACCTCTCCCTCCTGCGTTCAAGTGATTCTCCTGCCTCAGCTCCTGAGTAGCTGGGATTAGGCGCCCACCACCACATCCAGCTAATTTTTTATTTTTAGTAGAGGTGGGGTTTCACCATGTTGGCCAGTCTGGTCTTAAACCCCTAACCTCTAGTGAGCCACCCGGCTCAGCCTCCCAAAGTGCTGGGATTACAGGTATGAGCCACCGTGCCTGGCTATTTTTTCTTTTTATTATTTTTGGTAGAAGCAGGGTCTTGCAGTATTGCCCAGGGTGGTCTTGACTTCCTAAGCTGAAGCGATCATCCTGCCTTTTCCTCCCAAAGTGCTGGGGTTACAGGCATGACCCACAGAGCCCAGCCTCTACTTTTGTTGAATATATGTACTATATTATATAGAAGAAAGGTTGGAAAAATATTTTTCAAAATGCTAATTGTGGATGACATACTTTACAGTTTTATTTTAGTCTGGAATGTTAAGAACTTACTTTTACAAAGTAATTGCTTTTTTTTTTCTTTTTGAGAGAGGGTCTTGCTTTCTTACCCAGGCTGGAGTGCAGTGGCATGCTCAAGGCTTACTGCAGACTCGATCTCAGCTCAAGTGATCCTCCTACTTCAGGCCTCCGTATAGCTGGGACCACCAAGCATGCACCACTGCACCTGCCTAATTTTGTGGGGTTTTTTTTTGTAGAGACATGGTTTCACCATGTTCCCCAGGCTGGTCTCGAACTCCTGAGCTCAAGTGATCCACCCACCTTGGTCTCCCAGAGTGCTGGAATTACGTGCATGAGCCACCGTGGCCCGTGCAGTAATTGCTTCTTGACATAAGGATTTAAAAAATCACTTTGGGCCTGCAATCCTAGCACTTTGGGAGGCTACGCCAGGTAGATTGCTTGAATCCAGGAGTTCAAGACCAGCCTGGGCAACATGGGAAAACCCCCCCTCTACTAAAAGTACAAAATTTAGCTGGGTGTAGTGCACATACATGTAATCCCAGCTACTTGGGAGGCTGAGGCATGAGAATTGCTTGAACGTGGGAGGCAGAGGTTTCAGTGAGCTGAGATCAAGCCATTGCACTGCAGCCTGGGTAACCAGAGTGAGACACTGTCTCAAAAAAAAAAAAAGACCACTTTTCAGGAGTTCGAGACCAGCCTGGCCAATATGGTGAAACCCTGTCTCTACTAAAAATATAAAAAATTAGCCAGTCGTGGTGGTGTGCACTTGTAGTCCCAGCTACTCGGGAGGCTGAGGGAGAAGAATCGCCTGAATCCAGGAGGTGGAGCTTGCAGTGAGCTGAGATCGCGCCACTGCACTTCAGCCTGGGCGACAGAGCAAGACTCCGTCTCAAAAAAAAAAACTACTTTGCTCAGTGGCTGATGCCTTTTTTAAAAATAGGATAGTTGGAGGAAAGAGAGAAGCAAGCTTATATCTAACAGGAAGTGAGGAAGAGGGTAACTTGGTAGAAGTTGGCACCTGTCACTTAATATACAATAATTTTTGGCTCAGCGCAGTGGCTCACTCCTGTAATCACAGTACTTTGGGAGGCTGGGGCAGAAGGATCACTTGAGGCTGGAAGTTTGAGACCAGCCTGAGCAACATAGCAAGATTTGTTCTTCTGCATTAAAATTTAAAATGGGGGAAATGGAGTAGCTGCGCAGTTTCATATATTGAATTTGAAGCTACTGCCAGGAGTACATTTTTTTCTTTCATCATTTTCTTCTGTGTCTTTTTTTTTTTTTTTGAGATGGAGTTTCGCTCTTGTCACCCAGGCTGGAGTGCAATGGCACGATCTCAGCTTACTGCAACCTCTGCCTCCCGGGTTCAAACAATTCTCCTGCCTCAGCCTCCTGAGTAGCTGAGATTACAGGTGCCCACCACCACACCTGGCTAATTTTTGTATTTTTAGTGGAGATGGGGTTTCGCCATGCTGGTCAGGTTAGTCTTGAACTCCTGAGCTCAAGTGATCAACCCGCCTCAGCCTCCGAAAGTGCTGGGATTATAGGTTTGAGCCACCGTGCCTACTCTCTCTATCTTCTTAAAAACAAATAAAGAGAACAGTGATCTTCACTTGGAAGAGGGAAAGGTACCTTGAAGAACATTTCTTGGACTTTAGGGAGGCAAATACTGTTACAGAATGTGAGAAATCCTGTTCCAGGCTGAACAAATTAAATTCCTTCATCTACCTTCAAAGCTTTTCTTCTCTTAGATTCTTGTGATTGATCATAGAGAACAATTTTGCTAGGTTGCCGTGACTCCAGAGGCCGAATTTGGGGCAACCAGGGACACATATATCTGCATTTTTATGAGTTTTGAGAGTTTGGATTGTACTCCTTGTCTTCATAGTTTGGAGACATACCACTGTCATTGGAGTAGAAGATCTGCTGTGTTATGTACTTACCATGGGAGAAAGGGAGGAAGCTTCCTGGGTTTCAATTCCCACTCAGAGCCAGGTGTGGTGGCTCATGCCTATAATTCCACCACTTTGGGAAGCTGAGGCAGGAGGACTTCTTAAGACCAGTGTGGGCAACACAGTGAGACCCTGTCTCTACAAAAATTAAAAATTTAGCCAGGCGCAGTGGTGCAAGTCTGTCCCTCCTCTTGGGAGGCTGAGGTGGGAGGAACACCTGAGCCTGGGGAGATTGAAGCCACAGTGAGCCATGATCTCACCACTGCACTCCAGCCTGGGCAACAGTCTAAGACCCTGTCTCAAGAAGACTCTGTCTCAAGAAGACCCTGTCTCAAGAAAAAAAAGAAAAATCCGAACCCAAATATAAAATAGTATATTCCAAAATATGTATTTAGAAGAGACATGTATTTAGAGGCTAGCTGAGTGTGATGGCTCATACCTGTAATCCCAACACTTTAGGAAGCTGAGGCAGCTCAAATTCCTGGAACCGTTTGAGCCCAGGAATTCAAGACCAGCCTAGGCAACATAGTGAAACTCTTGTCTCTACAGAAAATAAATTTTAAAAAAGTACCCGGGTGTGGTGGCTTGTGCCTGTAGTCCCTGCTAGTTAGGAGGCTGAGGTGGGAGGCTCATTTGAGCCTGGGAGGTTGAGGCTGCATTGAGGCATGATCGTGCAACCACACTTCAGCCTAGGTGACAGAGTGAGACCCTATCTCAAAAAAAAAAGGAGTTTTCTCTTATTTGCCCCAACTTTTTATTATGAAAAGTTTTAAACTTAAATAGAAAAGTCAAAAGAACAGTACAATGATGATGATGTGTTTTTTTATTTTTTTATTTTTTTTTGGAGACGGAGTCTCTCTCTGTTGCCCAGACTGGAGTGCAGTGGCGTGATCTCGGATCACTGCAACCTCCGCCTCCCGGGTTCAAGCAGTTCTTCTGCCTCAGCCTCCTGTGTAGCTGGGACTACAGATGCATACCGCCATGCTTGGCTAATTTTTTTGTTTTTTTTTTGAGACAGAGTCTTACTCTGTCGCCCAGGCTGGAGTGCAGCGGCGCGATCTCGGCTCACTGCAACCTGTGCCTTCTGGGTTCAAGTGATTCCTCTGCCTCAGCCTCCTGAGTAGCTGGGATTACAGGTGTGCACCACCACACCTGGCTAATTTTTGTGTTTTTAGTAGAGATGGGGTTTCACCATCTTGGCCAGGCTGGTCTTGAACTCCTCACCTCATGATCCACCCGCCTCGGCCCCCCAAAGTGCTGGGATTACAGGCATGAGCCACCGTGCCCAGCCAATTTTTTTGTAGTTTTAGTAGAGACAGGGTTTCACTGTGTTGCCCAGGCTGGTCTCAAACTCCTAAGAGCAGGCAATCTGCCTGCCTCAGCCTCCCAAAGTGCTGGGATTACAGGCGTGAGCCACCATGCCCAGCTGATTATTATTATTATTATTATTATTATTATTATTATTTGAGGCAGGGTCTAGCTCTGTCGCCCAGGCTGGAGTGCAGTGGCACAATCTTGGCTCACGGCAACCTTTGCCTTCCGGGTTCAAGTGATTCTGTGCCTCAACTTCCCAAGTAGCTGGGATTATAGGCTGCGCCCCCATCCCTGGCTGTTTGTATTTTTAGTAGAGACAGGGTTTCGCCAGGTTGGCAAGGCTGGTCTCAAACTTCTGGCCTCAGGTAATGCACCCACCTTGGCCTCCCAAAGTGCTGGAATTACAGGGTAAGCTAATGTGGCCGGCCTACAGTGATTATTTATATGCTTGCTACCTAGATTCAGCAATTGTTAACATTTTGTCAGATTTTCTTTATATTGTATGTGCAGGTATGTGTCCATTTTATGCTCCTGGAAAAATAAGTTTGGGATATTATGAAACTTCCAGTTAAAAATGTGTTTGTGACTGGGCATGGTAGCTCATACCTGTAATTCCAGAGCTTTGAGAGGCCAAGGCAGGAACATTCTTTGAACCTAAAAGTTCAAGACCAGCCTGGGCAACATGGTGAGACATCGTCTCTACAAAAAATTAACCAGGTGTGGTGGCATGTGCCTGTAGTCCTAACTACTTGGGAGGCTGAGGCAGGAGGATTGCTTAAGCCCAGGAGTTTCAGGTTACAGTGAGCTATTGTCAAGCCACTGCACTCCAGCCTGGGTGGCAGAGCAAGACCCTGTCTCTAAAAATATATAAATAAATCAACAAACAAACATATGCTTGTAAATTTCTCTGCAGGGTTCATATCTACGTAAATGCTGTGTGAAAAGGAACAATGCTGCCCTGAAGTTAAAAGGATCATAATTTTTGCTTTTTTTTATTTGTAATGAGCTCATCTTGTCTCCATGAACTTTTCAGCTTAGCTCACTACTTGTGTGGTCATTTGGGGATTTTCACCTTTTTGCACTTAAGATAACCGTAAGGTGGTCTGAAATGTGCATTTGTTTTCTGTTTGTTCTAGATGATCCCTCTGATAAGCCACCTTGCCGAGGCTGCTCCTCCTACCTCATGGAGCCTTATATCAAGTGTGCTGAATGTGGGCCACCTCCTTTTTTCCTCTGCTTGCAGGTAACTCACTAATGCTGGCTTCTCCTAGCCTAGTTTTATGCTATTTTTTATGATGTAATATTTCGGAGATTACTGTCAACTGCTAAGGAGATCTATATCTTATTAAATCTATTCCTTCCAATTTTTCTTTTTCTTTCTTTTTTTTTTTTTTGAGATGGAGTCTCACTCAGTCGCCCAGGCTGGAGTACAGTGGTGTCATCTCTGCTAACTGCAATCTCCACCTCTTAGGTTCAAGCGATTCTCCTGCCTCAGCCTCCTGAGTAGCTGAGATTACAGGCACACACCATTATGCCCAGCTGATTTTTGTATTTTTAGTAGAGACGGGGTTTCACCATGTTGGTCAGGGTGGTTTTGAATTCCTAACCTCATGATCCATCTGCCTCAGCCTCCCAAAGTTCTGGGATTACAGGCGTGAGCCACCGCACCCGGCCCCAATTTTTCATTATACGTTTTACCAGTGAAAAGTTGAGAAACAGAGCAGTTAGATGAGACAGACTGTTGATTAGTCCACATCTGTGTTTAAACCTAATACTTGGCCGGGCACAGTGGCTCATGCCTGTAGTCCTAGCACTTTTGGAGGCTGAGGCAGGTGGATCCCCTGAGGTCAAGAGTTCAAGACCAGCCCGGTCAACATGGTTCAACATGGTGAAATCCCATCTCCACAAAAATAAAAAAAAATTAGCTGGGCATGATGGCGGGTGCCTGTAATCCCAGCTACTTGGGAGGCTGAGGCAGGAGAATCTTTTTTTTTTTTTTGAGACGAAGTCTCGCTGTGTCACCAGGCTGGAGTGTAGTGGCACAATCTTGGCTCCCTGCAACCTCTGCCTCCCGGGTTCAAGTGATTCTCTTGCCTCGCAGATTGCACTCCAGCCTGGGCGACAGAGCAAGACTCTGTATCAAAAAACAAACAAAACCCTAATAGTTAACACTGTTTTTTTTGTTGTTGTTGTTTTGTTGAGACGGGAGTTTCGCTATTGTTTTCCAGGCTGGAGTGCAATGGTGTGATCTTGGCTCACCGCAACCTCTGCCTCCCGGGTTCAAGCGATTCTCCTGCCTCAGCCTCCTGAGTAGCTGGGATTACAGGCATGCGCCACCACACCCGGCTAATTTTGTATTTTTAGTATAGACAGGGTTTCTCCACGTTGGTCAGGCTGGTCTTGAACTCCAGACCTCAGGTGATCTGCCTGCCTCGGTCTCCCAAAGTGCTGGGATTACAGGGCGTGAGCCACCGTGCCCAGCTATTTTTTCTTTTTTTTCTTTTCCACGACAGAGTCTTGCTCTATCACCCAGGCTGGAGTGCAGTGGCGTGATCTCGGTTCACTGCAAGCTGTGCCTCTCGGGTTCAAGGGATTCTCCTGCTTCAAGGGATTCTCCTGCTTCAACCTCCCGAGTAGCTGTGGTTACAGGTGCATGCCACCATTCCCAGCTAATTTTTTATATTTTTGGTAGAGATGGGGTTTTCTCATGTTGGCCATGCTGGTCTCAAACTCCTGACCTCAAGTGATCCTCCTGCCTCAGCCCCCAAAGTGCTGGGATTACAGGCGTGAGCTACCACGCCCGGCCATAACACTGTTTTTTTAAGTTAATTTAAAGTATTGAAATTACAGGAAACATAACTGGAAGATTATTCCTTTTGATGACACTGTTTATTGTCTTGTTGAAGACTGATCTCTGTACAGATGACAAGGGAAGAAACAATTTTTGTGGGTGATAATGGTAATAATAATACTAATTATAAGTACTTGCTCTGTCCCAGGCACCACTTTGAGTACTTTACATGAATTAACCCTTAAATCATCACTGTAATCCTATGAAGTACCTATGATTAGTATCCCCATTTTATAGATGAAGAAATTTAGGCTAAGAGAGGTTAAGTAACTTGTTCAGGGTCACACAGCAAATACCATATTTTATCAGATCTAAGACACCATTGATTATAAGAAGCACCTCAATTTCAGAAATGTTAAAATGTAAAACTGGCTGATGAAAGTTGTGATGTACTTTCGATTATAAGATGAATCTTGATTTCAGAGAGTTTTTTTATTTTTTTGAGACAGGGTTTCACTGTGTCCTCTAGGCTGGAGTGCAGTGGCATGATCATGGCTCAATGCCACCTCTATCTTCCAGGCTTAAGTGATCCTTCTACCTCAGCTTCCCAAGTATCTGGGACTACATGCTTGTGCCACCATGTCCAGCTAATTTTTTTTTTTTTTTTTTTTCTGTGGAGAAAGGGTCTCGCCTTGTTGCTCAGGCTGGTCTGGAACTCTTGAGCTCAAGCAATCCTATCACCTCAGCCTCCCAGAATGCTAGGATTACTCCAGGCCTACTTCAGGGACTTTTTATTTTTCTTTAAAAAA
Source organism: Homo sapiens (assembly GCF_000001405.40). Lineage (NCBI taxonomy): Eukaryota > Metazoa > Chordata > Mammalia > Primates > Hominidae > Homo > Homo sapiens. The sequence goes on from NT_187614.1 coordinate 1,665,138, forward strand.
AAATAAAGAATTTTTTTTAGAGATGGGGTCTTGCTCTGCTGTTCAGCCTGGAGTGCAGTGGTATAATCATAGCTCACTGCAGCCTCGACCTCCTGGGCTCAATGATCCTCCTCCCTCAGCCTGCCCTGAGTAACTAGGTCTATGGGCACAAGCCACAATGCCCAGCCCAGAGTTTAAAATATGAAACAATATTTATCTTAGAATGGCTGAAATACGGTTTCAGAGCCAGGATTCAAATTTAGGCTATATGATTGTGATTCCAGGGCATATGCTCTCCTCAAAGAGTTGTCTTAGAAAAAAGTATTTTTTTCAGACTTGTTTTTTCTCCATGAGGGCCACTGAAAAGCTGTGATCATGATTCCACCATTCTATTGCAGCTGCAGACAAGATTAAATGAATCCTTAAAAAATTGTTGTCCGGGCTCGGTGGCTCACGCCTGTAATCCCAGCACTTTGGGAGGCCAAGAAAGGTGAATCACAAGATCAGGAGTTCGAGGCCAGCCTGGCCAAGGTGGTGAAATCCCGTCTCTGCTAAAAATACGAAAATTAGCTGAGTGTTGTGCCGGCTGCCTGTAATCCCAGCTACTCGAGAGGCTGAAGCAGGAGAATCAACTTGAACCTGGGAGGCAGAGGTTGCAGTGAGCTGAGATGGCGCCACTCTAGCCTGGGTGAAAGAGCAAGACTCCGTCTCAGAAAAAAAAAAAAAAAAAAAAAAAACTTGTCAAGAAGTGGTGTGGTGGCCCACACCTGTAATCTTAGCACTTTGGGAGACTGAGGTACAAGGATCCCTTGAGCCTAGGAGTTCAAGGCTGCAGTGAGCTATGATGGTGCCACTGCACTTCGGCCTGGGTGACAGAACGAGACCCTGTCTCCAAAAATAAAATTTTAAAAACCCAAACTTGTCAGAAGAATAACACAAACCTCCTCTGTCCTTTAAGAAAGTAGCTTTTGCTAATTTAATTTTTCTTTCTTTGCAGTGTTTCACTCGAGGCTTTGAGTACAAGAAACATCAAAGCGATCATACTTATGAAATAATGGTAATGATGAAGTTGCTGGGAATTTCTGTTCACTTTTTTTAAGAATTAGACTGGGAAGTAGTTTTTCTTTTCCATTTTTCTTTAAGCTCTCTTGGACTTCAGGGAATTAGTTTTCTTAATCTCTGAGTATCTTTACCTTTTCTCCCCTTCGGAAATAGGTAATTGTTATCCAATAAGTTTTTTAGGGTTTTGTGGATCTATCAAGGTATTTAAGCACAAAAATAGTTTTATATACTCAGATTTTTGTTTGAAATTTGGAAATTATTCAAAGGAAATACTTTTGATATGAGGATAACAGGTATGCTGCTTTTTAAACTCATTGATAAACATAGCCAATGTGTTGTCACTGTGTGCTCATGGTATTTTTATGTGGTTCATGTGGACAGTGGTGTTTTTGTTGAGCAGTTCATTCCCTTGCCTTGGGGAAATTAGTTACCTTCTGAGAGTCAGGTTATAAAGTGAACACAGCAAATGAATTAATACATAAAATCACTGAAGAGGCAGACTGGTTTATAAGCTTGAATAAAACTTGGCTATAGCTTAATTGTAATGCCACACTTAAAGAAGGAATAAGAGTGTTCGTAGTGTCCTTCCAAGCCCTGGCCATGGGAGTGGGTGGTTTAATAAGCCAAAGTGAATATCCAGTCTGCTTGACGGGTATATATACCTTTGTCAAGATAGTTTTGTTGGCCAGGCACAGTAACTCACGCCTGTAATCCTAGCACTTCCAGAGGCCAGGTTGGGCAGATCACTTGAGGTCAGGAGTTCAAGACCAGCCTAGCCAATATAAGGTGAAACCCTGTCTCTATTAAGAATACAAAAATTAGCTGAGTGTGGTGATGTGCACCTGTAGTCTCAGCTACTTGGGCGTCTGAGGCAGGAGAATCGCTTGAACCCAGGAGGCAGAGGTTGCAGTGAGCCAAGATCGCACCACTGCACTCCAGCCTGGGCGACAGAGTGAGACTCCATCTCAAAAAAAAAAAGACAGTTTTGTCAGTTATCAGAACATATTAAGCATATAACTAAATCTCCTACTTCAAGCAGTTTTCTGACATTTGGCCCCCATGCAGTTGTTCTTACAGGAAAGGATCCTGGCAGGCTTGACAGTTAAAATTTCACATAGTAGATTAATCTATATTTTCTATCGATGCTGCAACAAATTACCAAAAATTAGATATCTTAAGACAACACAAATTTGTCTCACAGTTCTGTGGATCAGAAGATCATTAGGCTCAGCTGGTTTGCTCCAGGTTCCATAAGGCTGAAATGAAGATGTTGGCCAGCCTGGGCTCTCACCTGGAGGCCCTGGGGTAGAATCCACTTCTAGGTTCTTTCAGGTTGTTGGCAGAATTCACTGCCTTAAGGTTTTAGGAAGGATGCCACTGTTTTGATCAGGGCATGTTCTCCGTTTCCACAGGCTGTCTGCATTCCCTGGCTCTGGGCCCCCTTTCTCCATCCTCAAAGCCAGGAGCACAGGAAGTCCTTGAGGTTGTTGATGAAATCCAGGGAATCTCTATGACCTCTCCTATTGCCTTATCTTTCCTGTGCTGAATCTTTATGAGTGATTCTTCTGCTTTCCTCTTCTACTTTGAGACAGGGTCTCACTCTATCACCCAGGCTAAAGAGCAGTGGCACAATCACAGCTCACTGTAACCTCGACCTCCCAGGCTTAAGCTATCCTATCTCAGCCACCTGACTAGCTGGGACTATAGGCACAAGCCACCATGCCTGGCTAATTTAAAAATTTTTTTTGTAGGCCAGGCTTGGTGGCTCATGCCTGTAATCCCAGCACTTTGGGAGGCCGAGGCGGGTGGATCACAAGGTCAGGAGATCGAGACCATCCTGGCTAACATGGTGAAACCCCATCTCTACTAAAAACACAAAAAATTAGCCAGGTGTGGTGGTGGGCGCCTGTAGTCCCAGCTACTCGGGAGGTTGAGGCGGGAGAATGATGTGAACCCGGGAGGCAGAGCTTGTATTGAGCCAAGATTGTGCCACTGCACTCCAGCCTGGGCAACAGAGTGAGACTCCGTCTCAAAAAAAAAAAAAAAAGAAAAAGAAAAATTTTGTAGACAGGGGTCTAGGGGCCTTTCTATGTTATTCAGGCGTCTAGGGGTCTTTCTGTGTTATTCAGGCTGGTCTCAAACTCCTGGGCTCAAGTGATCCTCCCACCTCAACCCTCAACCTCCTAAAGTGCTGGGATTACAGGTGTGAGCCACCACAGCAGGCACCTCAACTATGTATAAGGACTCATGTGGATTACATTGGGCCTATCAGGGTAATCCAGGATAGTCTCTCTACTTTAAGGTCAGCTGATTAGTAACCTTTATTCCATCTGTAAAGTCCTTTCCCAGCAGTACCTCGCTAGTGTTTGATGGACTAGTCAGAAGACAGGAATCTTAGGATGAGGGGAACATCTTTATTTTTATTTTATTTATTTATTGAAAAAAAAAATAGAGACAGGGTTTCTCCATGTTGCCCAGGCAGGTCTCGAACTCAGGGGTTCAAGTTATCCTTCCACCTAGGCCTCCCAAAGTGCTGGAATTATAGACATGAGCCACCATGCCCAGCCAGAGAACATCTTTAGAATTGGGCCTCCTACAGCACTGCAGTATATTTACTTCAGTCTCTTAAAAGTTTAGAAAGGGTGAATCAGCATCTCTGAGCCTGACTATTGGTGGAGTCCTATTAAAATGAGTTTCTGGGCTTATAATATTCAGGGTCAGATTCTAGGCCACAATGAATTAATCAAAGAACCAGTTAGAGTTCTTGGGAGCCAACTAACTAGCCTTCCTCTATCCATCTCTAAACAATTTCAGTCTTTTAATGGCTTCAGTAATTGTAAGACTTGGAATAAATTTTTTCCCCCTTTAAATGCAAAAATGAAGGGTTAGGAGACTGTTCAAAGTAGCTGTGGATTTGAGTTAATTTCACCAAGGTTATCAGGTCTTCAGAAAGCTGGTTTATTTTTCCCAAATTAATGCGAGAATACCTAGAGCCAGAATACAAATTTATTCATTCACATTGTGAAATAACTCCTTAAGGGATAATTCAGTATAGCTTGGGTAGGTTGGTAGTCATGCTTATTCACTGTAGGAAAGCTGACCATGAGCTTTCTTTAGCTATTCTGGCATCATGTCTTCTTCATAATGCTGAAAGCACTGACTAAGTTTCACTCCACATCACTTCATTCTGATTACATCATCCTTTTCTCACGTATTCAACACCCATACAATCACATTTCAGAGTACTGTCCTTTACTTTGGGGAGCTTTTGGGGGTTACTAATACTTCCTTTTTGTGGCCCATCTTATTTATTCCCAGTGAATCTTTCCTTCTATAGGCATGATGACCAAATTTTAGCTTTCTACACAAAACTTGATTTTTTTGCCTCAGATAACTTTAAATGGTTTTCAGTACTTTTGTCATGTCACAGAGCTGTATTTTTGGGAGTTACTCATGCTGTGGTAGGTGGTGTGTTAACCAGGATTTCTGAATTCTATGCCTATTTTTGTCTTGTAATTCTTAGAACTTTGAACAAGTCAAGGCAGCTCTTTCTGCCACACCCTTTTATACCAGTGATTCTTAAACTTCAGTACATAAGAACTGCCTGGGAGCTTCTTATAAATGTAGATTTCTAGACTCTTCTGTGAGAGATTGTGGTTCAGAAGTGCTGAGGTTTGGTCCAGGAGTTGAATAATATTAATTCAACTTTTTGTAAAACTGCCTTGTGCCTTCTTTGGTGTGTCTGTGATGTAGAAAGTTTTTATTGTTTATCTCACAGTAAAGTTGGTTGAGAAACAATTAATATTCTAAAATACAGTTTTACAAATGACAGTCTCTTCAACTAATGTGTGTGTTGTCATATTTACATGTCTTTTGGTACTTGCTGAATTGAGAGTGATTATGAATTTAGTATAGATATAGACTCTGAAATTTCTCTGTTGGATTTCATAATACCTCATGTGCTAGATATATTCGTAGTACGTGCTCAGATGAAAATGTGTTGCTTATTGGTAGTGTAATCTCACAAATCATGACTTTTTTTTTGTCATTAACAAAAGGTATAACAAGTTCTAAGTGCCTGTGTAATCTGAAGACCTCCTGTGTGGTCTTCAGATTATTTTTTTTTTACTTGTTATTATAGAAAAGTTCAGATATACACAAGAGAGAATGATGTTTGGTTATCTATTGCTATGTAACAGCTACCTCAAAACCTCATGCTTAAAAATGACCATTTTATTATCTCCCACAGTTTTGTGGGTCAGGCATTCAGATTAGGCACAGTGAGGGTGGCTCTTGGCTCCACATGATGTACTTAGGCTGAAAGTCCCAAGAGGGTTATGAATTTAGTATAGGCATAGACTCCAAAATTTCTCTCTTGGATCTCATAATACATCATGTGCTAGGCATATTCATAGTACGTGCTCAGATGAAAATGTGGTTGTCATTGTAACCAACTACTACATAATGGTAATAAATTTCCGTTTACCCATCACTAACTCTTAAAATTATTGACTCGTGGCCAATCTTACTTTATCTAAACCATCACCTTTTCTTTTATCTTTTCTTTTTTTTTTTTTTGAGACAGAGTCTTGCCCTGTCGCCCAGGCTGGAGTCCAGTGGGTTGATTTCGGCTCACTGCAACCTCCGACTCCTGGGTCCAAGCGATTCTCCCGCCTCAGCCTCCTGAGTAGCTCAGATTACAGGCACACACCACCGTGCCCGGCTAATTTTTGTAGAGACAGGGTTTCACCATGTTGTCCAGGCTGGTCTTGAACTCCTGACCTCAGGTGATCTGCCCACCTCGGCCACCCAAAGTGCTGGGATGACAAGCGTGAGCTACTGCACCCAGCCTAAACCATCACCTTTCTAGATTATTTTGAAGCAAGTATCCTAGACAGTATATCATTTCATCTTTCAGTATTTCATTAGGTCTCTACGTAATTCTAGTCACTTTTCACATTCCCCGTCATTTCATAAAGGCTTAATATCTAAAACCCTGCTGCCTTTTTTACCCTTGAAACAATCACTGTTCTGATTTTTTTTTTTATCAGCGTAGATTGGTTTTGCATATTCTAGAACTGCATATATATGGAATCATACTGTATGTACACTTCTGTTGTTTCTGGTTTCTTTCACTCAGCTTTTTTATTTATTTATTTATTTTTTTTTTGTGACAGTCTTGCTCTATTGCCCAGGCTGGAGTGCAATTGCACAATCTCGGCTCACTGCAACCTCCGCCTCCCGGGTTCAAGCAGTTCTCCTGCCTCAGCCTCCCAGGTAGCTGGGATTATTATAGGCGTCCACCACCGCGCCTGGCTAATTTTGTATTTTTAGTAGAGACGGGGTTTCACCATGTTGGCCAGATTGGTCTCGAACCCCTGACCTCAGGTGATCCACCTGCCTTGGCCTCCCAGAGTGCTGGGATTACAGGTGTGAGCCACCGCGCCTGGACTCACTCAGCATGCTTTTGAGTTTTATTCATGTTGTGTATGTTACTGGTACATTTGCTACTAATCATTTCTTTTAATTACTGAGTAATATTCTGTTGTACGAACATAATACAGTTTTTTATCCATTCTCCCTTTGATGGACACCTGGGCCTTGCCCACGTTTAGGCTATTGTGAATAAAGCTGCAATGAGTATTCTTATATAAAGCTTTCTATGTACATATGTTTTCACTGTTTTTTGGATAAATACCTAGGAGTGAAATTGCTGGGTCATAGAGTAAATGATTGTTTAACTTTTAAATAAACGATTGGCAAGTTTTCCAAAGCATTTATATCATTTTACACCTCTGTCGACAATATATGAGAGTTCTGATTGCTTCATGTGCTTGCCAACATTTGGCATTGTCAGTTTCATTCATTTTAGCTATTTTAGTCAGTGCAGTGTGGTATTGTGGTATTACAATTTTTTTTTTTTTTTTTTTTTTTTTTTTACTTTTTGCAGTTTGTTTAATTCAGATACAAATAAGATTCACACATTTCAATTTTCCAATTGGTTGCCTTTTATGTATTTTCTATTCTGTATGGGTTTTCCTTCCCTTTCTCTCATTTCTTTTTTTTGGTCTTATTTTAGAATAATTATTTTTTAAATTTTCTTCTTAAAAATATAGGGAAATAGAAATAGAGTTTTGCCATGTTGTCCAGGGTGGTCTTAAACTCCTGGACTGAAGGGATCCTCCCACCTTGGCCTCCCAGAGTGCTAGGATTACAGGTGTGAGCCACCGTGCCCAGCCATTTTTGGGTTTACTGAAGTTGCAAATGTAGTATAGAGAGTTCCCATCTATCCTTCATCCTGCTTCCCCAAATGTTAACATCTTACATTATAGTACATTTGTCAAAATTGAGAAATGAACATTGGCCGGGTGCGGTGGCTCCTTCCTGTAATCCCAGCACTTTGAGAGGCTGCGGTAGGAGAATTGTTTGAGTCCAGGAGTTTGAGACCAGCCTGGGCAATCTAGAAAGACCCCATTGCTGCAGAAAAATTTAAAAATTAGGTGGGTGTGGTTGCACATGCTTATATTCTTAGCTACTTGTATGGTGGAGGCAGGAGGATTGCTTGAGTTCGGGAGTTTGAAGCTACAGTGAGCCATGATCACACCAGTGCACTCCAGCCTGGTCAACCCACAAGACCCCGTCTCAAAGAGAAAAAAGGGCTGAGCTCGGTTCCTCATGCCTGTAATCCCAGCATTTTGGGAGGCCGAGGTGGGCGGATTACTTGAGGTCGGGAGTTCAAGACCAGCCTGGCCAACATGGTGAAACCCTATCTCTACTAAAAATACAAAAAATTAGCCAGGTACAGTTGTGTGTGCCTGTAATTCCAGATGTTCTGGAGGCTGAGGCAGGAGAGTCGCTTGAACCCAGGAGGTGGAGGTTGCGGTGAGCCGAGATCATGCCACTGCACTCCAGCCTGGGCTATGGAGCAAGACTTGGTCTCAAAAAAAAAAAAAGTGGGGGGCAAAAGAAATGAACATTACTACAATACTAGTAACTATAGATTTTATTCAGATTTCTCCAGATTTTCCACAAATGTCCTTTTCTGTTGCAGGATCCAATTGGGGATCCCACATTGCATTTAGTCATAATGTTTTCTCCAATCTATGACAGTTTCTTAGATTTTCCTTGTTCATGACCTTGACAGGTCGAAGTGTATTTTGTACAGTGTCTCTCAATTTTGTCTTCATAGGTTTGATATTTTATCATGATTAGATTTGGATTATAGATGTTTAGGTGGAAGATCACAGAGGTGAATTGCCTTCTCATTTTATCATATCAGACGATACATAATTTAACACTGGTGATGTTGAAAAATGAGCAGCCAGCCACAAGAGATGCATGAGGCAGGGTGTATGTGGGAAGGGGTACGGAGCTTTCCTGTCCTCTCTGGGTACACCGCCCTCTACCTCCATGTGTTCAGCAGCCCGGAAGCTCCTCGCTCTCATTTCTTATTATTCGTTTGATTTTTAAAAGCTGGATTGTTTGTCTTACAGATGTTAGTACAGTCTGGATTCTGTTGACTAATGTGTTCCTCTCTCTTCTGTGTTTCCTATAAATTAGTAGTTACATTTAATGACTACTTCAGATTCATTTAGGACCATTGTCTGGATCTGCTAATTCACCAAGGATTGCAAAACATTAATCTTTTAATTCTATCACTCATTTTAATTTATGAGTTAGAAATTTCTTATTATTGTGTGGTCCCTTGGAGTAACGTTTATACAGGAAAGGAAACAGAAAAGATGATTACTTCCCTTTATTTACTAGTTTTGAGAATATGCATTGGTTCCCTAGCATCCTCTACATATTTAAAATATTTGATGTTTCAGTCCTTTGTGGTTATTATACTTATTGATGCTCAAAATATTCCATTTTTAGTTAACAGGAGTCTCTGGAAGTTGACTTCTGAATTTTTTTGACATGACCTTTATAGTCTTTAAGAGCTTCTTTGCTGCCAGGCACGGTGGCTCATGCCTATAATCCCAGCACTTTGGGAGGCCCAGGCGGGCAGATCACCTGAGGTCGGGAGTTCGAGACCAGCCTGACCAACATGGAGAAACCCCGTCTCTACTAAAAATACAAAATTAGCCAGGTGTGGTGGCACATGCTTGTAATCCCAGCTACTCATTGCTACTGGGTTGGTCATTTTTCCTGGACCTTTTCAATGAACGATGTTAGGAAATTATTTTTCTTGTAAGATACAACACATGAGTTCATAATAAAACTTTCAATTTAAATACGAGACTACAAGAGTTTTGTTTGTTTGTTTTCTGTTTGTTTGTTTGTTTGTTTTTGAAACGGAGTCTCTCTCTGTCCCGCAGGCTGGAGTGCAGTGGCGCCATCTCGGCTCACCGCAAGCTCCACCTCCCGGGTTCACGCCATTCTCCTGCCTCAGCCTCCCGAGCAGCTGGGACTACAGGCACCTGCCACCACACCCGGCTAATTTTTTGTATTTTTAGTAGAGACGGGGTTTCACCGTGTTAGCCAAGATGGTCTCGATCTCCTGACCTCGTGATCTGCCCGCCTTGGCCTCTCAAAGTGCTGGGATTACAGGCATGAGCCACTGTGCCCGGCCTGTTTTTGGTTTTTATGAGACAGAGTCTCTTGCCCAGGCGGGAGAGCAGTGGTGCAATCTCAACTCACTGCAGACTCTACCTCCCGGGTTCAAGCGATCCTCCTGCCTTAGCCTGCCAAGTAGCTGGAACCACAGGTGCGCGCCACCATGCCCAGCTAATTTTTGTAGTTTTTGTAGAGACAGGGTTTTGCCATCTTGCCCAGGCTGGTCTCAAACTCCTGAGCTCAAGCAATCCACCCACCCAGGTCTCCCAAAGTGCTGGGACTACAGGTGCATGCCAACACTCCCAGCTAATTTTTGTAGTTTTTGTAGAGATGGGGTTTCACTATGTTGCCCAGGCTGGTCTCAAAACTCCTGAGCCCAAAAAGTCCACCCACCCAGGCCTCCCAAAATTCTGGGATTGCAGGCATGAGCCACCATGCCTGGCCAACTACGAGGTTTTTACATAACCTCACAGATCTTACAGCTATATCTTTTTTTTTTCCCAAGCCAAAAATTATACTTCCCAATGACACTAACCAACGTAATTATTTATTTGCTTTACCTCATAACATATACACATACACTAATCTCAAAATAACTGTCAATACTAAAGAAACATTTTAAGATTTGGCAATTTCTTTTGTTTTTAAGGTATATCCTACTTAGAGATATTTAGTCAAATTAAGTGTTTCAAAATCACTTGAAATAGTTCCTTTCTGTGTGATTATGCCTTCAAATTGATTTCTGAGTTCGTTATATTTTGCATTTTATTCTTAAGATTTTGAAGTTTATTTTTATTTTTATTTTTTGAGACGGAGTCTTGCTTGTTGCCCACGCTGGGGTTCAGTGCTATGATCTCGGCTCACTGCAGCCTCCACCTTCCAGTTCAAGCGATTCTCCTGCCTCAGCCTCCCGAGTAGCTGGGACTACAGGTGCGTGCCACCATGTCCGGCTAATTTTTGTATTTTTAGTAGAGACGAGGTTTCATCATGTTGGCCAGCCTTGTCTTGAACTCCTGACCTCAAGAGATCCACCTGCCTTGGCCTCCCAAAGTGTTGGGATTACAGGCGTGAGCCACTGAGGCCAGCCTAAAGTTTAATATTATACTCTTTATGTTTCAAAGTTAAATCTACAAGCAAGGAATATTCAGAGACATCTAGCTTCTGGATAGATGTCTCTACCCTGTTCTCTTTCTTCCTCCCCATAGTAACCTTTTTTTTTTTAAAGTGTGTTTTATTCTTCCATTTAAAAAAATACATACATATTTGTCTTTTCCTCTTTCTTAGCTAAATGGGAGCGTACTGAAATATTTATCTCTACCTCTGTGTTAAGTTTAAAAATATATGTATATCTGCATGAATTGCTTGGCATTTATAGGTGATATGGAGGCCCTTCTAGCTAATGGTGGAAACGGGTGGGAGAGGTGGACAACTAATAAGAATGTACCCTGGGTATCTCTCATCATTCGGCTGTAAACTATTACTACAGTTGAAGTTCCTAGATTCCATTTATTTTTAATTTTTTTTTTTTTTTTGAAACGGAGTCTTGCTCTGTCGCCCAGGCTGGAGTGCAGTGGCGCGATCTCAGCTCACTGCAAGCTCCGCCTCCGCCTCCTGGGTTCATGCCATCCTCTTGCCTCAGCCTCCCAAGTAGCTGGGACTACAGGCGCTCACCACCAGGCCCGGCTAATTTTTTATATTTTTAGTAGAGACGGGGTTTCACTGTGTTAGCCAGGATGGTCTCGATCTCCTGACCTCGTGATCCGCCCTCCTCGACCTCCCAAAGTGCTGGGATTACAGGCGTGAGCCACTGTGCCCGGCCTATTTTTGATTTTTGAGACAGAGTCTTGTTGTGACGCCCAGGCTGAAGTGTGGTGGTGTGATCTCAGCTCACTGCAACCTCTGCTTCCGCAGTTCAAGTGATTCTCCTGCCTCAGCCTCCTGAGTAGCTGGGACTACAGGCGTGTGCCACCATGCCCAGCTCATTTTTGTGTTTTTAGTAGAGATGGAGTTTCACCATATTGGCCAGGCTGGTCTCGAACTCCTGACCTCAGGTGATCCGCCCGCCTCCGCCTTCCAAAGTGCTGGGAGTATAGGCGTGAGCCACCGTGCCTGGCCCCTAGATTCCATTTGTATCTCTGTTCTTAAGCAAAACTTTTTTCTCCTTAGACTTCAGATTTTCCTGTCCTTGATCCCAGCTGGACTGCTCAAGAAGAAATGGCCCTTTTAGAAGCTGTGATGGACTGTGGCTTTGGAAATTGGTAAGAGCTTGGTGTTAAGAGTTGTCCTGCCCTAGTGGACTCAGAGAAGAAGCTGTTGTTGAAGAGTAAAGGAAGGAACCTCAGGAAGAGAAAGTATGTGTTGCTTTCCTATCAACCCATGATTTAGAGGCAAGTTAGTCCCCTCTGTACATTATTTTTCCAGTGTCGAAATGTGTCACGAGGATATGGGATGTTTAGCGGTCCATGACTGAGCAGCTTTAAAAGGCCACTTTGGATGTATCAACAGTGGGAAGATTGATTATTATTCCTTTCTGAATAGTAGGGAAGTTTAGTTTCGTTAGTTATTACTCCCTTCTGATTTTATGAATTTTTGTTAGTTGTAGATGCCCTAGTCATTTAAGTGAATCAGACTTTAGCTAGATGGTCATACGTAAGATTCAAGTTTCACAGACTTCCTGATAGCATTCTCTGTTTTTAGCTTTCAAACACCTACCTGCCTTAGTCCAAAACCGGCGGAATTGAATAGCACTTATTGCTGTTGACCTAGGGGGCAGCACCACTTAATACTACCACTTTCGTTTTTATCTTTTGGGAACACTTTCATATGGATGCTTTTATTTTATGAACTAGATAGCAGAGGCATTATTGAATATATTTTGTTCACAAATTATCTGAAGCCTAGGGGGTTGAAATGATTTCTTGTGATTACATAGCTTATTACTGAAGGACTCTTAATTAGGTCCTCCCTGTCCTGACTTACTAGTGTATATAACCTTTCTTGGTGTTCATCAGAATAAACTCTGCTGCCTGCCTCCCTTATGTCCAGGGACCTGAAGAAGGAGACCTGAATTTAGTTCACATTTTGCTTGTATTCATTCATTCAGTATTTATTAAGCATCATAAAATACTGTGTACAATGAGAAATACCAAAGGAGGTAGAAAAGTAATCACTTGTGAGGAGTTTGCTAGTCATCTTTGGCCTAGTTTTTCATTTTTTGCTTACCATTCTCTCTAAAATAGTCTAAACCTCTCTGTCCTCCTTCCCTCTTAACAAAGAACATAAAAAAGACATAGCTTCTCTATCCGCTGTGGGTAAGGCACTAAGTTTGGCAGTGAGTGGGCTAGAGCTAAGAATTATGAGATGCATCCTGTCTTCAGAAAGCTTATAGTTTAGCAGGGGACTTAAAAATACAAGTGATTGAAGTACACAAAACAGCACAGTGATGCCTTAGGGGAGGTCAAGTGAAATGCTGTGAAAAAGAGACCTTGAGGAAAGGACTTCCACCTGTACCTCTCCATTACCTTGGCTCAAGTCAGGGATTTTTTTTTATTGAGACAGTCTCACTTTATCACCCAGGCTGAAATGCAGTGGTGTGATCACAGTCACTATAACCCCGAACTCCTGGGCTCAAGGGATCTTCCCTCCTCAGACTCCCAAGTAGTTGGAACAACAGGTGTGCGCCACCATACTCAGCTAATTTTTAAATTTTATTATTATTATTATTATTTGGAAACAGGATCTTGCTCTGTCGCCCAGGGTGGAGTACAGGGGCATGAGCTTGACTCATTTCAGCTTCAACCTTCCAGGCTCAAGTGATCCTCCCAGCTCAGGCTCCCGAGTAGCTGGGACTACCGGCGTGTGCAACCACCCCTGGCTAATCTTTGTATTTTTTGTTGAGATAGGATTTTACTGTGTTGCCCAGGCTGGTCTCGAACTCCTGAGTTCAAGCCATCCTCCCACCTTGGCCTCCCAAAGTGCTGGAATAACAGATGTGCCCCACCATGCCTGGCCAGATTCTTAAGCAAGTTTCTTAATTATTTTGGGCCTCATTTTTCCTTCTTTGAAATTGAGATAGTAACAATATCCATACCACAAATTTGATACTAGGTTTAACTTAAATTCTGTTGTGAATGTTTCTAGCTCAGTGTCTGGCATCTCATAGCAGCTCTAGTAAAGAAATGTTTATGTTAAGTGTTTGGTAAACCGTAAAATATTAGGCAAAATAAAACTATATTTCTGTATATTTTGAATGTTCTGAAGTCACTTCTTATTATTTACAGCAATTATTTCTGTAGGGCCTAGCTCACAGGAAAATTTACAAATTTTCCAGTCATCTTTATTTATTTATTTATTTATTTATTTATTTATTTATTATTTTTTTTTTTTTTTGAGATGGAGTTTCGCTCTTGTTGCCCAGACTGGAGTGCAATGGCGTGATCTCTGCTCACTGCAACCTTTGCCTCCTGGGTTCAAGCAATTCTCCTGCCTCAGCCTCCCAAGTAGCTGGGATTACAGGCATGCATGCACCACCACGCCTGGCTAATTTTGTATTTTTAGTAGAGACAGGGTTTCTCCATGTTGATCAGGCTGGTCTCTAACTCCCAACCTCAGGTGATCCACCTACCTCCCAAAGTGCTGGGATTACAGGTGTGAGCCACTGCGCCTGGCCTCAGTCATCTTTCTTTAAGTGGAAAAGAAAGGACTTTTTAGTCATTATTTCTGTGTTTTAGACTAGCAAGATATGGAACACCAGATTACACCAATCTAGGCTTATATTTATGTCATTTTTCTGCTGATATCTTTTTGATATCAATTTGGAAATATGAGAGTATATTATATGGATGTGACTTAAAATATGAAAAGAGCAAATGATGCTTTTAGTATTATGTGTAAATACAAGTACCACTTCTCTCTTTTTCCCACAATCCTCTAGGCAGGATGTAGCCAATCAAATGTGCACCAAGACCAAGGAGGAGTGTGAGAAGCACTATATGAAGCATTTCATCAATAACCCTCTGTTTGCATCTACCCTGCTGAACCTGAAACAAGCAGAGGAAGCAAAAACTGCTGACACAGCCATTCCATTTCACTGTAAGTGCCTCCCTATCTTGATAAGATATACTTAGCTCATCCTTGGGCCCTGTTTCAGTAGCAGATAAAGAGTGATTTGATGACTTGGACAGCTAATGATATCACGGAAGATAGGAGGAGTTAGTATGGCAGCTATTGAGAGTCAGGATCGACCCAGCATGGTGGCTTGTGCCTGTAATCCCAGCACCTTGGGAGGCTGAGGCGGGTAAATCACTTGAGGCCAGGAGTTCAAGACCAGCCTGGCCAACATGGCGAAACCCTGTCTCAACTAAAAGTATAAAGATTAGCTGGACGTGGTGGCAGACACCTGTAATCCCAGCTACTGGGGAGGCCAAGGCAGGAGAATCACTTGAACCGGGTAGGCGGAGATTGCAGTGAGCCAAGATCACATCACTGCACTCCAACCTGGGTGACAGAGTGAGACTTCATCTCTTAAAAAAAAAAAAAAAAAGAGTCAGGATTATAATGTGGCAAAGAAGGAACATACTCTAAGGGTCAGAGTTCTATACAGGACATCAAGGTGCTTGAAGCCAATGTGTAGTTCCACCTACCTTGAGTCCTTTGAACATATCAGTTAACTTAGTGCTTTCCTTTGTAAAATAAGATGTCAAAAAGGGAAAACCTTTTCTATGCTATTATGAGTGCAAGTTTTTTTTCAATCCCTTTGGAGAGCTTATGATTATACATATGAGTTGCTTAGAGAATACAGTATTTGACTCATTATTATTAATTGCCTTGGTGTCAAGCCCAAGAATCAGTTTGTTATTTTTGTTCGCTTGGTTGTGTCAGTGATGGCGAACTTTTTAATCTCATGTGCGTGTGGGACCAGTGGGTCTCTTAATAAAATATAACCAAAAACATGATGAATTATAAATGACCATCTTTCCTGAATGACTCTCAGGGTACAAGTAATGAGATATGAATGTTTTCACTTCCCTTTTCTCTTTCCTCATACTCTCTAGAAACAGTTTTATAGCTGACTAACTTAAAGGCTGGTAATACCTCCTTTTTTTTTTTTTTTGGAGACAGAGTCTCGCTGTGTCTCCCAGGCTGGAGTGCAGTGGCACAACCTCGGCTTACTGCAACCTCCACCTCCAGGGTTCAAACGATTCTCGTGCCTCAGCCTCCTGAGTAGCTGGTACCACAGGTGCATGCCACCACACCTGGCTAATTTTTTGTATTTTTAGTAGAGAAAAGGTTTTGCTGTGTTGGCGAGGCTGGTCTCGAACTCCTGACCTTATGATCTGCCCGCCTCGGCCTCCCAAAGTGTTGGGATTACAGGTGTGAGCCACCGTGCCTGGTTGATACCTCCTATTTGGATAGCACTTTGGTGTTAGCACTTTGTTCTCAAATCCATTAGACCATTTGTTTCCTAACAGCAACCCAGTGAGATAGGCAGAGCAAGTGCTTTTGTTTTACATTCGAGAAGACCGATGCAGACAGGTTAGTTTGTGCAGGGTCATGGGACTAGTGTGTGTTGGAGCTAGGACTTAATTTCAGCTAACTTCCAATTCCAGTGTTTGTTTTTTTCCCGTCTTTTTTTTTTTTTTTTTTTTTTGCCTCTCAGTTGGATGAGTTTTGTAAATTGAAGTTCATCCTAAGGGATAAGGGAGCCGAAGCCAACGGTAAATATTTAGGTTCTGTAATATTAAAGGAAAAAAGTCATGATTTCCTTTCATTTTAGGAAAGCAGAAATCAGAAGAAATTTCCCCATATTTACTTAAAGGATTGCCTGAGTCTTGGTTTTTCTTTTTAAAAAACCTGTTTTCATAATACTTTATCTTTTTCACATTTCCTTTTATAAAAACCATTTTAAATTTTATTTATTCTTGGACTATTATGTCATTTTTTTCATGCCAATATTGTATTAGTTAACTCAGAAACCTTCTAAATTCTTCCAGCTACAGATGACCCTCCCCGACCTACCTTTGACTCCTTGCTTTCTCGGGACATGGCCGGGTACATGCCAGCTCGAGCAGATTTCATTGAGGTAGGATAAATGTGTTTTTAGCACAAAGTAGGAAAAATTCATTTTTGTTTCTCATGAGCCTTCTGTCTCACCCATAGATTCCATACCACTAAAAGGAGATTTTTCAAGGCACTATAATTTGTAGGACCTTTAGGCAGCCACATTTTCTTAGGTTTGAGTGCCTTTTCTCATTTGTAAACATTTTCACATATGGAACAGTAAAAATTCTTTAAACAAACAACCTATTTCTGGCCAGGCTCAGTGGCTTACACCTGTAATCCCAGCACTTTGGGAGCTGAGAATGGAGGATCGCTTGAGTCCAGGTGTTCGAGACTAGCCTGGGCAACGTAGTGAGACCCTGTCTCTACAAAAAATAAAAAATTAGCTGGGTGTGGTGGTGCATGCCTGTAGTCCCAACTACTTGGCAGGCTGATATGGGAGGATCACTTGAGCCTGGGAGGTTAAGGCTGTAGCGAGTGGTGATCATTCCACTAAACTGCACCCTAGACAACAGAGTAAGACCCTGTCTCCAAAAAACAAAAAAACCCCAGCAAACCCACCTCTTAAGTTGCATCAGTGCTGGCTTCCACTTCCTTAGGTATGAAATTCCTATAGTCTGGTTCTTTTTTTTTTTTTTTGAGACAGAGTTTTTGCTCTTGTTGCCCAGGCTGGAGTGCAATGGCATGGTCTTGGCCCATTGCAACCTCCACTTCCTGGGTTCAAGCGATTCTCCTGTCTCAGCCTCCCAAGTAGCTGAGACTACAGGTTCCTGCCACCATGCCTGGCTAATTTTTGTATTTTTAGTAGAGATAGGGTTTCACCATGTTGGCCAGGCTGGTCTCAAACTCCTGACCTCAGGCAATCCACCAGCCTCGGCCTCCCAAAGTGCTAGGATTACAGGCGTGAGCCACTGCACCTGGCTTGTAGTCTGGTTCTTATTGTACATCTAGGGGCTTTCAAGATTGTACTGTATCAGGGGTTGACAAACTTATTCTATTAAAGGCCAGATAGTAAATATTTTAGGTTTAGTATGCTATAAAGTTTCTATTGTAACTATACTTTGTCATTATTGTGCTAAAGCAGCATGGGATAATATAAGAATAAATGAATACGCCTGTGTTCCAGTAAAACTTTATGTACAAAAACAGACAGTAGGCTGAATAGTAGTTTACTGATTCCTGTACTATATCCACAAGTATATAAAGAATGATGAATGTGTATAAAAACTATATGTTCCTTGCTCAGCTATGGAATTAAAAGACATGTGAATGTAGCCACAAGTCTCTTGATTTATCATCTAATTCACAACTTGAAAGATAGTTTGGCCAAATGCGGTAGCTTACACCTGTAAATCCCAGCACTTTGGGAGGCTGAGGCAGGCGGATTGCTTGAGCTCAGGAGTTTGAGACCAGCCTGGGCAACATGGCAAAACGCTGTTTCTTCAACAACAACAACAAAAAAAACCCGAAACCAAAAATTAACTTGAGTGTGATGGCACATGCCTGTAGACCCAGCTGCTTGAGAGGCTGAGGCAAGAGGATCACTTGAGCCTGGGGGTTCGAGGCTGCAGTGAGCCAAGATCACACCACTGCACTCCAGCCTGAGTGACAGAGTAAGACCCTGTTTCCAAAAAAAAAAAAAAAAAGAATGAATTGACTTTATTTATTTATTTCAGAGACAGGCTCTTGCTCTGTTTCCCAGGCAGTCTTGAACTCCTGGTCTCAAGTGATTTTTCCACCTAAATCTCCTGAGTAGCTGGGATTATAGGTGCATGCTACTGTGCCCAGCTCAGACTAATTTTAGTTTTTAGAGCAGTATGTTTAGCTTCATTCCTAAACTCATAACTATTCCAATTTTTTGTTGTCACTACTGCTTGTAAGCCTCTTAGATTTTTCCCATGACTTCCTATTACCTGTGCCAGTATTGTGGCCTTTTGCCATATTTAGACTTTTTAAACAACTGTTTGCTTGTGTTTTTTCTGTTTACTTCTAAAGCATGGCTGCTGTAAAGACACTAATCAAAGCCGATGGGTTTGGGGTGGGGATTTTTTTGTTCCCCTAAACAGGAATTTGACAATTATGCAGAATGGGACTTGAGAGACATTGATTTTGTTGAAGATGACTCGGACATTTTACATGGTAACAGTTTATTTTGTCAAATGTTTATCGAGCGCCAACTGTGTGATGACACTGTCTTGGGTGCTAGGAATTGAAGGATGAATAGAACATGTCCCCTGCCCTTATAGAATTCAGAAATCTAGTGGTTAAGTTGCTGAACTTACTGTGTTGTTGGATTTTGACCACAGTGAATAAGACTTGTGATGAGGGTAAAAATATTGATTATATAATAGTAGTAGGAAATATCTGTTGGACTGTGTGATTTTACTTTTATCTGAGGTAAATCTACACTAAGGTAATTGGTTAAATGGCCCTCACTTGCATTCTTAGAAGGAAGGGAATCAGTTTGAATTCTTGGGACTTCACTAGCAACTGCTATCACTAAATGTTCACTATATTTTGTTACCCGGAATTTCCCCTAGCAAGGAAAAAGAATGGAAATTCCTCAAGAGTTTTTAGGCCCAAATGGGGAATTTCTTGTTTCTCAGGACTGTTGAATTTTCAACACTGCTGGATTCTTTTTTATGTTTGTTTTTGAGACGGAGTCTCACTCTGTTACACAGGCTGGAGTGCAGTGGCGCGATCTTGGCTCACTGCAACCTCTGTCTCCCAGGTTCAAGGGATTCTCCTGCCTCAGCCTCCCAAGTAGCTGGGATTACAGGTGTTTGCCACCATGCCCAGCTAATTTTTGTTTTTTTATTAGAGATGGGGTTTCGCCATGTTGGCCAGGCTGGTCTGCAACTCCTAACCTCAAGTGATCTGCCCGCCTCAGCTTCCCAAAGTGCTGGGATTACAGGCGTGAACCACCACGCCTGCCCCAGCATTGCTGAATTCTAATCTTTGATTAGCCCTCTAAGGGTTTATGTTAACTCTTTTCCTAAAACTTATGTGGTGAATGCCAAAGAGCTGTTAAGAGTAGATAGTTAGACTTTGAGTCCCTTTTTTCCTTCTTTCCATTTTCAGTGAACTACATACTAATATATACTAATACTACATAATAATACCCAATACTTTTTTTTTAATTTTAGTTCAGAATTGAATATGATACAGTAGATCAGTAATTCTCTATTGGAATCTGTATTTCCCAAAGAGCATCTTCATGATTTCTGTTAAATTTACATCCCAGGCAGGAAAGACAAGTAGAGTATACTTGTTAAATTATAAATCAAGTTTTCATATTGCATGGACTGGTACACTGTCCCTAGAAGGGGAACTTGATTCTTTTCTCTCCATAGAAGAGCTGCCTGGATATTTGTTATACCAGATCTAAGATAAAGAAATAGTCTTCCTAAAAATTTTACCTTAAGAAATTTTTCTCTACACATTTCTTGAGCGGTGGGTTTTTTTTTGGGGGGGTTTTTTTTTTTTTTTTGGCAACATTTTATTCCTCCTTTTCTCCCACACAACTTTAAGGAAAGTCAAAGTGACGCAGATTGAACTAAAAGAGGAAAGCTTGAAAGCAAACTACTTTAGCATTAACTAAATCCATTGTATTTGTTCAGTCTTCCGTGTCAGTCTCGTCAATCCCAGTGACTCATGTTATCTTTTCTCACCTCTTGTGGTGTTCCCTTTGAAGGTAGTATGCAGACTGCCATTCATAGACACCAGCTTTAATTGAAATGGTATTGTTTTCTGGCTTGTATCTTTCTTATAGAATGCCAGACTACTCTGCACAAAAGGGGCAGCTTCATAAATATCATTCTTTTAGATTCTGCTCAAAAATACCAAATTTTTGGCTGGGCATGGTGGGTCACACCTATAATCCTAGCACTTTGGGAGGCCGAGGCTGGCTGATCACTTGAGGCCGAGAGTTCAAGACCAGCCTGGGCAACACAGTGAGACCCTGTCTCTAAAAAAAAAAACCTTTAAAACAAATTTTTAAAATATTATTATTGTTTTTCCTCCTCCTCCTCCCTGCTTTTTATTTTTACCTATATATTTATTTTTTACAGAATTTTAAAGTCAACATCTATAATGTTAATAATGGCTTGACTTGGTGAATCACTTCTCTAGAGCCTAATCCAAGGTCTTCATTCATACTTCTCAACATTATTAAGAAAACTATAGTAATGGTCGGTGTTTAATTTCATTCTTCATTCTTCATGGGAGTAGGACTTGCAGTTCCTTCTGGTTCACTTGGGGTCCTTTTTGTAATTAAGTGGGGATAAAAAGAAACAGAAGCAACTGATTGATCAGCAATTTATAGTTCAGTTAGCTTTTCAAACCCATAACATACTTTAGGTATTTGTACTCTCCCTGAAGTTTCTATAGCCCTGTAAATTATTGATTTTCATTTGAGCTATAACTGGAACTTATGTTATTAATCTTTATACATAGTTAGCTTTAACACAACATAAATAATAATTCTTTCCCTCTGCCCCATAGTAAACTGTAAGATGTTTAGATGAGTGCTTTTATTTTTTATTTTTTTTGTGACAGACTCTCACCTTGTTAGCCAGGCGGGAGCGCAGTAGCGTGATCTTGGCTCACTGCAACTTCTGCCTCCCAGGCTCAAGCGATTCTCGTGCCTCAGCCTCTGGCATAGCTGGGATTAGCGCCACCATGCCCAGCTAATTTTTATATTTTTAGTAGAGAGAGGGTTTTGCCATGTTTGCAAGGCTGGTCTCAAACTCTTGGCCTCAACTGATCTGCCCACCTCTGCCTCCCAAAGTGCTGGGATTACAGGGGTTAGCCACCGCGTCCGGCCCTAAATGAATGCTTTTAAAAAGATGATAACACTTCAGATTTGGGTATGGTTGGCTCACACCTGTAATCCTAACACTTTGGGAGGCCAAAGTGGGAGGATTTCTTGAGCCCAGGAATTCAAGGTCAGCCTAGACAACAAAGTGAGACCCCCCACCTCTAAAAAATAAAAAAGATGATAACAGTTTAAAGAAGCTTGTCAGCACTACAGACCAAAGGAATGACTTGCTCATGCCACAGAGAGGTATTTTGTTTACAGCTCTGAGTCTTTACAGCAGCTCCTGTGGCAGCATGACCATGTCCAGGAGCATATTGTCCCTGAGCTGTCACTCGCAGAACACTCAGTGAAGTGCACTAGGAGCCCATGGAAAGTCAGGAAGGAATGAAAAGGGGCTTTATAAGCACACCTGGAACAGTTAGAGGGGCACAGATTTTGTAGAAATCAGGACACTGATTCAGCCTCTGGCTTGCTTCTGAGTCATGGTATAATCATGAGTAAGTGCTTGGAATCTTGCTTGCTGTTTCTTTATGTCCTCTGCCATTAAAGAAGAGGTGACACTGATTAGTCAGAGTGTAAATGTCTCTAATGAAACATGGTACATAATTCAGATTTGTGTTGTTACCATTCCATTATACCATTATGCTCTTAATATTACTGAGCATTAACAACATTATTTTTATGGTTCCTCATTTAGAACTACTGGAAGGTTGCAGACTGTTTGGCTGGGTTTTGTATTTAGAACCTATCCAGAATATTGGCTGATGCCACCAAGACCTTTTCCTCACCCACACAAAGATTTTTGCCTTGAATCATGGAATTTGTTTAATAAATTTGGTTTGCATGGTTCATTATAGAGACCTGGGACACAATGGAGGGATAATTGTATTGCAGCCATACCAGAAGGCTTTCAGAATGTATTTCAAATGTATACTGCAAGTGAAGCAGTATCCAAGGAAAAATAAGGAAGTTCCGTGATCCCTAATTGGTACTTACTCATATTTTATGGAAATAAGCAGAAATGTTTGGTTCAGAAAGAGAGAGAGAGAAGACTCATATCTTAGAACTGTCTTGTCTCATGTATGTTGTGAGATCTCAATGCACATGCTTAGTGTAGTTCCTTCTTGCTGCCATCTCTTTCCCCATCTCCTTTCATTTGTAAAAATTCTTCCTAAATTTTTAGAGTACTCTTTCCCTGAGTTTCTCAGGATCCTAAAGTCCTGGTTGTAATGTCTTCCAAGTCATTGTTGCCCCATAACCCAGGCAAGCAAGAGATATGATGAGCTCCTCCTATGTGTTGGGTCTGTGTTTCCAGTACTTCTCAGGGTTGCACCTTAGTACAGTTCACAATTTCTTCTCCCTCTGTTCTGGAAAGGTAATTTTAGAAAGTTTTCTCTCCTAGGCTTGGATCTGTGGACCCCTTCACCTTTCACTGTATTTTTCAAATTGTATTTCTTTGGCACATATTATTAGCCTTTAAATCCTTTAACAATTAGTAGAGCAGAGGTCCAGCCTGGTCTCTGTATATTCACCTACTGGCAGTTCCTTTCACTTATAGTGATTTCACTGTTTTTTTTTTTTATTTTTTTTGAGACGGAGTCTCGCTCTATCGCCTAGGCTGGAGTGCAGTGGCGCGATCTTGGCTCGCTGCAAGCTCCGCCTCCTGGGTTCACGCCATTCTCCTGCCTCAGCCTCCCGAGTAGCTGGGACTACAGGCACCCGCCACCATGCCTGGCTAATTTTTTGTATTTTTTAGTAGAGACGGGGTTTCACCATGTTAGCCAGGATAGTCTCGATCTCCTGACCTCATGGTCCACCCGCCTCAGCCTCCCAAAGTGCTGGGATTACAGGCGTGAGCCACCGTGCCCGGCCTGATTTCACTGTTTTATACATAGGATATTTTAGACATGAATACTATCAGTAATAATTGCTAATACATATAGCATTTACTATTAGTTACCATTCTAAGCTCTTCATATATATTAAGTCATTTAATCCTCAAAACCTTATGAGTTGCATATTATTATTATCCTCATTTTTGTGGATGAGGACATTGAAGCATAGAAAGGTTAGATAACTTGCCTGAGATCATACAGCCAGCAAGAGGTAGAGTCATCCCCAAGTCTGTGTTCTTAATACTGTACAATACTTAGCTGTCTTTACAATCTTGATTTTTTTTTTTTTTTTTTGAGACAGGGTCACGCCCTGTTGCCCATGCTGGAGTGCAGTGGCACAATCATGGCTCACTGCAGCCTCAACCTCCTGGGCTCAAACTATCCTCCCACCTCAGCTACCTGAGTAGCTGGGACTCCAGGCGTGCACCATCACACCTGGCTAATTTTTAAAATTTTTTTGTAGAGACAGGGTCTCACTATGTTGCTCAGGCTCAACCTTGAATGTTTGTTGCTGTTTCATTTTTGTGAGGTTTCACATTTGTTATCTTCTATAGCTTCAACACATTCCTGAGGAATAGATATTTTCCTGTTTTACATTCAGGGAAGCAGACAAAGAAGTTAAGTAATTTGCCTAATCCAGGGGTGTCAATCTTTTGGCTTCCCTGGCCCACACTGGAAGAAGAAGTGTCCTGGGCCACACATAAAATACATTAACGATAGCTGATGAGCTAAGGAATAAAAAACAAACAAACTCATAATGTCTTAAAAAAGTTTACGAATTTGTATTGCGCTGCATTCAAAGCCGTCCTGGGCTGCATGTGACTCACGAGCGACAGGTTGGATAAGCTTGGCCTAATGCTTCCTGGTTGCTTACTTTAGCCATTAGATCACATGATCTTCCCTGCACAAAATTGTTTGTGTGCATCTTGGCCAAAAGCTTGGGGGGAAATGACTTAAATAGTGTTGCTTCTGGGGAATACCTGTGTCACAGGTTTCTACTTGTTTGGTCGCAGTAGGGATTTTGATTGGCCTCCCTGCAGTTAAGGCCTCTGAGTTGGTTTTCTTGCCAAGCAAGCAGTAAGTGCCTTCTGTCAAGAAAACAGAAACATGTTGTTAGCTATTTTGAACAATGTTAGAAATACATTGCAGTGGGAAGGAGCTGCCTCTGACTTCTGCCCACTTCTTGAAATATTTTAAGGCTAGCCGTTTGGAAACTTTATCATTCTCCAGTGTAATCACAGGGAGACTGTGCTTCCCCCAAAGCTGAGATTTCAGGGGCCTTGTAGCAATGGACAAATTACAGGTGATTTTGGTTTGTTTGTTTATTTTTAATGATCTCTGGTTCTCTGTTTGCTAGCTTATACTGCAGCTTCCAGCTGCTTTAAGTAGACTGTGAGCAAGTGATTCTCATTCTTGTAGATTCTGCCTTCTCATTTCTGTTCTGCCTGCTGTGCTGTTGTCCTCCCTAGGTTATTCATACAGTTAAGATATTGTATTCAGTTGCTGCTGAGTGTGCTCAGAGATAGCTTCAAATATGAATTTTTATCTGGGAGAATTCCAGTTCTCCTCCCATTTGCTCCTATGTGTTTCTTTTCTTCCTTTTGTTCTCCAGAGCCAGTTGTACAAGTTTAAACTACTGAAGTGATCAAACTGTAGTACCAATTATCAGCAGTATTTATTCAGAGGCTTTTTTTTTTAAAAGAAACAGAGTCTCATTCTGTTGCCCAGGATGGAATGCAGTGGTACAATCTTTAGCTCACTGTAGCCTTGAATTCCTGGGCTCAAATGATCCTTCCGCCTTAGCCTCACAAGTAGCTAGGACAACAGGCACACGCCACCACACTTGGCTAATTTATAAAAAAAATTTTTGTAGAGACAGAATCTCAATGTGTTACCCAGGCTGGTCTCAAAACTCCTGGCCTCAAGCGATCCTCCCACCTCAGCCTCCCAAAGTCTGGGATTACAGGTTTTTTTGTTTTTTGGCTTTTTTTTTTTTTTTGAGACGCCCTCTGTAGCCCAGGTTGGAGTGCAGTGGTGCAATCTTAGCTCACCACAGCCTCTGCCTCCCAGGCTATAGCAATCCTCCCACCTCAGCCTCCCAAGTAGCTGGGACTACAGGCACATACCACCATGTCTGGCTATATTTTTGGTACATTTTTGTAGAGACAGGGTTTCACTATGTTGCCCAGGCTGGTCTCGAACTCCTAAGCTCAACCCATCTGCCCACCTCAGTTTCTCAAAGTGCTGGGATTACAGGTGTGAGCCACCATGCCTGGCCTTTTTTAAAAATTAAATCACTCCTACACAAATCTCAGGAAACAACATGGCATCTTGTATCTTACAAAAATCGCAGAAATGGGCCTGGCGCAGTGGCTCATGCCTGTAATCCCAGCACTTTGGGAGGCCGAGACGGGCAGATCACCTGAGGTCAGGAGTTTGAGATCAGCCTGGCCAACACGGTGAAACCCCGTCTCTACTAAAAATACAAAAATTAGCCAGACATGGTGGTGGGCACCTGTAATCCCAGCTACTTGGGAGGCAGGGGCAGGAGAATTGCTTGAGCCTGGGAGACAGAGGTTGCAGTGAGCCAAGACTGCGCTGTTGCACTCCAGCCTGGGCGACAAGAGCAAAACTGTCTCAAAAATAAAAAATAAATCACAAAAATGTTTTGTTAAAATTAGCAGTAATTTTACTGGCTCTTCAAGACATTTTCTTTCCTATTAAATTCATCTTACTGAGTAGATAAATGAGATAAGGCTTATAAAGATCTTGAAATATGGCCAGGCGCGATGGCTCACACCTGTATTCCCAGCACTTTGGGAGGCCAAGGCGGTGGATCACTTGAGGTCAGGAGTTGCAGACCACCCTGGCCAATGTGGCAAAACCCCATCTCTACTAAAAATACAAAAATTAGCTGGGTATGGTGGCGTGCACCTGTAATCCCAGTTACTTGGGAGGCTGAGGCAGGAGAATGGCTTGAACCTGGGAGGTGGAGGTTGCAGTGAGCTGAGATCATGCCACTGCACTCCAGCCTGGGAGACAGAGCGAGACTCCATCTCAAAAAAAAAGATCCTGAAATATGGTAAGTACTCAGTGTGTTTTAGCTATCATTATTGTATTTGTTTCCCTTTCTGGCTTTAACTGTTGACTTCCTAATCCTTCCTTTCTCTTAAGAGATAGAGTCCACTATAAAACTTGTATTTGGTTATACTGTATGTCAGAGGCACTTCCTATCCTTGTTTCTACCCACCACTTCTACCACATAGGCTTGTAAAGTGCATCTCCACCAGCATAACATTCTAAAGCCCATCATTCCACAGCAACTGTGTTATAAAACAGTGACAGGTATAGGCATTCTATGATATCTGGACTTTTATATGTAGCAACCCTATAAATCAAGAAATATTTCATTTGTAGAAAGAGTTCTGCTACCTAAAAAAAAAAAAGAGTTTGAAAACTATTGCCTTAAATCTTGGACCTGACAGTATTGAATTATTTTTAGTTTGTGGGCAGGATAAGGAAAAGTAAACCAATGTTTAAATATTTGAACTTGTTAGAAATGAACAAAAAGAATCCATGGTAGTTAATTTTTCTTTTTTACCCTAAACTTTTAAAAATACTGCATTTCCTCCCTTCTTCAGATTATCCAGATAGGACTTAGGTTATTTTTATCTCAGACCCAAGGGAGAATGACCTGGATAAAGTACTCCTGGACATCTCCCAGTGATTGAAGTTACATACATATATATAGGACATCTGCTCATAGCCCAGCATGTAAGATTTTGGTATTGAACTTTCCAGTCTAAGAATATCCTTCAGATGAGAACATGTAGAGAGAGAGAGAAAAGAAAAAGAGAGTATCTTAAGGGCAGGTAGCAGTGAGATGCACAGTAATGAGTCAGTATGTGGTATCAGAATTTATCTCTATTATCAGGGTTATTAACAGTGCATCAGCATTGTACATTGCTCAATTTTTGTTTGCTTTCATGTAATAAAAGAAATTATTGATTCTAATGAGCCATCGTATTCTGTTCTTTTACTTGATTGGTCCCACTTTTTTTCTACCCTAACATCTACTTCCAGCAGAAGTGTGGCTTCCAGTTGTTCCATGGAGGCACCTTCAGGGACTACTTCTGGGAAAGGCAGCTGGAGCTAGAACAGGCAGAAGGGGTTCAGCTAGAGCAGATCTGACTTATCTGTTCCAAATAAGATTTTATTTGAACATACAGTTTAAAACTTACTGTAGTAGAACATGTAAATAATGTGTTGACTTATTGCCCTCATGGGCTAAACTGGAACTTGGATCTCACATTCTTTGGATGAGGAATGAGATTGTATTACTCTTCAGAGTTAATCAGCATTCCAGAGGCTTTAGGCTCTATTTTGGATTGAAGCTTACTACCTTGAAATAACTGATTTTTTTTTTTTTTTTTTTTTTTTTTTTGAGACAGAGTTTTACTCTTGTTGCCCAGGCTGGAGTGCAGTGGTGTGATCTCGGCTCACTGCAACCTCTGCCTTCTGGGTTCAAGAGATTCTCCTGCCTCAGCCTCCTGAGTAGCTGGGATTACAGGTGTCCGCTACCACACCCAGCTAATTTTTTGTATTTTTTAGTAGAGACAGGGTTTCACCATGTTGGCCAGGCTGGTCTTGAACTCCTTGACCTCAGGTGATCCACCCACCTCGGCCTCCCAAAGTGCTGGGATTAGAGGCGTGAGCCATCGTGCCTGGCTGAAAGAACTGATTCTAATACGTAGCCAAATTCTTTGTTACAAAGGTTGGTATGTTATTAGAAATTACCTAACATTGAGCCTCTGGAGCTTCTGCCCTGAAAGTTGAGCTATGCAGTTTCAGCAGGTACAAGATCTACCCCAGACACAAGAGGCGCTATGCCAGGACCGATGGGAAGGTTTTCTAGTTCCTTAGTGCAAAATGCGAGGGCATTACTTTCTTTCTTTCTTTTTTTTTTTTTTTTTTTGGAGTCTTGCTCTGTTGCCCAGGCTGGAGTGCAGTGGCGTGATCTCGGCTTACTGCCATCTCCGCCTCCCGCGTTCAAGCAATTCTCTGCCTCAGCCTCCTGAGTAGCTGGGATTACAGGCGCCTGCTACCACATCCGGCTAATTTTTGTATTTTTAGTAGAGACAGGGTTTCACCTTGTTGGCCAGGCTGGTCTTGAACTCCTGACCTCATGATCCACCTGCCTCGGCCTCCCAAAGTGCTGGGATTATAGGCGTGAGCCACTGTGCCTGGCCAAGGGCATTCCTTTCTAAGGAATCCTTAGCAAATAAACTGGTCCTCTACAGAAGAAAGCATAAAAAAGGGACACTTGGAAGAAATTCAAAAGAAAAGAACCTGCTGAGCAGTCAAATTCCAGAAGGCCATTACTGGTGCATCTCTTGCTAATATAGTGGCCAAGAGGAATGAGAAACATGAAGTTAAAAAGGCTCAATGAAAACAAGCTAGCAGGGCTGCTAAGGAAGCAAAAAAGGCTAAGCTAGCATCTGAAAAGACCGCAATGGCTGCTGCTAAGGCAGCATCTACACAAAAGATGGTGAAGCCTGTGAAAGTGTCAGCTCCCCGAGGTGGTTCAAAACACCAAGTTGGCAGATCAGATTCTTAAAGATTGGACTGTAGAAAAATATAAATTATATTACCTAACATTTGAATAACGTATTTTAGTTTTTCAGAGGACACGTGGCAGGTTATATTGTGCTATAGAGCCTCTTCCACAAATACATTCAGTAATTAAAACAAAAAACACCAAACTCTCAACTTACACAAAGCTTAATTGATAACTTATTAAGAAAATTTCAGATTCTATTGCAATCATTCAATCTCAAGGTGCTTTCAGGATCCATAAGTGAGAAGAAAGGTTTAATGTAGCATAGTGCCAAGTTTTGCATTACTCATATTTTCTTCTAGCGTTGTTACTATCTGGCATTCATTTCTTAACCCTAGAGGTCTTCTGGTTATTAAAAAAAAAAAAAAAACCTGTGGGAGTTTTTTGCTTCTGAAGTTTGTTTTTTTGTTTGTTTGTTTGTTTGTTTGTTTGTTTTTTTGAGACGGAGTCTCACTCTGTCGCCCAGGCTGGAGTGCAGTGGCGTGATCTCGGTTCACTGCAAGCTCTGCCTCCCGGGTTCAGGCCATTCTGCTGCCTCAGCCTCCTGAGTAGCTGGGACTACAGGCGCCCGCCACCATGCCAGGCTAATTTTTTATATTTTTAGTAGAGATGGGGTTTCACCATGTTAGCCAGGATGGTCTTGAGCTCCTGACCTTGTGACCCACCTGCCTCGGCCTCCCAAAGTGCTGGGATCAGAGGCATGAGCCACTGCGCCTGGCCGCTTACGAGGTTTTTTAAAATACACATTTCATTTTCAATTAAGGCAGATTTAGAATATAGCATAAACACAGAGAAAGTAAACATTTAGACAATTTCAGTGTTTTTCCTACTTAATACTCTGGAACCAGACTGCTTATTTTTGGATCCCTGCTGTGTACTTAACAGCTGTGTGATCTTGGGCCATTTGTTTTGTATGCATGGTGTATAGGGCATATGCGGGAGTGATAGGAAACAAGAATGGGGCCGGGTGCAGTAGTTCACGCCTGTAATTCCAGCACTTCGAGAGGCCAAAGTGGGTGGATTACTTGAGGTTAGGAGTTTAAGACCAGCCTGGCCAATATGGCGAAACCCTGTCTCTACTAAAAATACAAAAATTAGCCAGGCATGGTGGCGCACACCTGTAATCCCAGCTACTTGGGAGACTGAGGCAGGAGAATCCCTTGAACCCGGGAGGCAGAGGTTGCAGTGAGCCAAGCGCCCCTGCACTCCAGCCTGGGCAACAGAGCGAGACTCCATCTCAAAAAAAGAAATGAGTCGAAAGGTAGGCGTAATCAAGACAATAAATAGTCTTGTGTAACATGCAAGAGTTTGAACTGTACGTGGATGGGAAGCCACTGAAGAATTATAAGCAAGGGAATTACACCATTACATTGTGCTTTAAAATATTTTTCAAGTACCATTTGGAAGAGGTGAGTTACAGTAAGGCAAGAATGGAGTCGATAAGTGAGTAATGATGCCTCTCCTACAAGATAGCATGAAGATGACAGGAGAGACAAGATGCCTGAGCTAGGGAATAGGATTAGGGATGAAGGGATGAATTTGAGAGATGTAAGCGTTAAGTGCAGTGTGGCTAAGACTCATCGACTATGGAGGAGAAGGAGGAAGAATCCAGATTGAGTTCTGTCTTGGATAGCTATCTTTACTCTGATGCAGTTATCCAATATAGGAGTTTTAGAGGATAGGAAAGGGGTAGAATATAAGTTTGCAACTGAAGGGCATGTGAGTAAATTATATGCAGTAGGAACTGGAGCTTAAAATAGATATCGAGTTTGAAATTATGCATTTTGATGGTACTTGGACCCATAGAAGTAGAGGAATTTATAGGACTAAGGTGAGGGGTAAAAAGGAATTAGAACAGAATCTTTGGAACTCTGAAGATGGAAAGAGTGGCTAGGGAAAGAAAGAACCAGAACTATTACACTGATAAAACTTTTACTATTTACAGCCTCTTTCCTCCTTCTTCCCTGTGTCTTTAACATGAGACTAAAGCCAGGAAAGGATTGGGTCCCAGGAAACCAAGCAGGGCTTTTACACTGGTTAGGATACTTGATGGAACTTTTCACTACAGAATGCAAAACTCTACACTCTAAACAGTTGCTGCTCCCCAACTGAAAACTCCTACTCTGGGAAAATGTCTACACTGTACCTTTATTCACATTAGTCTTGCCTTGACATTGTCTGTTACTCCTGTGCAGTTATGACCACAATCATTATTCTTTTTTTTTTTTTTTTTTTTTTGAGACGGAGTCTTGCAGCAATGCCCTGGCTGGAATGTAGTGGTGCCATCTCGGCTCACTGCAACCTCTGCTTCCCAGGTTCAAGCAACTGTCCTGCCTCAGCCTCCCGAGTAGCTGGGACTACAGGCACTTGCCACCACGCCCAGCCAATATTTGTATTTTTAGTAAAGACATGGTTTCACCATATTGGCCAGGCTGATCTTGAACTCCTGACCTCAAGTGATCCATCCATTTCAGTCTTACAAAGTGCTGGGATTACAGGTGTGAGCCACTGTGCCCAACCAACATTAATTCTTTTTTTTTTTTTTTTTTTTTTTTGAGACGAGTCTCGCTCTGTTGCCCCAGGCTGGAGTGTAGTGGCATGATCTCGGCTCACTGCAACCTCACCTCCTGGCTTTGAACGATTCTCCCACCTCAGCCTCCCGAGTAGCTGGGATTACAGGTAACTGCTATCATGCCCAGCTAATTTTTGTATTTTTATAGAGATGGGGTTTCACCGTGTTGGCCAGGCTGGTCTTGAACTCCTGACCTCAGGTGATTTGCCTGTCTCAGCCTCCCAAAGTGCTGGAATTACAGGTGTGAACCACCACGCCCAGCCCAATATTCATTCTTATGAGTACTCTGATGCAATTTCTAGCCCATGTATTACCAAAGATCAGATATTCACTATATATAGTAATAGTTACATAACAATGTCCAAAAAAGGTGTTTAATAGAAAGGAGAATTTTTTTTAACTTTTATTTTAAATTCAGGGGTACATATGCAGGTATATTGCATAGGTAAACTTGTATCATAGGGTTTGTTATACCGATTATTGCATCATCCAGGTATTAAGCCTGGTACCCATTAGTTATTTTTCCTGATCCTCTCCCTCCTCCCACCCTCCACCCTCTGATAGGCCCTAGTGTGTGTTGTTCCCCTCTATGTGTCCGTGTGTTCTCATCATTTAGCTCCCGCTTATAAGTGAGAACATGTGGTATTTGGTTTTCTGTTCCTGTGTTAGTTTGCTAAGGATAATGGCCTCTAGCTCCATTCATGTCCTGGCAAAGGACATGATCTTATTCATTTTTCTGACTGCAGAAAGCAGAATTTATAATCTGAGTAATGCCATAAGATATATAAATAGCGGAAAAATAACTTTACTTATTGATAGACAAATTCTTTATGCTGGAATATTTTTATGTTTTCTAGACTAGTGAGTGTGGAGTAATTAGCAATATGAGGTTCAAAGTTTGGGTAAAAGATTTATTTTTGTCTTGGTTTTATTTATTTATATAATATATATATGATATGTATATATAGTATATGTATGAATTTATTTGTAGCTCTGAAGATGGCTGTGGTAGATATCTATCATTCCAGGTTAAAGGAGAGACAAAGACGAAAAAAGTAAGTATAAAAAACCATCCTGGCCTCCTTTCAGCTTTGGATTATTGTTTTGTGTGTGTGTGTGTGTGTGTGTGTGTGTGTGTGTGTGTCTGTGTCTGTGTCTGTGAGAGAGGCAAGGTCTCACTCTGTTGCCCAGGCTGGAGAGCAGCAGCACAATAATGGCTCACTGCAGCCTCAACCTCTCAGGCTCAATTGATTCTCCCACCTCAGCCTCCTGAGCATGTGGGACTACAGCAGTGCGCCACCATGCCTGGCTAATTTTTTGTATTTTTTGTAGATACGGGGTTTTGCTGTGTTGGCCAGGCTGGTCTCAAACTCCTGGACTTAAGTGATCCTCCCTCCTCAGCTCCCAAAGTGTTAGGATTGCAGGCATGAGCCACTGTGCCTGGCCTCAGCTTTGAGTGATTGACCACATATAGTCCATGAGAGAATGCTCCACTTGTGACTCATCTTTTGACCTTGGAGAAGACTCTTACCCTCCTTAGACCTCAATTTTTCCTTCTCTCAATTGAGGATAGTAATTCCTGTGTTATTTTTATATCCTCTGCCCTTATCCTTTATTGACGTTATGATGAACAATGAATAATATGGGTACACTGTTTTAAGCTATTTGAAGTAAAAGAACAAGATAAAATAAAGGCATCAAGACAGTATTGTTACACTTTTTTTTTTTTAATATTTGTGAATCATTCTTTGCTTTTGTCTTTTTTTTTTTGAGATGGAGTCTCGTTCTGTCACCCAGGATGGAGTGCAGTGGCGTGATCTCAGCTCACTGCAAGTTCTGCCTCCTGGGTTCATGTGATTCTCCAGCCTCAGCCTCCCAAGTGGCTGGGACTATAGGTGTGCACCACCACGCCTGGCTAATTTTTGCATTTTTAATAGAGATGGAGTTTTGCCATGTTGTCCAGGCTGGTCTTGAACTCCCCACCTTAAGTGATCCATCCCCCTCTGCCTCCCAAAGTGCTGGGATTACAGGCGTGAGCCACCGTGTTCAACCTTTTTTTTTTTTTGTTAAATAAGAGACAGAGTCTCACACTTACTCTGTCACCCAGGCTGGAGTGCAGTGTCACTATCATGGCTCACTGCAGTCTCCAACTCCTGGGCTCAAACAATCCTCCCACCTCAGCCTCCCAAGTAGTTAGGACTACAGGTGCGCACCACCACACTTGGCTAATTTTAAAACCTTTTTCTTTTTTTAGACTGGGCGCGGTGGCTCACACCTGTAATCCCAGCACTTTGGGAGGCCGAGGCTGGTGGATCACCTGAGGTCAGGAGTTCAAGACCAGCCTGACCAACATGGTGAAACCCTGTCTCTACTAAAAATACAAAAATTAGCTGGGGGTGGTGGTGCATGCCTGTAGTCCAAGCTACTCGGGAGGCTGAGGCAGGAGAATTGCTTGAACCTGGGAGACGGAGGTTGCAGTGAGCCAAGATCACACCACTGCACTCCAGCCTGGGCGACAGGGTGAGACTCCGTCTCAAAAAAGAAAAAAAACCTTTTTTTTTTTTTTTGAGACAGGGTCTCACAATGTTGCCTGGGCTGGTCCTGAACTCCTAGACTCAAGGCATCCTACTGCCTTGGCCTCCCAGAGTGCTGGAATTACAGGTGTGAGCCACTGCACTCGGACTGTTAGGCTTTTTTATTTTATTTTTATTTTTTATTTTATTATTATTACTTTTGAGATGGTCTTGCTCCGTCACCCAGGCTGGAGTGTAATGGCGCGATCTCAGCTCACTGCAGCGTCTGCCTCCTGAGTTCAAGCAATTATCGTGCCTCAGCCTCCCAAGAAGCTGGGACTACAGGCACGTGCCATCATGCCCAGCTAATTTTTTATTTTTAGTAGAGACACAGTTTCCCCATGTTGGCCAGGCTGGTCTCAAACTCCAGGCCTCAGGTGATCCGCCCACCTCAGCCTCCCAAAGTGCTGGGATTACAGGCATGAGCCACTGCCCCCAGCCCTATTGTGCTTTTTTAATGTTCTCTTTCTAACTGTTCATTTTTTAATGAGAAGTCTTTCATCTAAAAGGATTTCAAAGAAATTCTGAACAAGTTTCAGGCATACTGGTTCTTCCTCTCTTTGCAACATATCAAAAAGTATACATTCAGACTTAGAAATTATGGATCTCAGACCTCTGTTGGTTTCAGAGAAGAGTATGCAGAGGGTATAAGTGTGCATGTGTGTGTATGTATGTGTAGGCATGTATTTACTGTGATGTTACTAACTGTAGACACAGTGATATCTCAGCAATAAAAAGGAGAGAAGCCAGGTGTGGTAGCATGAACCTCTGGTCCTAGCTACTTGGGAGGCTAAGGTGAGAGGATGACTTGAGCCTAGGAGTTCAAGGCCAGTCTGGGCAACCTAGGAAAACCCCATCTCTTAAAAAAAAAAGCAAAAGAAAAAAAAGGGACTTGAGATTCACTCTGGAGGAACTAAGATGTGATCTAAAGCAGCAGTCCTCAACCTTTTTGGCATCAGGGAGTGGTTTCATGGAAGACTGTTTTTCCATGGATGGCTGGGGGCAGGAATGGTTTTGGGATGAAACTGTTCCACCTCAGATCATCAGGTATTGGTTAGATTCTCATAAGGAGCACACATCCTAGATCCTCCACGTGAGCAGTTCACAATAGGGATCGCGCTCCTGTGAGAATCTAATGCTGCCGCTCCTCTGACAGGAGGCAGAGTTCAGACGGTAAAGCTGCTCACCTGCTGTGCAGCCTGGTTCCTAACTGGTCCATGGCCCAGGGGTTGGGAACTCCTGATCTAAAGTAAAACTTACTCTCTGCATGTCTGGAGTTAGCTTCCATGAAATGCTGAAGAAGCATACCCAGTTGCTCCTATGAGAAGCTTCATTGCTAGTTATGAATACCTCTGGTATAAATCAGATTCAAGACACATAACTTTGCCTGGTTTAAATTCTCTTTTGCTTAAAACACAATTCGAGCTAGAGAGTACTGTAGAACTCAGTTGCTGATGTTGCTATCAAATCTTTTGTTTTATAATGCCCTTTCATTAAACATGCACAATATTTATTTCTAGTACCGCCAGTGTTGTGTGAATGCACAGTTGAAAATGTTGAATATGTGATCATGGTGCCCTTTAGCAGATTTCTCTAAAATGGCTGTTCTCAATTATTTCCACAAGCTGAATAGATTAACTTTATGACATGGACAGAGATTCCTTTCGGTTTCATCTTAAGTGACAGACATGTGTTTTTCAGCATTTGTGAGTGGTTATTGATTGATTCATTCGTTCAGCAAATAGTCATGGAGAGTCTACTATGCCCAACAAGAGGAAAAACCCGTGATGCCTGAGAGTCTAAAATTGGGTTAGTGATTCACTGACCTGCAGAAATTTGTGGGAGTGACTTCTTTGGACCTCTGTATTGTATTCCACCTCAGCATGTTTATGTCTGATGATAGCTATATGTGTAAAGCATTAGTAAATGTGAAAATAATTCTAATGCACAAATTATTGTGGCTTTTCATTCTAGAATTATAAGAGACCATGGATTAATCAACCTTAGAAAGTTTCAATGTAAGTATTAGCAGTTTTCTTTATTTTACAATTTTTTTCCAATATTATTGAATAATTTTAAATAAATCACGTATTGTAGTTCTTAATCCAAGTTGCATATTAGCCTGGCTATCACTCCAGACTAATGAAGTAAGAATCTCTGGGGTTGGAGGCACAGCACCTGCATTTTTAAAAAGTCTTCAGGGCAATTCTGATCCATAGTGAGAGTTTAAAGTATTAATTTGGGGCCAGGCGCGGTGGCTCTTGCCTGTAATCCCAGCACTTTGGGAGGCTGAGGTGGGCAGATCACGAGGTCAGGAGATCAAGACCATCCTGGCTAACATGGTGAAACCCCATCTCTACTAAAAATACAAAAAAAAAATTAGCCAGGCGTGGCGGCATGCACCTGCAATCCCAGCTACTCAGGAGGCTGAGGCAGGAGAATCACTTGAACCCAGGAGGTAAAGGTTGCAGTGAGCCGAGATCACGCCAGTGCACTCCAGCCTGGGCGATAGAGCAAGACTTAGTCTCAAAAATAAATAAATAAATAAGCAAATAAATAAATGTATTAATTTGTAGTCAATAAAACTTGTATTAAAATTCTTTTTTAAAAATTTGTATAGTAATTACAGTGTGAATATTAATGAATAATTTTCTGGATAGAGTCATGTTTTGCAACTATGTGTTAAGCATAACATAACCTTAATCTTCAGGTTGTAAAAATATTTTAGATAAATAACAGAAAGTGATCTTTATTTTGGATGGTTATAGACAGACAAAATAAATGATATTTAATATTATATGACGGTGATAAAAATACATATAGTGATTTTTAAAATAAATGCCACCTTTGACCTTACTGTGGTTTTTTGTTGTTGTTTGTTTTTTAAGAGACAGGTTCTTGCACTGTTGCCCAGGATGGAGTGCAGTGGTGTGATGGTATCTTGCTGCAGCCTTGAACTCCTGGGTGCAAGTGATCCTCCCACCTCAGCCTCCTTATTACAGGCTCGAGCTATCGTGCCTGGCCTTTATTATTTTAAATATCAGAGATACCTAAGCAGGGCAGAAAAAGTCCCTGTACTTTTTCTTCTTCCACAACATAGAGGCTTCCACAACTAAGAAGGATGATGTCATAATAACAATCACAATGTTTGTATTAAAATATTTGTAATAGTTGTGTGTCATAATATTCTTTTTTTGTAAAGAATAACCTAATGGTTAGGTTTGTACAATAACCTAATGGTTATTGTAAAACATCCCAGTTGATAGATTCTTGTAGGGGTATTTATTTAATAATATATAGCATCGTAGGGTTCAGTCAACAAGGTTAAGTGTCTTTTTAGTGTAAATAAATATCTAGCCAGGCATGGTGGCTTGCACCTATAATCCCAGCTACTTGGGAGGCTGAGGCAGCGGATCACTTGAGCCCAGGAGTTCAAGGCTGCAGTGAGCTATAATCATGTCACTGCACTCCAGCCTGGGCAACAGAAAATCTATATTTTTTAAAAATATAGCCATCATCATAAGTATGTTACATTTTAGGTCCTTTATTATTTATTTATTTTTTGAGACAGGGCCTCACTCCAGTTGTCCAGGCTGGAGTGCAGTGGCTCAGCTCACTGCAGTCTCCGCCTCCCAGGCTCAGGTGATTCTCCCACCTCAGCCTCCCAAGTAGCTCCATCTCTACTAAAAAATAAAAAAAATTAGCCAGGTGTGGTGGCAGGCGCCTGTAGTCCCAACTACTCAGGAGGCTGAGGCAGGAGAATCGCTTGAACCCGGGAGGCGGAGGTCGCAGTGAGCCAAGATCGTGCTACTGCTCTCCAGCCTGGGCGACACAGCGAGACTCCGTCTCAAAAAAAATAAAAAGGTAAGCTAGGAAAAAAAAAAATAGCTGTCATAAATGAAAGTCTGTATCGTTAGTCCAAGAGTAGATAGAACTAACCTAATTACTGATTGAAACGACCCAAGTAGCAGTTCGAGAGTTACTGACTGCTCCAATCTACCAGTTATTGTTAGTCAGTTTTACTCTCCATCTTCTTTGCAGATACATCTTTGGATTAGTTGTTTGGTCAGTAGTGATCCCCAGAGTTGCTGCTCTGGTGTCTCTGCATGATATTTGCATGACAGTTGTCAAATAAAACTTCATTAGCAGTAAATTAAGTTGTAGTAGTTAATTTAGTTTGGAGAAAGGCAAAATGACCCATATGAAGGATGAAAAAAATACTTACCTTGCTTGAGGATGTGTAGGTGGGACATGCAAGAAATCACACTTTTTCTCAGCTAATGGGAAATCTTCTGGATGGATTATTTTGTCTGTAGCTTCTTTGTTTTCCTGTGGGAGTTAATACCATAAATTTTGGCCATAATTCTTCCTAAGAATGTAAGATCTGCCTTTAATTGTCTCGTCCATTACTGCCAGCAGTTCCTGCCCCTGTGTAGTTTAAAAGACAGTGAGGTGGCCGGGCGCGGTGGCTCACACCTGTAATCCTAGCACTTTGGGAGGCCGAGGCGAGCAGATTGCCTGAGCTCAGTAGTTCAAGACCAGCCTGGCCAACATGGTGAAACCTCGTCTCTACTAAAATACAAAAAATTAGTCGAGCATGGCGGTGTGCCTGTAATCCCAGCTACTTGGGAGGCTGAGACAGGAAAATTGCTTGAACCTGGGGAGGCAGAGGTTACAGTGAGCTGAGATCACACCACTGCACTCCAGCCTGGGCCACAGAGCAAGACTCCATCTCAAAAAAAAAAAAAAAGACAGTGAGGTGGCTGGGCGCGGTGGCTCATGCATGTAATCCCAGCACTTTGGGAGGCCGAGGCGGGTGGATCACCTGAGGTCAAGAGTTCAAGACCAGCCTGGCCAATGTGGTGAAATTCCGTCTCTACTAAAAATTCAAAAATTAGCTGGGTGTAGTGGCGGGCGCCTGTAATCCCAGCTACTTTGGGAGGTTGAGGTAGGAGAATTGCTTGAATCCAGGAGATGGAGGTTGCAGTGCGCCGAGATCACCCCAACGCACTCCAGCCTGGGAGACAGAGCGAGACTCCATCTCAAAAAAAAAAAAGACAGTAGATGTGGGAGATGAGTAGTGCTCAGTGGTGGAGATGATCTCCAGTGTTAACAACATCCCTGTGGGATAGTTGCTATGGTGCTGTCATTATGATTAGCGTTTTGCATTCTTGGCTTTCCTGTTTGCTTCCTGTCATGGATAAGTTAGTCATATGAGGTTATGAATAATGTTCTTCCATTTTACTAATTGTAAAAAAAAAAAAATGCTGAAAACTCAGGGATCCTTACATTTCCCATGACACATTTATGTTTTATTTTCTCTGTAGTAATGGAACGGCGGTATCCCAAGGAGGTCCAGGACCTGTATGAAACAATGAGGCGATTTGCAAGAATTGTGGGGCCAGTGGAACATGACAAATTCATTGAAAGCCATGCATGTAGGTGGTTTTTGAGCCTTGAGCAGTATTTGTGTGTGTATATTTATATAAATAGGAGAGATAATGGTGTGTTTTATGTGAAGTTCTATAAATAAATAAATGGATATTTCTCTCTTTGTTCCCCTTTATTACCATGAGACAAATTTGGGACTATGGGGGTGGCAGAAGAGAGGTTAAAAAGCCCTAATGACTTCCCCCATTGCCCCAGATAAACAATAATTTAGTAGTTTTTCTCCCTACTTTGTATCATGGGAACTTTCAAATATATATAGAAGTAGAGATAATAATATGATGAACTCCCGTGTATCCATCATCCAGCTTCAGCAGTTTTCAACACATGGCCAGTCTGGTTTCATCTTTACCACTCACTCTTCCCTCCTGCCCTCAACTGGATTATTCTGAAGCAAATCCCAGACATCATTTTATTTTGTTCATAAATATTTTAGTATTAAAAGTAGTTTTAAAAATGAGGACAGAGATGGATAGCTTGTGGAGATAGTACTTCCATCGATCTCTTGCCTTTCTGTGGTATTTCTGTGAGAGCTCTACATAGTTACCATTTGATTTTTCACTATAAAAAATTAAAAGTTGTTATGAGGCCGGGCGTGGTGGCTCACACCTGTAATCCCAGCACTTTGGGAGGCCAAGGCAAGAGGATTGCTTGAGTCGAGGAGTTCGAGACCAATCTGGGCAACATAGTAAAACTCCATCTCTACAAAAATACAAAAGTTAGCCAGGCATGGTAGTGCACACCTGTAGTCTCAGCTACTTTGGAGGCTGAGGTGGGAGGATTGCTTGAACCCGGGTAGCCGAGGTTGCGGTGAGCTGAGATCACACCACTGCACTCCAGCCTGAGCGACAGAGTGAGACCCTGTTTCAAAACAAAATATGTTGGTATGGCAGTAAGGCCTAGATTGTTAAAATAATATGGACTCTGGCTTGTTCTGTACCTTTCATCATGACATTTGTGTATGTGGCTTCTAAGTTTAGTTCTGGGAAGGTAGTCTACTAAGGCCCTTATTCTCACCGTGAAAATATTTCTTACATAGCATTGCAGACATTTATCTGAGCCAGGTTGGTTGTCCTCACCAAACACCTTGTTTGGTTAGCATTCTTTGTGTGGTTTGTACCAGGTGACTGATCCTTTACTTCCTGTCCCAGTTTGGGACACACCCCTGGTTTATGTGTCATTCCAAAACACTACACC
This sequence comes from Homo sapiens, assembly GCF_000001405.40. Lineage (NCBI taxonomy): Eukaryota > Metazoa > Chordata > Mammalia > Primates > Hominidae > Homo > Homo sapiens. Next base: position 1,705,918 of record NT_187614.1, read on the forward strand.
CCATGGATTGTCCAGGCTCTTCCTTCATTCTCTGTTTCAAAAGCAGCCAAATTAGAATGATTTGTAGAACTTTTAATAGAAGATAGTTAGAGCAGGGAAACTTGGTTGTTAAAAAAATTATATTTTGCCCAGTGCGGTGGCTCATTCCTATAATGCCAGCTACTTTGGAAGGCCGAGGCGGATGGATCACCTGAGGTCAGGAATTCGAGACCAACCTGGCCATCATGGCAGAACCCCATCTCTACTAAAAATACAAAAATTAGCCGGGTGTGGTGGTAGATGCCTGTAATCCCAGCTACTCAGGACGCTGAGGCAGGGGGAATTGCTTGAACCCGGGAGGTGGAGGTTGCAGTGAGCCGAGATCATGCCATTGCAGCCTGGGCGACAGAGCGAGACTCTGTCTCAAAAAAAGAAAAAAAAAATTGTTACTTTTGTAGACAAATGAATTTAACCATTTCACTAAGTTTTCTAGAAGACAGTTCCAGCTGCTGCATCTGGAGACAGCAGCTGGAAGATAGCTGGAGTAGGTTTTCCTCAGCTCTTGGGTAAAATTTCTAATGAGAAGTTACCAACGAGTAGGATTCTCCAAATGAACTTCCCTAGTCTTATAAGGCAGAATTAATGAAAATGCTCAATAGCAAAAGTGCTCACTAATGTTGCTTTTGTTTTTGTAATTTTTTCCTTCATTCCTTTTGGGGAAAACAGTGGAATTTGAACTCCGAAGGGAAATCAAGAGGCTCCAAGAATACAGGACAGCAGGCATTACCAATTTTTGTAGTAAGTATGCTTCAGCTACATACCGTACTTGAGGGCAAGTATCTTCCAGACACACAGAGGAAGTCTCTGAATTGTTGTGAATTTTTTTTTAAAAAACAAGCTTTCCTTTACCAGAATGCTTTAAACCTTTCCAGTAAAGTTTTGGCTATTTAATCCCTATAAATACCTTTGTATAGATTATCTTTGGTACTACAAAAGTTGTGAGACAAAGGAAAGAGAGGTGCTGCTTTAGATTTAGGATTCTGCCGAGGCTCTTTAAAAAAAGGGAATCTTGGGCCGGGTGCAGTGGCTCACACCTGTAATCCCAGCACTTTGGGAGGCCAAGGCAGGTGGGTCACTTCAGTCCAGGAGTTCGAGACCAGCCTGACCAACATGGTGAAACCCTACCTCTACTAAAAATAAAAAAACTAGCCAGGCGTTGTGATGCACACGTTTAATCCCAACTACTCGGGAGGCTGAGGCACAAGAATCGCTTGAACCTGAGAAGCAGTTGTTGTAGTGAGCCAAGATGGTGCCACTGTACTCCAGCCTGGGTGGCAGAGGGAGATTCTGTTTCAAAAAAAAAAAAAAGGAATTTTATATTTTAGGTGTGTCACCCTTTTCAAATTTAATGATACATGGTCTTAGCATTTTTATAAAATAATGAAGCTTCAACTGGCTCCAGGTGCTTGCATCCCAGTTACTTGGGGTAGTGACAATAATTATATTATTAGCAGCTAACATCTATCAGATATTTACCATGTACCAGTCTCTATGCTAACCATTTCACTTGGATCAAGTCAATGAATTCTCATGACAAACTTATAAAGTACCGTTACTTCCATTTAGTGAAGAAATTAAGGTATAAAGAGGTTACAGAGCTAGTTAGTACTAGAACCAGGTCATAAGAGATAGTGTATTATAGTAGTTAAGAGCTTGGGTCTAGACTTAAAAAGCTTGAGTATAAATTTTGGCTCTCCAGCTTGCCAGCTCTGTGATGTGATTCTATCCAAATTTATTTTTCTTTCCTTTTTTTTTTTTCCCTAGAGACTGACTCTTGCTATGTTGCCCAGGCTGGTCTCAAACTCCTGGCCTCAAGCAGTCCTCCCGCCTAGGCCTCTCAGAGTGCTGGGATTACAGGTGTGAGCAACTGTGCCTGGCCTCTATTCAAGTTTTAATTTTCTAAGGTTCTTAGAGTTAGTGTAAAGATTTAATTAGAGATACTGCATATAAGCATAGCACAGTATCTGGCACACAATAATTCCTCAATAAATGGCAGTTTCTGTTGTTTTGCTGTCATTGTTGAAATGATCTTTAGCATTCCCTCCTTCTTCCTATTTGAAGTTTTTGTGATTATTGATAGTTGTCACCTACTATCTATAAGAAATAGTTGGCTTCTTTTTTTTTTTTATTTGAGACGGAGTCTGGCTCTGTTGCGCAGGCTGGAGTTCAGTGGTGCCATCTTGGTTCACCACAACCTCTGCCTTCTAGGTTCAAGCGAGTCTCCTGCCTCAGCCTCCTGAGTAGCTGGGACTACAGTCATGCACCACCATACCCGGCTAATTTTTTTTTTTGTATTTTTAGTAGAGATGGGGTTTATCCATGTTGGTCAGGCTGATCTCGAACTCCTGACCTCAGGTGATCCACCCACCTCAGCCTCCCAAAGCGCTGGGATTACAGGTGTGAGCCACCACGCCCGGCAATAGTTGGCTTCTTAACACAGCCCTGTGGGTGCAACATAGCCTTATGGATGTAAGTTCAGCCTAGTATAATGGCTCTTTAACAGTGGAAACCATTTTTGAAATTAAATTTTGTGTGAGCCCCAATCTACAAATAAGATAAAAGTGGGCTGGGCACGGTGGCTCACACCTGTAATCCCAGCACTTTGGGAGGCCGAGGCGGGCGGATCACTTGAGGTCCAGAGTTCAAGACCAGCCTGACCAACATGGAGAAACCCCGTGTCTACTAAAAATACAAAATTAGCTGGGCATGGTGGCGCATGCCTGTAATCCCAGCTACTCCGGAGGCTGAGGCAGGAGAATGGCTTGAACCTGGGAGGTGGAGGTTGCTGTGAGCCGAGATCGCGCCATTGCACTCAAGCCTGGGCAACAAGAGCGAAACTCCGTCTCAAAAAAAGATAAAAGTGGAATTACTTTGGTTGAACTTTAATGGTTCAATTTATGTGTAGAGCCCAGGACCCGCCGGTATCTGGCAGTGCCCTTTCTCTTTACATTAACCTCTAAGATACTCTTGTGGTATCCTGGGGCTCTGTGGAACCTAGTTTGAATTTTGAAACCCACTGGTGCAGTATTTTGGAATCTGTGAACCTTTGTTAACATGTAGAAAACACCACGCAGCTCTTCTGTTTAGCAAGATGCATATAGAGACTCTGATAACTAATTTTGGTTTCCTGATATTGGCTGCCTCTAAGAAATATGGAGAAGAGGTACTACATGTCAAAGAGAACTCTTTTTTTGTAATTCTAATTGTTTTTTAAGGAAAGGCATATGCTTATAGCACTTGTGTGACTTTGAAAAAATTTATAAAAATAGAAAAAACAGGAAGCAAATATGACTATAGTAAAAGTTGGTTACTTTTTGAGAGTGGAAATATGAGCAATTCTTACTTTCTTTGTACTTTTCTGTTGGTTTTTTTCCCCTTATTTCTTACAGATAGAAAAGGAATACAAATGTTTAATATTTAATACTTAGTATTAAGAAAAGGATTTCAGACTAGGGAAAATCTACTTGGGTCTTGGAGAAATAATTGTGAAAGCAGTTTTGCAAAGGAAACAGACTTTAAGAACAAAACCCAAAACCGGTTTCTTGGTCAGTTAGGAAGCCCTTCAGTTCTGCTGCATTGTCATTGTGGTCATTGTGTTTTCTATACCCCCAGGTGCCAGAACCTACGATCACCTCAAGAAGACACGGGAGGAAGAGCGCCTTAAACGCACTATGCTCTCAGAAGTTCTCCAGTATATCCAGGACAGTAGTGCTTGCCAGCAGTGGCTCCGCCGGCAAGCTGACATGTGAGTAATTACTCCAGGGTGAAGGAGGCATTCTTTCTGGGATGCCTTGGCCTTCACATATATTTTTGGGCACCCTAGATGGCAGAGTAATAATAATTGAGTAGCTGGAAGAATTCAGAAATATTTTAGCAGTCCATCTCAGAAACAGTGCCATACTGACAGTTTTGAGAAATAACTGACCTCCTAGAATCATACTTTACTACTTTGATCCTATTTTTTAAAATGAGTGTATTTTCCCCCAGCCTTCTACCCATGACTTCAACTCTCTCTTCATACCTAGATTTTCACTGGGGAATCATGTTTGTATCCCTTCCCCTTGAGTGGTGTTAGTGGTGTTCTAGATTACAAGCTCTTCTTAACAAATCTGAGGAATTTTTCTTCCTCAGAACAGATTTTCTTTCCTGCTCAATACAGTGAGATATCTGTAAAACATAGTTCAGTCTATCTCATTACACTTCTTCAAGGTGACCTACCTGATAAATGGCACCCAGTCTCACCGGGGCTTTTGGAAATCACCTTGTTTGATATGACCTAAGTTTAAATTCCTCTTCTTCGTTGTAGTGATTCCGGCCTGAGTCCTTCCATTCCAATGGCTTCGAATTCAGGTAATTATTTCTCAGGCCAGAACAAGTCTTAATTGTGAAGTTTGCATCGTAGGGGTTATAGTGACCCAGCAATCTTCCTTCCTCTGTGGTGTCAGGGTGCTTAGGCAGAGTAACAGTAATCAAGTGTTAGCCCAATATATAAACATCAGTATGTTTTCAGAACCTTCATGGCCAGACAGAGACTATCCTCAGAGTGACAGTATAGAGTATAGACAGTATAGAGACAGGGGAAAAAAGAACTTCAGAGAGGTAACTTCTTTATTTTACCAATGTTCATGAGCAGTTAGTTTACTGCAGTTGTGTCTACCACTAATTTTGAGACTTATTTCACAGGAGATAAATTAAAAGCTTTTTATTTTATTATTTTTTATTTATTTACTTATTTTTTGAGACAGAGTCTCGGTCTGTCGCCCAGGCTGGAGTGCAGTGGTGTGATCTCGGCTCACTGCAACCTCCGCTTCCCGGGTTCAAGTGATTCTTCTGCCCCAGCCTCCCGAACAGCTGGGATTACAGGCATGCACCACCACGCCTGGCTAATTTTTGTATTTTTGGTAGGGACGGTTTTGCCATGTTGGCCAGGCTGGTCTCGAACTCCTGACCTCAAGTGAGGCACCCACCACGGCCTCCCAAAGTGCTGGAATTACAGGCGTGAGCCACCGTGCCCAGCCTAAACTTTTTATTTTTATATAACATGAGCAAAGAAGCATGTTACTTGCCAGAAACATAAGGATTTCTGAGTTAGAGACCTAAAGTATTTCTATTTCTTCGTTTTACCTCTTTGAGTATGTCCTATTTTGAAATTAGTATACAGAGCAAGATTAAGCCATACGCTATCTGATGATCCTTGGTGATTGGTAATCGATGACTGGGAATTGGGGGAGGTATGTCTCAGTAGATTCAGAATCTGGGTCTCAGATTTGTCCGCGTTAGGGACTTTTTTTTTTTTGAGATGGAGTCTCGCTCTGTCACCCAGGCTGGAGTGCAGTGACGCGATCTTGGCTCACTGCAACCTCTGCCTTCCGGATTCAAGCGATTCTCCTGCCTCAGCCTCCCAAGTAGCTGGGATTAGAGGCGCCTGCCACTATGCCCAGCTGATTTTTGTACTTTCAGTAGAGATGGGGTTTCGCCATGCTGGCCAGGCTGGTCTCGAACTGCTGACCTCAGGTGATCTGCCTGCCTCGGCCTCCCAAAGTGCTGGGATTACAGGCATGAGCCACTGCGCCTGGTCACTGAAGGGACTTTTTTTTTTCCCCCATTTATTCCTTTATTTCAAGTGATTTTTTCTTAATATGGAAAGAAGAAAAAGGTATTGTTTTAGGGGAGTGGCTAAGACAGTGAAATCAAAGTTTTATTTTGTAAGTTTCTTACTGCCAACACTCTACCCCCAAAATCTAAATACAACTAAGTTAATACTGGCTAATTAAAATGAAGGAACTGGGTCAGGTGCAGTGGCTCATGCCTGTAATCCCAGCACTTTGAGAGGCTGAGGCGGGCAGATCACCTGAGGTTGGGAGTTTGAGACCAGCCTGACCAACGTGATGAAAACCCATCTCTCCTGAAAAAAAAATATAAAAATTAGCTGGGTGTGGTGGTACACATCTGTAATCCCAGCTACTCCAGAGGCTGAGGCAGGAGAATCGCTTGAATCCGGGAGGCAGAGGTTTCAGTGAGCCAAGATCGCACCATTGCACTCCAGCCTGGGTGACAGAGTTAAGACCATCTCAAAAAATAAATAAATTAATTAATTAAATTAAATGAAGGAACTGGCTAACATGATCATATATTTTTGTTCTCTGTACTATCTGCACTGACTTGTTCATTGTTTCTTTTTTCTTTTTTTGTGAGACAGGGTCTCCCTCTACTATCCAGGCTGGAGTGCAGTATGTGATCATGGCTCACTGTAGCCTCAAACTCCCAGGCCTAAGTGATCCTCCCAGTTCAGCTCCTGAGTGGCTGGGACTACAGGTGAATGCCACCAAACCTGGAGAAATTTTTTTTTTTTTTTTTTTTTTTTTTGGTAGAAACAAGGTCTTACTATATCACCCAGGTTGGTCTTGAACTCCTGGGCTCAAGTGATCCTCCTGCTTCAGCCTCCCAAAGTGCTCAGATTACAGGTGTGAGCCTCTGCACCCGGCCTCTTGTTCATTGTTTGTTCCTAGCCTGTGTTAGCCTTTCTCACCCCTTATATTTAGGCTGAGGAGATCTCTTGCTCTCCTTTATGTTCTGAGTTCTTAAGGCAACTATGTATTGGAAGCCTGGCATCTTTGATTGTAGCCTAGCCTCTGGTGACTTTTGTGAGGAACCAAATGGTTTTATCTCCCTTTTTGAGGATTTGGAATAATCCCTTATGCCTTTTGTTGATGTAACAGAGAAGCCTGTTTTCCACCAGTGGAGCTTGTAACAGTCCCTCCCCTTTCTCTGCCCCACTTGAAAAGCAACCTCTATAAAACTTCGACATTTTCTTTGCTTAACTCAGTCTATCCATTCCCAGCTGAATACCAATCCCTAATACACATTCAAAACAAAACCAAAAAAGTTTTGCTCATCAAGCTTCCCCTCCTGGCCAGTGACCTCCTACTTGGGTTTCTTTCTCAGGTGTGTGAGTTGACCTCAGCCCCTGCTTTGCCATATAATGGCTCATTGTTCCTGTTTGTGGATCTTGCAGGTAAACAGGGCTACTTTGGAAGGAACAGATATTCCCTCACATAATAAAAAAGAAGGGCCTTTTGCTGGCCTAACAGTCTTTCTTTGATCTGAAGGCACACAGTACTTGGTTAATTACCATGTTTGCCTTGTACTGCTGGCCGAGTGGCAAGGATTAGGGAATGTCTGTTCTGCAGTTATTATTTCCATTCGTCAGCTGTCAAAGCAGGCATTGTGTGATGTTTCTTAACTGGATGACATCTGGGCATCAGATTTTAGAGTCTCCTACATGGTTAGGAAGAAATAGGTGATAGTCGGGCATGGTGGCATATGCCTGTCTTCCCAGGTAGTTGGGAGGCTGAGGCAGGAGGATCACTTGAGCCAGGGAGATTGAGGCTATAGTGAGCTATGATCGCAACACTGCACTCCAGCCTGAGCAACAGAGTGAGACCCTGTCTCAAAAATAATAATAATAAATAAGAGATAACTACTGTGGTGAGTAGTTACATTTGATGCTAAGGTATGTGTGACTGTATGTGTATTTTAGCAGATTATGGGTAATTCATGTGCCCTGAATATGTAATTCATTTTCAAGTGAATGTTCGGGTGCCCATGTTGTTAGCTAAACAGGCCTGAGGGAATGGGACAGGATTTCCTAAGCTGGATATAGTGATCCTATACCTAACTGGCCTGGCTGCACTGAACTTTTTAATACTTTACACCTGAGAAATTGTCACTCCTATTAAATCTATGCTGTTTCCTTTCTCTGTCTATAGGTAGACGGAGTGCACCACCCTTGAACCTCACTGGCCTCCCTGGCACAGAGAAGCTGAATGAAAAAGAAAAGGAGGTAACAAAAGGGAGGGGGCTGGGAGAAAGAGAATAGGGGCTGATTATTCATTGAGTTGTCATTAAAAATCCATTACAGGGTCAAACCCCTTTTGTTTCATTCATCTAACATATATGCACAGCTCTGGTGAATCCTAGAAGTCCAAGAGCTAAAGAGCCGTTTGTGGCAGATTTCAGAGAATTGCTTACCTTGTCACCCTACCACCATTCCTCTTTTGGGGAAAGCACATGTGGTATGTAGATGACATAATAATAGCAACTATCATCTATTGAGCACTTACCATGTGCTACTCTACTGAGTGCTTTATGTAAATAAAATTAATTTTTTGTAAACCTAAAGTAACTTCTACATGAAAATAGATATTTCCTATTAGAATGGCTGCCTTGAAAAGTTCTATACTTATTCCAACAACATAATCATTATTTAAAACATTTTTGTAAATTGTCTCCAGAGCATGTTTATAAACCTAAGGAAAAGATTTCTACATCATATATAGTCATGTTAATTTTGATTTTAAAAATTATTTTTTATTTTTATTTTTTTTTATTTATTTATTTTTTGAGACGGAGACTTGCCCTGTCACCCAGGCTGGAGTGCAGTGATGCGATCACAGCTCACTGCAGCCTCCACCTCCCAGGTTCAAGCGATTCTTCTGCCTCAGCTCCCCGAGTAGCTGGGACTGGACTATAGGCGCTTGCCACCATGCCTGGCTAATTTTTGTAGTTTTTAGTAGAGATGGGGTTTCACCATGTTGGCCAGGCTGATCTTGAACTCCTGACCTCATGATCCATCCACCTTGGCCTCCCAAAGTGTTGGGATTACAGGCGTGAGCCACCTCACCCGGCCTATTTTTTATTTTTTATTTGAAAGTCTCGCTCTGTTACCCAGGCTGGAGTGCAGTGGTGTGATCTCGGCTCACTGCAACCTCTGCCTCCCGGGTTCAAACGATTCTCCTGCCCCTGAGTAGCTGGGACTACAGGCGCATACCACCACACCCGGCTAATTTTTGTATTTTTAGTAGAGACGGGGTTTCACCTTGTTAGCCAGGCTGGTCTCGAACTCCTGACTTCAGGTGATCCACTCACACCAGCTCCAAAAGTGCTGGGATTAGAGATGTGAGCCACTGCACCGGCCTGATTAAAAAATTATGTGACCTACTTTTTCCAGTTGCAATCATCAGACATGTCTTCATATTGATTTTATCTGTTTCTAAAATTTAAAGCCAGCCTCATAAGAGTCATCATCAGGAGTTTTCAGAAAACTTTGTCACATCTCTGAAGTCTGTTCCTCTTTTGGAGGAGTTCCTCTTTTGCTCCTCATATGCTCCTTTTATAATTCCCAAGGTCAGTTCCCCATCTCCCACCATATATCATTAGTTCAGTTCAGATAATAAGGAAGGGTCATAGTGTAGGGGATAGTGTTAGTCTTATTTTATCCACCAGGAACAGTAAGGATTAGTTTGGGAGTGGAAGGAAATGTATGTAGTATCTATGTATTGCTGAAGGAGGTCATAGGTCAGCCTGATTCAAATATTGAATGGCCTGGAATTTCAAGCTTTTTTTATCCTTACCCACATAATGGTGACCTCAGACTCCTCATTGCTGGATAATGTGGCAATTTTCTAGATTTTTAGCAGTTAAAGTTACCTCCTCTTAGCAAGGTCTCTTTATCTCCTTTCCCTTTGAAGTAGGAAATGTAATCCCCAAAGCAGGGACTACTGCTTTATGCTGACACTAAAAACAATGTGATGCAGCCTTGAGAATCCAAGTGTCTGTGCATTCTGCCCCCACTGTGCCCCATGGCTCTTCCCTGACCATTGGTGCTGGGACTGTACCTGGGCATTTAGTGTTTGACTCCTGAAAGAGCCAGGCTGCTCCTCAGGAGCACATAGTTGTAAATCCCTAACAAACCCAGGCCCCTGAGCCAGCTGGCATGTGCTAAAGGCTCTTCTAGTATCACACCCTGGCTTTCTCTTCCTGGGTGTGTGTCCTTAGGGAGTGTTCTCTCCAGAGAGGAAGAGACTAAATGGAATGTAGTCCAGCCACCCATCAGCTCCTATAAATAGTTGGAGGTTGATGTCACTTTAAAAAATTTTTTGCTATACCTGCTGGATTAAATTACAAAAATGACAGATGTTAATGTTTATTAAATTTGCCGTGTCTTGCAGCTCTGTCAGATGGTGAGGTTGGTCCCTGGAGCCTATTTAGAATACAAATCTGCTCTATTGAACGAATGTAACAAGCAAGGAGGCTTAAGACTGGCGCAGGCAAGAGCACTCATCAAGATAGATGTGAACAAAACCCGGAAAATCTATGATTTCCTCATCAGAGAAGGATACATCACTAAAGGCTAAGGCTCCAAGAGCTTGGGATCAGAAGTCAGAAGTTTGGAATGTGGTGGGTCAAAGGACAATATGGGTGGGCATTCTGGAGAGTTGTTTTTCAGCTGAATTCTCATGGTGAAAACAGGGGAAAGGACAAAGGAAACCTTAAGTTGTATTGTCTACTTTCTTCTCCATCCTGCTTTAAAACACTCCTGTTGTTGGTATTATGCTGCAGAGTTGTGTGCTACATAAGCTATTATTAAATGTGAGTGGGCATTCATTCCTAACACCTCTTGTAACTAAAAGAACCATAGTACCTCACATCACAGTGCTGGTAGAAATGGAACTAAACCACAGTCTGTAATCCCAGGAGTCCAGCTCAGATCCTTATATTGCGAGGTAAGTTTGCTGATTATCTGTCTTGCCTTCAAACACTGCAGACAGATTTAAAATAAAGAGAAAGGTTTTAGAGCATAAGAAAGCTCTCGTTGAAGGATTTTTTAAGCTGACAACTTTTTTTTTTTTTTTTTGAGACAGAGTTTGCTCTTGTCCTCCAGGCTGGAGTGTGATGGCAAGATCTCAGCTCACTACAACCTCTGCCTCCCAGGTTCAAGTGATTCTCCTGCCTCAGCCTCCCGAATAGCTGGGACTACAGGTGTCCACCACCACACCTGGCTAATTTTGTATTTTTAGTAGAGACAGGGTTTTGTCATGTTGGCCAGGCTGGTCACAAACTCCTGACCTCAGGTGATCTGCCCGCCTCAGCCTCCCAAAGTACTAGGATTACAGGCGTGAGCCATCGCGCCCGGCCTAAGCTGACAACTTTTATGAGTAAAGGGGAAGAAAATATCCTTATGATGGTCTTATCCCAAACTGCATCTTTAACTTCGGCCGGGCAAGGTGGCTCACCTGTAATCCCAGCACTTTGGGAGGCTAAGGTGGGCGGATCACGAAGTCAGGAGTTCAAGACCAGCCTGACCAACATGGTGAAACAGTCTCTACTAAAAATACAAAAATTAGCTGAGTGTGGTGGCACACGCCTGTAATCCCAGCTACTCAGGAGGCTGAGGCAGGAGAATTGCTTGAACACAGGAGGCAGAGGTTGCAGCGAGCTGAGATCACGCCACTGTGCTCCAGCCTGGGCAACAAAGTGAGACTCTGTCTCAAAAAAAAAAAAACAAAAAAAAACCTTTAATGTCTGGCTTTGTACTTTGCAGTCTGCCTGTCTAATCTGCAGTAGTCTTTTGAGGAGGTGGCACCGGATATAACATGTCTCTGTTATTTTTAGAATTAATTAAAATGTTTTGCTATTTAATTTGTGGGTGTGTCAAATATTCTGGTAACTGAAACACACTTAAGGTGTTGGATGCCTGCCCCATCACGCTGCACTGTCTGCTGTCACATGTGTCCTGAACTCACCCTGTTTTTGCCCTGGGTTTCCCAGGATACCAAGCCCCTGAGGATGGAGATGATGCAACAAACCTCAGCTTTGCTTGGATTGTGACTTGAACCCTATTTCTCAATGGTGAAAGGCTAGCCTGCAATAAAAGCTGCTTTTAAAACAGAAGTAAAGCAGCTTTATATATGGGACTCACTAGATATGAGGGTAAGTAGCCCCACCACATGTAAAACTTGGTCCTCAAACGTTTCTGCAGAATAAGAAGCCAAACTTATGGTTATCTTGTTTCTGTTAGAAACAAAGTTGTATATAGAAATAACTTCGTCAGAATCGACACAAATCACATCGAATAGTTGACTGTTTAATTCCTTCTACATTCAAATATCTAATTAAAATACTGTGTGCTTTGTTGGAAGCATCTGCTCAAACTTTTGACTGTTGTAAATATGCATGCAGCTGGGAAGGGATTCATCTAAGGGATAAGAAATGAAAAAGACACTCTAAGGACCTGAGGGAATTCAAATAGAGGACTTCGATTTTTTAAAAAGAATGACGTGGAAATGACCTGTTTTCCTTGTAAAATCATATCTCGTAGAAAACATTTTACCACTACCATCACCCCTAGTTGGTTGTGAAGTGATTGCCTCTTATCCCTGAAAGGAAACTCCTGTTCTGAAAAGTTGGGATGCATTAGCCATCAGTGTTAGGTGACGTCTGTTGTAGTCTGAAGAGTCCTTAACCTTGATTAAGGAAGGCTTCCTGGGAGAGGTGGGCTTTTGGGGCAATTATATGATAGAGAAGAGAGAGAAAAATGGCAGATGGAAGTGGGAGACAATTCCACACACAGGGGGTGGAGAATGATGTGGAGGCAGCAGTGGGTGTAAGGACAATGGTGCCAAGAGATTTATTTGGCTAGAACACAAGGGGCAGCTGGGTAGTTAGGAGTGGGAGGATGGTAGGACAGTCTGACAGAAACCTTGGAAACAGTTGAACTCTGAAAAGCTGATGGCAAATCAGATTTCATGAGGAAAATGGCATGGTTGAAAATAGTAATAGAAAAATAAGACTGAAGTTTTAAATGACTGGATTTTTGAAAGTAGGATTATTATTTCTTTGGTATACCGAACTTTGCAAAGATACGTAGCATTGCATCCTTCCTCTTTGCTTCTAGACAGGGTTGGCCATAAACCAACTACACTGATAGAGGTCTCTCCAGATTGTCTCAGAAGAGAGAGTTTACCCTGAAACTTAATGACATGAATAAAACCTGTTTACTGAAATTTTTATTGCAATTTAACGTTAAAAGTTTCTGCTGGAGTTTTATGCATATTTTTCTCTCTAAGTGGTGGGAAATAAAGAACAAATCTCTTTCCATGTAATGACTCTTCTCTGTGCTCAAAGACCAAGACTCTGTCTCTTGCGATACCAATTAATACTAAATATTCAGTTTATCTTTTCCTGGGTCCCAGTTTCTTTCCTTTTATTGTTAACCGTCTTCACTTCCCCCGCTTTTAAAAATCTGAACTCAGTTAAGCAACCAGTCATTGAAATGACTGGGGGTTAGCTGGAAAAGGGAGAAAACCAATGGCATTCATCAATAACAACAAAATCCCAGTTTGTAGGACATTCTAGCTTTAGGAAATATGTAGGTATGTAACAAGAGAAAAAATCTGCATTGAAGAATCAGAGGCCACATTACACAGCAGTTTGGGAAAACTCACTCATAAATATGTATGAGTTTTATTATTTCTTTGGTAAACCCAGCTTTGCAAAGCTTTATGCCTAGAATCCCTCCAAAAAACACTTTTTCACCCATCTTTAAGCAAACAGTGGTACTGTATTCTCAACAGCATTCTGGGGAACTTCGCCCATTCATTTTTAAGGATATCTTTGTGGACACCTTCTAAATGTACATTGCATTATTCTTGACAACACAAAAGGGTTTTCTGTATCTTATATGCACCTAGCTTTTTGTTTGAATTTCTAAAAATTATATTGAAATAAAAGTTTGATTCAAGAGGTGCTGCTGATCTGGAAGCTTTGCTTTCCTTTCCAACGTGCTTAGCCAAATGCAGCTAACCTTTCCCACATCTGCCAGAAGGGACCATCTTTGGAACACGAGGACACTGCCATGTCTGTGGCCTTGCATAGAAGAGTTGGCCAAGCTAAAAGAATTCTTTTTAATCAGACACTGGCTGGGTGCAGTGGCTCATGCCTGTAATCCTAGCACTTTTTGTGGCTGAAGTGGGAGAGTCACTTGAAGCCAGGAGTTTGAGACCAGGCTGGACAACACAGCAAGACCCCCATCTCTACATTAAAAAAAAAAGAATGCTGGGTGTGGTGGCTCACGCTTTTTCTCCTAGCTACTTGGAAGGCTAAGGCAGGAGGATTGCTTGGGCCTGGGTAGTCAAGGCTGCAGTAAGCCATGATTTGTGCCATTGTAATGTAGCCTGAGTGACAGGGCAAGACCCTGTCTCTACCAAAAAAAAAAAAAAAGACGATACCTAGTCCTTTTGAGCCAAATGTAAGTGAAACAGAGCAAGAGCAGGGTCACAGCAGCCTGAATAGTAATAGTCCTGCTGACATAGGCACTTGATTTGGGAGTGAGAACAATAGTGAAGAGTTTTTAGGCCAGTGGCTCATGCCTGTAATCCCAGCATTTTGGAAGGATGAGGTGGGCGGATCACTTGAAATCAGAAGCTCAAGACCAGCCTGGCCAACATAGCGAATCCCCGTCTCTACTAAACATATAAAAATTACCCAGGCGTGCTGGTTCACGCCTATAATCCCAGCCTCAGGGAGGCTGAGACAGTAGAATCACTGGAACCCAGGAGGTGGAGGTTGCAGTGACCCGAGATTGCGCCACTGCACTCCAGCCTGGGCAACAGAACAAGACTGTCAAAAAAAAAAAAAAGTGAGGAGCTTTTAACTTGGGAATTTGGAACCTAAGTAGCCAGTCCTTGAAGTGTGCATCAGAACTGACGTGTTAGTGTGCTGTGTTTGAGGAGGGAAAAATGAACAGTTGCTGAGAGGTATGGAAAACCAGTTTCTTTGTCTAATGGCAGGGAGTTCTTTTTCTGTTGTTTGTTGCCTTGGCTTCCAGCAGTTAAGGTGTACTGCAATCAAACTGCCCTTTGATTTGATTGACTAAGCTACAAATCAGAGACATTATTTAAGGGAAAGGTGAATGTCGTGCATCTGCCATCACAATTCCTTTGTCACTTGAGTAGCTTGTTATGCATTGTGTCCTAGGCCCCCTTCCCTGTTGACAGTAGGAATAAGGAAATGGAGATAGCACAGGAAGTTAACCACTAAAAGGTTCCAACCCCTGAAAACTACAAAAAATTTATTTCATAGATGTAGCCCTGAAGGTCACTGTACTTACCCTTGTCTTGGAAAACCCTGTAGTTAACTTTTGCCAGCCCAGACTTGGTCTGGATAATTGAGTCTGATGCACCTATTTTCTACGTTAGAGCACCAGAATGGATTTTTGTGGCACCAAACTAATCATTTGGTTGAATTAACCCCCTCTTCTTAACCAAGCAACACTTTTTTCATCTTGGTCTGGTCTCCCCTGAGGCTGTGGGTGGCAAAAAGCTTCCAGGTAGCTTATAATAATCCTGCCTTGGTCCAGAGTTGTGTTGAACAGAATCAGCATCTTAGGAAATGTGGAAAGGAGAAGGTCTCACAGTTGTTTTAAGAAACCAGCACTTTCTTAAGCAGAAATGCTGAAATGCTGCCATCAAATCACCCTTATTCAGTGAACTGACAGCCAAGTGCCAACTCATGACACTTCTAACATATCTCTCCTCTTGTTGGAAAGCTAGCTGCCGAGTATACTCTCCATTTCTGAAATTGTTCGCAATGACGTAAGACTTTCTTCCTATTGAACAATATATAACTATTGATTTGGATCCTTCCCTCGCCCCTCACCTTTCATTATCATCATTTAGGGAATTCCTTTAAAACAGAAAAACATATTAAGAAGTTAAAAATCAACGGAGGGCAGGCGTGGTGACTCACACCTGTAATCCCAGCACTTTGAGAGGCTGAGGTGGGCAGATCACTTGAGGTCAGGAGTTCGAGACCAACCTTGCCAACATGTTGAAACCCCGTCTCTACTAAAAATACAGAAATTAGGCGGGCGTGGTGGTGCATGCCTGTAATCCCAGCTACTTGGGAGGCTGAGGCGGCTGAGGCAGGAGAATCGCTTGAACCCAGGAGGTAGAGGTTGCAGTGAGCCAAGATGGTGCCACTGCACTACAGCCTGGGCGACAGAGTAAGACTCTGTCTTTAAAAAAAAAAAAAAAAAGGAATTTGGGCTGTGGGCTCTTAATCATTTCTGATAACAGTTACTACCAGAGATAACTAGCTCCTGGACCGAGGGAGAGAATAGTGCATTTGCCCAATTGATGTCCCCCTATAAGAAAACTGATGTTTTTATTTCAGTTTCTAATCTTATTTCAGTTTCTAATCTTTAGGAAGTTGTCCAATTTTTGGGGTAATTTAATAGCTTTTCCCAAAAATTATTGAAAAAAGAGCAAAAAGTTCAGAAATGCCTTGAAGACTCTAGCTGAGATGGATGGACTGATTCGAACTTTTAGTAGCAGACGAGACAGCAGGATTCCGACCCTGAGATCAGGTTATTTGCTTTGGAGAGGTGGGGTAACAGCTTTTCCACACAATATCCCTAGTAGGAACCTCTTTTTAGCCTTTTTAAGGGCAAACGGCAGCTGATAAAGCCACTCCCGTGGAGGCAGAAACATTTAAGCTCTAGCCACAGACAGGTGATAGGAATGTCAACCTCACCTGGCTGTCAACCCCAACAAGAAAATCTTGGCCTTGTTCTGGGCGTGCATAGCTTCAGATTCAGGACACTTGTCAGATCTAAGATGGGCATAGGTTTTAATTTCATTTAATTTCAACTTCCAATGATACAAATGGAAGATGCAAAGTGAAATGCTTTTGAGAGCAAAGTCTCCCAGGGGTGCCTCCACCCACCCCCAGCGACTGTGCAAAAGAAGGCGTTTGTGGGAGAGAAGGGTGACTATAGACGTCATTGCATCATCCAGATCCCAGCTGTGACCTGGCTCAGAGTTTTCCAGTTAAAAATAACCATGGCTTACAATTGGGGGAAAAGAGTAAACTGTTCCGTCTCCATGGAAACTAGGAGTGTGTGTTGAGGGGTGGGGGGAAGACAAGCTACAGATTTCTAGCACATGTGGCAAGATGGGGTGGATGTAGGGACCAGAAGCTTAGAGGCCCTCTGATGAAAGTTGATACCCCTATTTAGCATCCAGGATGTGGCCAGACACTGCTCCAGGGCTCTGGAGACACTGCATCAAGGATTTGTTTACAACGATGTGTACATCTTGGGTCTGGTGATGAATTAATTTGAGTCTTCTGACTTCCTGTAACAGATTTGCTACTATTTGGCAAAGCAAAGAGCAGATGAGCAAGACTGTAGGTTAGATGTTGCCTTTTAATCAATCTGGGAACCTCCACTACCTTTCCATTCACATTCTGTTTCTTAGCATATTCAGCACACCTTCATTTGCATATTCAGTAGTTTGGTTATGACACATGTAGTAGTTTATAACTAGAGGAGAAGTCTCCAGGTTTTTTGGGCTGGTTTGGAAATTTACTCCCCTTCAGTAAGACCAGGTTTTCTTCTTTGTTCCATGAGTTTACGCAAAGCATCATTCATTAGCTTGTTTGTCTTTAAAGGTAGGTCTCTTACCATTTCTGGTATACTTACTACCAGAGATAACTGACTCCTGAGGGAAGAATAGTTCGTTTACCCTTTTTAAAAAGGTCTCTTTAAAATTTTCTTTTCTTCAAATACATTCCAGTTGTAAACAAAATCGTTTTAAACACTCATTTTATTTTTATTTTTTTTGAGACGGAGTCTTGCTCCCTCGCCCAGGCTGGAGTGCAGTGGCACAATCTCGGCTCACTGTAACCTATGCCTCCCAGATTCAAGCAATTCTCCTGTCTCAGCCTTCTGAGTAGCTGGGACTACAGGCGTCTGCCACCACGCCCAGCTAATTTTTATATTTTTAGTAGAGATGGGGTTTCACCTTGTTGGTCAGGCTGGTCTCGAACTCCTGACCTCAGGTGATCCACCCGCCTCGGCCTCCCAAAGTGCTGGGATTACAGGCGTTGAGCCACCGCGACCAGCCATTTATTTATTTTTTGAGATGCAGTCTCACTGTGTCACCCAGGCTGGAGTTGGAGTGGTGTGATCTCGGTTCACTGAAACCTCTGCCTCCCTGGTTCAAGCAATTCTCCTGCCTCAACTTCCCGAGTAGCTGGGATTACAGGTGCACACCACCACACGCAGCTAATTTTTGTTATCTTTAGTAGAGACAGGATTTCACCACGTTGGGTCAGGCTGGTCGCCATCTCCTGACCTCAAGTGATCCACCTGCTTCAGCCTCCCAGAGTGCTAGGATTACAGGCGCGAGCCACCTCGCCCCACCAAAACACCCATTTTAAAATTAAGATTTACAGAGCAGGCTGGGCACAGTGGCTCATGCCTGTAATCCCGGCTACTAGGGAGGCTGAGGCAGGAGAATCGCTTGAACCCGGGAGTTGGAGGTTGCAGTGAGCCGAGATCGCGCCATTGCACTCCGGCTTGGGCGACAAGAGTGAAAACTCCGTCTCAAAAAAAAAAAAAAAAAAAAAATTATAGAGCAAATAACTGAGGAAGAAGTAGGGATTGTTGACATTACTGGCTCTCTACAGCTAAATGCTTTCTTGTTTACCTGCCTGGTGTACTGAAAAGATCTGAGCACTAATCCCTGTTCTGGTATTTAATAATAATGCAACCTTGGGCAGTTTCTTAATACTTATGTCTAAAGTGTGGTTGGTAATACCTACCTGACTGGGTTGATGAAGATTAAATGAGCCGGGTGTGGTGGCTTACGCCTGTAATCCCAGCACTTTGGGAGTCCAAGGCGGGTGAATCGCCTGAGCTCAGGAGTTTGTTTGTTTTTTTGTTTTTTTGTTATTGAGACGGAGTCTTGCTCTGTCGCCCAGGCTGGAGTGCAGTGGCGCGATGTCTGCTCACTGCAAGCTCCGCCTCCCGGGTTAACGCCATTCTCCTACCTCAGCCTCCTGAATAGCTGGGACTACAGGCGCCCGCCACCACGCCCGGCTTTTTTTTTTTTTTTTTTTGTATTTTTAGTAGAGACGGGGTTTCATGTTAGCCAGGATGGTCTCAATATCCTGACCTCGTGATCCGCCCGCCTCGGCCTCCCAAAGTGCTGGGATTACAGGCGTAAGCCACCGCGCCCGGCCTGAGCTCAGGAGTTTGAGACCACCCTGGGCAACATGGTGAAACCCTGTCTCTACTAAAATACAAAAAATTAGCTGGGCTTGGTGGCGCACGCCTGTGGTCCTAGCTACTCGCACCACAGCACTCCAACTTGGGCTACAGAGTGAGACTCTGTCTCAAAAAAACAAAACAAAAACAACAAAAGATTAAATGTGTTAAGGTATATAACACACCTGGTGCCTCCCTTCCTTTTCTTTTCCCACTGAGCCTTTGACATTTAGTTTCACTGCGGTCAGGTATGAGCAAGTACATGATTTTCCTGTACCACCCAATTCACATCATGCAAAAGTCTCACAGAGAGGGACATGAAGATCTGCAAGAACAAATGTTAAAACAGACAGATGTGCATTTTACAAGGATGTTGTTTATCTTGAAATTCTCATCACTGCATCATTGCTACTGCCCAAGGGTTGAATTAAGGGCAAAACATTTCAGAGACAGATTTGAAATTACCTAATTATCCTAGACATGTTGTAATGTTCCCTTTTATAATGCCTGGCTCAAAAAGCTTGATGTCAGGTTACAGAACTGTATGCATTCTTTGATTGTAATTGTGTTAACAATAGTAAAAAATCTTGCATACAATCAAGACCAGAAAGAAATCCAGATGCTAATTGTTGTTTTGTTAAGTAATAAAATGGTGGTAAGCAATGCTTTTTCTCTTTTTGCTTTTTTTTCTTTTTCTTATCTGTAATGTGACAATTCTTTATTACTTGGAAAGTACATTTTATGAGAACTGTGAAAACTCGGAAAGTAGAAGTTCAAAGTATTTTACATTTAATAACATCTAGCTAATCCTTATGATATCTAGATAAGGTGCTACTTTACATCTTATGAAATAGCACAAGCCTTAGGCAAACTTCTGTAGTAGAAGAAATGTGTTCTGAGACTTCTGAGACTTCTATCTTGCTAGTTTTTAAGATATCTTTTCTCCCAGAAACCTGGTGTCCAGTGTCCCTCTCAAATCTGCCAAAGGACAGTAGCTTAAAGATTTACTTATCTCAGGGGAGTTGCATTTTTATAGCCATCAATGGCATATAATTTGGAATTAGAGGCACAGGCAAGCAGGCCTTCCGAATCTCTGTGAGCCACAAGACCCGATGGCACCCTGAAATCAAACTTCTGTAGACTGGGAGCCTTGTTGACCGCTGTTCCCCAATTCTGACAGATCAAAGCTGTTGCTAATTTGTTAACCAGAGGCAGTGATACAAATGGAAGATGCAACTATTCATTCTGAGGGACGCATAAAAGTCTGATTAATCTAAGGAGCAGTCATTGCCCAAGCAGTTAAGGAGAATATTTTTGGAAAGGCAGACATCAGAAGCTAAGCAGAGTACAAATTTCCACCCTCTACTTACTGTATTAATCATATCAGCTCTCACTCTTCGTAGATGCTGCCCTGCTCGAAAGCACTGGT
Organism: Homo sapiens; assembly: GCF_000001405.40. Classification (NCBI taxonomy): domain Eukaryota; kingdom Metazoa; phylum Chordata; class Mammalia; order Primates; family Hominidae; genus Homo; species Homo sapiens. Next base: position 1,726,278 of record NT_187614.1, read on the forward strand.
TATTTAGCTGGGAGTCAGGAGAACCCAAACCCTCCCTGGGCATAGACAAATTGTAATTTTATAGCAGACAGCCTCTAAAATGTTTCTACATCCACAACAGTTGACACTGCCAGGCGCAGTGGCTCATGCCTCTAATCCCAGCACTATGGGAGGCTGAGGTGGGAGGATTGTTTGAGCTTAGGAGTTCGAGACCAGGCTGGGCAACATATTATTTAAAGAGACTAGGTCTCTTTAGTAATAACAAGGCCAGGTGCGGTGGCTCACGTCTATAACCTCAGGGGGCATCACCTGAGGTCGGGAGTTCAAGACCAGCCTGACCAACGTAGAGAAACCCTGTCTCTACTAAAAACACAAAATTAGCCAGGCGTGGTGGTGCGTGCCTGTAATCCCAGCTACTCGGGAGGCTGAGGCAGGAGAATCACTTGAACCCGGGAGGCGGAGGTTGCGCTGGGCCGAGATCGTGCCATTGCACTCCAGCCCAGGCAACAAGAGCGAAACTCCGTCCCCCCCAAAATAATAAAAACTAATTAGCCAGGCGTGGTGGCGTGCCTGTAGTCCCAGCTACTTGGGAAGCTGAAGTGGGAGGACCACCTGAGCCCGGGAAGTGGAGGCTTCAGTGAGCCATGATTGCACCACTGCACTCCATCCTGAAGCCTATCTTAAAAAAAAAAGAAGAAAAAGTGACACCTATAAAAAAACTCACATACTTATAGTCCAGAAATGTGCTGTCCAGTAAGGTAGCCACTAGCCACATGTGGCTATCTAAATTTACTAAAATAAAATTTTAAATTCACTTCCTTAGTTACACTAGCCATATTTCGTGTTCAGTAGCAACATGAGGCTAGTGGCTACTGTACTGGAGAGTGGAGATACAGAACATGTCCATCATCACACAAAGTTCTACTGGACAGTGCTGGTCCAGAAGAGAATAACTTCAAATTGCATTTTTGGTACAGGCATGTATAAGCCCGCACTTCCACATTCTGTAAAGGCATAAAGCGCCTCCCTACCCCAGGGCATGTCTGTACAGTCATTAAATGGTCTGACTCCAGCACTTCTTTCTACTTAATCTCTAAATCTCTAAATCTTGACACGCACATCGCACACAACACAAACTCTATTTTAGCCCACCTCCCTCTTCACTGACTCTTCATGGTAGGTTTAGTTCCCATAATCCATGAAAATGCCTAGCTCCTTGTCACTAGAGCTTGTTTTGGAAACCTGCCTACAGTGTAACAAGCTGGAATGTGAAGAGGGATGCATCTATTTGTGTTGCTGAGTCATTGAATTGACTGAAGCTTCAAGGACTAGGGGGTGCTGAGCAGAAATGAAAACACACAATCCTTTCTGTTAGAGATTTGCTCTTTTCGTATTGGCATGTAAACAAGTAAGTCACTAAGTGAACTGACGTCACAATTTAGTTTTAGGAAGATGCTTTTCCCAGGCACGATTTGAACTCAGTGGTTTCCTGAATCTAGCAAAGTATGCTGCTTTGTTTTCTCTTAGATTAATTTTGCCTAATTTTAAAGCTTTGATTCTCTTTTTACGAAGACGAAAATAAATCTCTCTAGTCTGGGCCTTTTTCGTTTCCCAGGATTATGATTAAAATTATCACTAACTTTTAGATAGTCCAGCACGCACCGGATGACTCTGAAGCCGGTTGGGCAGTGGAGATCGGGAAGAACATGAAAAAGCTTCAAAGCTTTTGGTTGAGGACATCGGGAGATGTAAACCCCAAACGCGGGTTTTACTTCTCCCCTCCACCCCTCCCCGCAAACCCATGCCTACTCGTTTTGACTGCTCAGCAATTCTGAGGCCAACCATTTGCAACGGCGAGGAGCAGGGGCTGGTGAGTCAAGGACTGGGCATGGAGTCAGGACTCTTAGGTGCCTTGACTCACGGCAGAGCCTTGAGGAAGTCGCTTTGCCTCCCACGTGTCTCCCTTCACCTGCCAGAGGCGGAGGGGAGGCGGGGCTGTGCTGGAAAACGTCCGTTTCGCACCGACTTATGTTACAGATGGGCAGACCTGAATTTTAAAAGACCCTCAGAGTCACACAGCAAATGAGCCCTCAAATGCCCGTGTCCCGCCTGCGCTCCGGAGAACCCCTGCCCTGCCTCGGGGACTCGGGAGGTGGGTGTGGGCTCCGAGACTCGGACGGCACCTTGGCGTGGCGAGAGCAGGTGGAGATGCGCACGGAGGTTGCATGTTCACCTCCGGGTCTCGGGCGCCACGGCTGCCCGTACCTGTTCCAGCAAGCGTCAGCCAGGAACTGCCGCGCTACTGATTTTCCCTTCGCTCTTGGGTCCCAACCCCCGGGCTCTCCGGGCTAGGGAGGCGGTGGGGTGGGGTCGAGGCCGTCCCGAGCCACCCGCGGCGGCTTCACACCTGTATCGGATTTGCTTTCTCGCCTTTAATCCTCTCCAATCCCGAAAGCACCCCAGCAGAGCGCCCCCGCAGCCCGCCTCGAGCCCGGCTCATACGCAGACGCTGACTGGGGAAGCGAGGGGTCGCCGGTGTGTGAGGCAGGGTAAGAGACCAGGGGACCTGCACGGAGGAGCGCTCTAGGGGAGGCTGCTGCCTCGGGAGCTAGGGCGCGCCCGGACCACACCGCACGGCGCAGAAGCCCAGCGCGCACGCGCGCCGCCTGCCGCCCCGCGCGTCCCCCCGCCCCGCGTCGCGTCCCCCCACCTCGGGAGAGGGCGGCCAGGCGCAGGGAGCGTGCGCGCGGCCCGCCCCGGGCGCGGGCGGAGGGAGGAGGAGGCGGCGCGCGCGGCGCCCAGCCCGCAGAAGCCGGTGGCCGCGCAGGAGGACGGAGCCCTAACCGCAACCCGCGCCGCGCCGCGCCGCGCCGGTAGGGGACCCGCAGGCCCGGGGGTGGGGGTTGTGGGGAAGGTGTTGGGGTGGGGCGGGAGGGCGGGACTTCGCGCTTCGGGTCCCTGGGCGCAGGGGGACCCAGAGGCCCGCGCGACCCCGCCTCTGGAAACTTTGTGCCGGCGCCCCCACCTGCTCCCTGGCGGTCCTTGACTCTTCGGGGCGGCCCGCGGAGGAGAGGCCCGAGACCTTCCGCAGCGCACCCTCGCCGGCCCTGAGCGTGCGCCCCCTGCCGCTCCCCCGCCGCGCCGCGCCGCCCCCGCGACCCTGTCCCTGTGCCCCGGGGCTCCAGCAGCCTCGGCCGCGCCTCCTCCGTCGCCTTCCGACCCCGCTGAGGCCGCCTACTCTCGCTGGCATCCACCCGCTCTGGAGCGCGCCGCCGCTTTTTGCATCTCCCCGAGGTTTCTGGTGCATGGATAGAAGCAACTTGACTTTCAGCGATGCCAAGTGTCCAACTTGAGTCTTTCTCTGCGGTGGTAGATGGGTGTGCGCGGTGCTAACATCTGTCTTTTTATTTCTCCTAAGTACCCTTGCTCCGGAGCGAAGTTGAGTTGTTGTTTGTAAAGAGGGGGTGCGTGCTGTGGCCGCCTTAAGTGGATTGTATAACTGTATTTTATTTAGGTGGATGTTGCCAGTGGTACCAGCCAGTGTTATGGTAACTGGGCATCCCAGAGGCTAGGGAAGGAGGAGCGACTTACAAATGCAGTTTTACCATGCAGAGATTTTTTTTTTTTAAAACCACCTTGTACTTTCTATCCAGCAGGACCTCCGGACATTTAGTGTGTGTTAACTCGTTAGCTGTTCATTATCGTTTTATAAGAGAGGGGGGTGGAGAGCGTTACCATCCCGTTTTACAGATGTAAAAACGGAGGCGAAGAGCAAACTCCGGGTATCCTTAGTAACCTTAAAAGAATAGGGACCAAGAGATTTAACCCAGAGTCTCCTGGAATTCCTAGTCCCTAAGGCCACTCAGAAGTATGATGGAATGTTGGACCGTCCTCCCTGACATTCTACAGATCACTTAAGAGTCAGAGAGGCCGAGGCCAGCCGGCAGCTCCATGCCTGAGACTCAGCTCTGCCACAAAGTTAAGTAACACTGGACAAGTCACAGTTTCTCTCCGCTCATTTCCTTCCTGCTCTCTAAAACCAGGGGAACAAAGGTGCTGTATTCTTTGCAGAGTTGTGCGTGTGTCTGGAAGCTCCACTCCCTTGAGCTGCGATTTGGTTATTGTTAGTTGTTGTGGACTCATAAAGGCCCCCAGTCTTGGTTCCCTTGAGAAATGCAGGGAAGGAGGCACCCCCACAGTGAACGCCTCTTCTTCGCCAGAGACGCCTGAGAATTCACATCAGGGACACTTCACATCAGGGACAGGCCGGGGCAGAGACCCTGACCTGAGGGAGGGACGAGGGTTGCCACGAGGAGGTAGGAAGGAGCCCTGCACAGGAGGCTTGACACATGGGCCCTATTCCTGCCTCCAGCTCTGACTCATCTTCTGACGCTTGGGGGAGGAGAGGTAGTTGCTTGGTATTTTTGGCTTTCCACCATAAAACTGGAGACAGTTTCCTTCATTCCAAGTCGTTTTAATGTCACTGTTGAACGTGTGTGTCCTGAGTTCTCATCTGAAAGCTTTCATATCGGTTGACTGCAGGTATGAATTCTGTAATAATAATTAATAGAATGGCATAAATGTATATTCATATCATAAAAGACTAGCCAAGTATGTAAGTCCAGGAAATCCTTTAATACTTTAACATTTTTAAAAAGTGGGCTTTAGGGAGGGCTATGTTTGATGGGTTCCTTTGCAATTGGGATTTTAAGGCAAAATGGATTAAAAATGCTTTTCCCAAAATCACAAGAAATACATTAACCATTCTCTGTGAGATTTAAACTTTACTAATAAGGTTAAAGCTTTCTTTTGAACCTCTTCCTCAAAAGTAACTGCCGAGTGCATCTTGATCGGTTTGTGTATATCTTTTTAGACTTTTCTAAGCATTTTTATAAATGTCCGTTTGCACAAAGTGGTTTTTTAACCGAAATTAATTATTTTAAAGTTGACTTGTCCTGTTTATAAAGATTTGGCTTCTGTCAAGAACAAGTAATGTGTTTAAGTACAACTGTTGGTAAAGTTTTAATAATCCTGATAGACGGTGTTACTTCCCAGGGCAAGGGGCAAATTACCCCTTTTAAACAACTTCAAAGTAGTAGAATCATTACGATCCTAGGTTTTACTCTTAGGTGCTGAATAAAACTTTCCTATTTAAAAAAAAAATCTAGGACTACTAGCCTATTGTCTTGTCTTTGCTTATAAAGAAACGTCAAAGGGAGTGGAAGACAGGGAGAGTTGCTAAAGCAACCAAGGCCTGGGTATAAACTTACAGAGCTAACATTTAAGATGGCTTTATTATTTATGAAAGCTTCACTTCACCTGGGTGAAGACAAAGGAAAGTGTTAATGTGGGCACCCTTCAAACCGGTAATTTCAGGAAATGGATGGGTTAAAACAAAATTCATGTCAGGATTCTGTGGATTTATATATTATACATTTACCGAGGACTTTTACCATGCTAAAGGTGCTGTGCCTGAATACAGAGGAAGAAGGCAAGTAAGGTCGGTCTCTGACCTTATGAAGCTGACAGGCAAATAGTGACATTCAGAGAGAGTTGGCCAGAATTGTTGTCATGGTTCTGAATTCCCAGAAATCAACATTAGATTTATTGAATTGTGAATTATGTAAAAAAGTGTCTAAAACAAATGGATAATTTGATGGATTATTTTAACGAAAACATAAGTGTAACTGTCTTGCAGGTCAAGAATCTGACTCCACACTCTCTCCCTCCCCCAGAGGTCCTAGCCAGAAACTACCCTGACTTTTATGGAAATCATTTCCTTCTTTTCTATAGTTTTTATCCCCTAAATATAAATCCCTAATTGACATAGTTTTATTTTGCTTGTTTTTAACCTCAGTGCAAACTAAAAGTAGATACTCTTGTGAATCCTTCCTTCTGGCCGGCATCGTGTGTGTGTGTGTGTATGTGTATGTATGTGTGTGTGTATGTATGTATATACACACGCACATATATAATTTTTTAAATTTCTGCAGCATGCTATTTTAAAAGATTTATCCATATCGTTGCCTATGCCTGTAGTTTTTGTGTTTTAATTTTTTTAGAGACAAGGTCTCACTATATTGCCCAGGCTGGTCTTGAACTCCTGGGCTCAAGGGATCCTCCTGCCTGGGCCTCCCAAAGTGCTGGGATTACAGGTGTGAGCCACCACACCCAGCCCAGTTAGTACATTTTTGTCTTATGAACATACCACAAATTACCTTTCCACTGTTGATGGACATCTGGGTTGTTTCTGGTCTGGGGCAATTATGAACAGCCCTGAGTCAGGTGTGCATACCTTCAGCTTTACTAGTTGATACCTGGTTTCCAAAGTGGTTGTACCAATTTACATTCCTTCAGTGGTGTCAGCCTTGAGTTTGTAAGTCACTGTATTTGCTGTTTAACCACAATTATGCTTGAATATTTTCTGAATGAATGAATAAAGGTCCCTGGGTAGTCCGATCCCTGGCCTGTCATGTGCTAGCGTATTTTTATTTAGTTATATGGTTTGGACTAACCACCCAAATACCAGAAATGGTTTTCCCACTGTGTTTGGTTGACAAATATCTAATGGAATCCTTTCATCAATCTTTTTTTTTTTTTTTTGGAACAGATGAGTAGTTACAGGAAATTTTAAATATGCAAAATGAAGTACTAAAAATAAGTGGCTAGTACCTAGATGTTTTTTAAGGCTCTTGAATGAATCCTGCCTCTGGTGAATGCTTCCATTGTGCCCAGCCCTAAATGTGTAGGACAGTGTAGTGTGCAGGAACCCAGGCCTATCCTTGTTAAAGTACCCTCTGAGGATGAGACTCCTTAAGAGGCACTGTGCACAGACCCTAACTCATACTTCTTGGCAATTCCAAAGTAACCACAGACTCTGTGCTACAGGAATCAATGACTCTTTTAAACTTTTTTTTTTTTTTTTTGAGACAGAGTCTCACTCTGTCGCCCAGGCTGGAGTGCAGTGGCGCGATCTCGGCTCACTGCAAGCTCCGCCTCCCAGGTTCATGCCATTCTCCTGCCTCAGCCTCCCTAGTAGCTGGGACCACAGGTGCCCGTCACCATGCCCGGCTAATTTTTTGTATTTTTAGTAGAGACGGGGTTTCACCATGTTAGTCAGAATGGTCTTAATCTCCTGACCTCGTGATCCGCCCGCCTCGGCCTCCCAAAATGCTGGGATTACAGGCGTGAGCCACCGCACCCAGCCTTTAAATCTTTTAAATGTATTTTTCTCCAAATTTTCCTTTGCCTGAGAAAGTAGAAGTAGCTTAGAGCAGAGTTTTTGTCGTTTTTGTTCATTTTCTTTGTAAGAGATGGAGTCTAGCAGTGTGGCTCAGGCTGGCCTTGAACTGCTGGGCTCAAGGGATCCTCCCACCTCAGCCTCCTAAAAGCTGGGACTGCAGCATGTGCCACATCCAGCTTGAATTCCTGCTTTGTGAACAGACAGTTACCAGGCTCACTTTGATTGCCCGTGTTTAGTTTTGCCAGCTGGATTTGAAGTGTGTGTGTGAGAGAGAGTGAGAGAATGTGAGAAAGAGAAGGAGCAGGAGGGAGGGTGTGGGGAGAGGTGGGCAGTTCACCTGAGGGCAGCCGTTAAATTCAGGTGTTCATTGAGTACTTACCATGTGCCTAGTATTATGTGCTGTGTTTCTGCCCTTAGAGCAGAATGTTACGCAATTCTGTAGGTTTACAAAATACCTCAGGGGAATCCTTTTTAGCTGGAGGGATGATGGAAGAACACTAGCACAAAGACTGAGATTTGTAGATCCTTTTTATTTCTTCTCTAAAGCATCTTGGAAAATAGCTAAATCACTCTATTTTCAGTCTTTATTTACATAAGTCACAAAGACTTTTTTGCTCATTATAGTAAAGATTTTTTTTCAGATTCTCTAAAATAATGATAATTTTAGAAACCACATGCGGATAAATTAGAAGTTTTCAGGAAAAGACACCCAAAGGAGGAGGAGTAAGAAGTCGTTAGTATGAGAACCTGTTGATCTGAGTGATGGGGGAGGAGCCCTGTCGTGTTCTTTGTCACCCCTTCGGCCTTCCAGCGGGCAGCTTTCACAAAGGAGCTCCATTTTCCACCTGTTGCAGGGCAGGGGCAGCCTCAGCCTGGGCGAGGGAGGAGGCCTAGGGCTGAGATCACAGCCATGCCCTTTCATGTGCAGCCCACCCAGCTCACCTGGGCACGTCCCATTCTGTTCTTGCACCAACCTAGAGCAACCAGAGGTCCGGTTGGGTCAGCTTTTCACACCCCATGCCATGTTGAAACCTCAGTGGACGAGAAGGTTCTTTTGAAGTTCATATGCAACTGCTGGGTTTACTTCTGTCTTTGTCCCAGAACAGTTTCAGCATCAATGACCTAGGGCAAGTTTTTTTGTTTGTTTGTTTGTTTGTTTTGACTCCTATGTCTTTGAGTGTGTGGGTACATATGAGAAAACTCCCTAACTAGAGCATGCTGCTTCTGTTGACTAGTAAACATTATGTGGCAGAGAGCGCCTTCAAAGCACCAGCCTTCCCTGCCTGGGAAAGTGACCAGTAGGTGAACTTGCTTTAAGTTTTGTTTTTTTTGTTTTTTTGTTTTTTTTTTGAGACGGAGTCTTGCTCCATCACCAGGCTGGAGTGCAGTGGCGCGATCTCGGCTCACTGCAACCTCCGCTTCCCAGGTTCAAGCAATTCTCCTGCCTCAGCCTCCCGAGTAGCTGGGATTACAGGCGCATGCCACCACGCCCAGCTAATTTTTCTATTTTTAGTAGAGACAGGGTTTCACCATGTTGGTCAGGCTGGTCTCGATCTCATGACCTCGTGATCCACCTGCCTCGGACCCCCAAAGTGCTGGGATTACAGGCATGAGCCACCGCGCCCAGCCTGCTTTAAGTTTTAAGGAAGCACTTGTAAAAATAAAATCTGGAAGTACTGTCAACATACAAATTACATACAAATTTGGAGATTTATAATGAAGAATTTTGCCAATTTAGCTAAAATCTAAATCTTAGATTTAACTAAATCTTTTAAATCTTTGTGTTTCATTATAAAACACAAAACATTTATAATGAAGACACACTTCATGTCATCATTATAAATCTTTGGTGTTATCCTGGCTCCTATATAAAGAGCACTGGCAGGCTCAGGCCAGAAGTGGAGAGGGGGCTTGGACCGACAACTATGTGTTGTTAATTTTCTTCTATTAAAAATATTTTTTACTTTTAGAAATTGAAATCATATAGAAAATTATGCTGGGCACAGTGGCTCACGCCTATAATCCCAGCACTTTGGGAGGCTGAGGCAGGTGGATCACTTGAGGTCAAAAGTTCAATCGAGACTAGCCTGACCAACATGGTGAAACCCCATCTCTTATAAAAATGTAAAAATTAGCCGGGTGTTAGGCCGGGCACGGTAGCTCATGCCTGTAATCCCAGCACTTTGGGAGGCTGAGGCGGGTGGATCATGAGGTCCGGAGTTCGAAACCAGCCTGACCAACATAGTGAAACCCCGTCTCTACTGAAAATACAAAAATTAGCCGGGAGTGGTCGTGGGCCCCTGTAATCCCAGCTACTCCAGAGGCTGAGACAGAGAATTGCTTGAACCTGGGAGGCGGAGGTTCAAGTGAGCCAAGATCATACCACTGCAATCCAGCTTGAGTGAAAGAGCGAGATTCCATCTCAAACAAACAAAAAATTAGCCGGGTGTGGTGGCATGCACCTGTAATCTCAGCTACTTGGGAGACTGAGGCAGGAGAATTGCTTGAACCCAGGACGAGGCAGTTGCAGTGAGCAGAGATTGAGCCACTGCACTCCAGCCTGGGCAACAGAGTAAGACTCTGTCTCAAAAAAAAAAAAAAAAAAAGAAAAGAAAATTATTGAAAGCAAATTAACCAGCATCATAACTCACCATTCAAAAATCATTGCTCATACTTTATCTTTTATAATGCTTAGAAATTAAGTATTATCAAGTCAGAGCTTCCTTGGGCCATTTCTCTTCCCTTCCCACTGAGACAACCACTCCCATGAATTTGGTACATTTCCTTCCAACTCTATTTAAATATCAATTTTACTTCAAACTGCATTTTTTTTTTTTAAAGACAGAGTCTCTTCCCCAGGCTGGAGTTCAGTGGCACAATCTCAGCTCACTGCAACCTCCGCCCTCCAGGTTCAAGTGATTCTCTTACCTCAGCCTCCTGAGTAGCTGGGATTACGGGCACATGCCACCATGCCCAGCTAATTTTTGTATTTTTAATAGAGATGGGGTTTCACTGTGTTGGCCAGGCTGGTCAAACCCCTGACCTCAAGTGATCCACCTGCCTTGGCCTCCCAGAGTGCTGGGATTACAGGCATGCGCTACCGCGCCCTGCCTTCAAACTGCTTTTTTGATGAATGTCAAAAGGACATAGAGGCCTGGTGTGGTGGCTCATGCCTGTAATCCCAGCACTTTGGGAGGCCTAGGGAGGTGGATGGCTTGAGCCCAGGAGTTCGAGTCCAGCCTGGGCAACATGGCAAAACCCTGTCTCTACAAAAAACACAAATTAACCGGATGTGGTGGCTCATGGCTATCGTTACAGCTACTTGGGAAGCTGAGGTGGAAGGACTGCTTGAGCTCAGGAGGTCGAGGCTGCAGTAAGCCATGATTGTGCCACTGTGCTCCAGGATTCTTGCTCAAAAAAAAAAAAAAAGACAAGACAAGACTAAGCATGGTGGCCCATGCCTACAATCCCAGCACTTTGGGAAGCTGAGGCCAGCCAGAGTATCACTTGAGCCCGGGAATTCAAGGCCAGCCTGGGCAACGTGGCAAAACCCTGTCTCTACAAAAAATTAGCCAGGCATGGTGGCGCACCCCTGTAGCCCCAGCTACTCAGGAGGCAGAGGTGGGAGGATCGCTTGAGTCCCAGAGGTTGAGGCTGCAGTGAGCCTAGATTGCACCACTGCACTCCAGCCTGGGTGACAGAGCAAGACCCTGTCTCAAAAAAAAAAAAAAGGACAGAAATCTTTACTAGCCTTTATTTTGTACTGTCACATATGTTCTATGTTTAGGGGATGGAACTCTTAGAGCATTTCACATTTCACATGATATTTCTTTTTTTTCCTTTTTGTCACATGATGTTTCTTGTTAACAAAAATTGGAGAAGTATTTAGTGTTTTACAGAGCTTCAATTACTTGGTGTAAACTTTCAGCCAAAGGTGATCCAAAATGGAAATGGAGTAGAACTTGTTTTGTGTACTAGATTGTATCTTTTTTTTTTTTTTTTTTTTTTTTTTTTTTGAGACAGAGTCTCGCTCTGTCGCCCAGGCTGGAGTGCAGTGGCGCAGTCTCTGCTCACTGCAAGCTCCGCCTCCCCGGTTCACGCCATTCTCCTGCCTCAGCCTCCCCAGTAGCTGGGACTACAGGTGCCCGCCACCACACCTGGCTAATTTTTTGTATTTTTAGTAGAGACGGGGTTTCACCGTGTTAGCCAGGATGGTCTCGATCTCCTGACCTCGTGATCCACCTGCCTCGGCCTCCCAAAGTGCTGGGATTACAGGCGTGAGCCACCGCACCCGGCCTAGATTGTATCTTAAATCCAAATGACTACTGTATTATATGAAAGTAATCAGTTTTTTTTTTTTTTACAAAAATTACACTTACGGAGTTTCTTATTCCATTTATCCTCCTAGAAAGTACAGGAGATATTTTTTCCACAATATCAGATTACTCTTAATAATATTTTTAGATTCCTTCTAAAAAGGTACTTACTAGAAATGTGAATTCCCAGGCCTTCACTTCCAGAAATTCTGATTAATTAGGTCTGGGGTGGGGTCTAGGAGTCTGCATTCTAACAGGCAGCCCAGGTGATTCTCGTGTAGGACTCCTTGGGAGCACACTTTGAAGAATGCGTCTACTATGCTGTGATGGTTTTATAACTTACTAATTTCAACCAAGGATTGGTGTAGTAGCCCATTCTCACGCTGCTATGAAGAACTGCCTGAGACTGGGTAATTTATAAAGGAAAGAGGTTTAATTGACTCGCTGTTCCACATTGCTGGGGAGGCCTCAGGAAACTTACAGTCAGTGCAGGCAGGGGAAATGCCAGACGCTTATAAAACCATCAGGTCTCATGCAACTCACTCAAAATCACCAGAACAGCATGGGGGAAACCGCCCCCACCTGGTCCTGCCCTTGACACGTGGGGATTATGGGAATTACAATTCAAGGTGAGATTTGAGTGGGGACACAGAGCCTAACCATATCAGTTGGCAAACTTTCTTTTTTTTATTTTTTAAATTTTTTTATTTTAAGAGATGGGGTCTCACTGTTTGGCTCAGTCTGGAGTACAGTGGCATGATCCTGGCTCACTGCAGCCTCGAACTCCTGGGCTCAAGCAATCCTCCTGCCTTGGCCTCCCAAAGTACTGGGATTACAGGTGTGAGCCACCACACCCGACCCTCTAGAAGTGTTTTTGTTTGTTTGTTTGTTTTTTGTTTTTTGAGACAGAGTTTCGCTCTTTCACGCAGGCTGGAGTGAACTGGCGCGATCTCGGCTCACTGCAACCTCCATCCCCCCGGGTTCAAGCGATTCTCCTGCCTCAGCCTCCCGAGTAGCTGGGATTATAGGTGCCCACCACCACACCTGGCTAATTTTTATATTTTTAGTAGAGACGGGGTTTCACCATGTTGGCCGGGCTGGTCTCAAACTCCTGACCTCAGGTGATCCACTCACCTCGGCCTCCCAAAGTGCTAGGATTACAGGCGTGAGCCACCATGCCCAGCCTAGAAATGTTTTACTAATTAGTAATGTAGTCTTCTAAAGGGAACTATTACATTGTCATATTGTGTTTCCAGACAGTATTTTTTCAGTTAAAGCCAAGGGAATAACTTCAGGATCCTCTGCCTTGGGACCCCTCTCGTTCAGCTGAAAACTTCATCCCTCCCTTTGCTGTAGGATGGCACAGACACCCAGTTGCCCTCACAGTGCAGTCGGACTGCTCTCAGCATGGGAGCGGGCATGGCCTTCGCCAGTTGCCTCCATCCCGCTGAAGCAGAAGACTCAGCTGTTTACCTCACCCTGCTCGGAAACTCTAGCGTGGTAATTATAGGTGCCTTTGATTTGTAAAGAAAAATGGGAAATTAATTTATTAGTACATTATAAGTGAAGTTAATTTGGTATAAAATCACTAAAAGATGTGGAATTGGGCCAGGTATATGGTAAGGAAGTCCTCATAGGGTGAAGGTTGAAACTCTCCGCTGGAGCTTTAAGGATTTTGATATGTCTGATGAGACATCAAAGATGATCAAAGGGTGATTATTAACTACTGAGCTGTTAGTCCTGTGAACTTTATTCTAATTTATAAATTCTGTTCTTTATCTTCCCTTAAAGTAGTAATGAGCTTGTAAGGACTGAAATCTTATTTATGAAAAGACCTGCATTTTCTGAGATGTCATGGTCTTGCTTCTCAGAGGGCAGTAGTAACTTTGACAGTTTTGAGGCAAACTCACACCTACCTGGGTTTTATTGCTGATTAGTGATTTTTTTAAGCACTTTGCCTCTAGATGTTCTGAGTTACATAAATAACAGTTTATCATTTAACCAAGCACATATGATTCACATTTAATTTTTACCACTTAGTCCTGGAAGACTTTAAAATGTTATTTATATAAGCCATTGCTCAAATTGGTTTCCAGTTATCATTAAACAAGTTTAAATACAGCTGTGGACTTTTGCGAGCTTTTTATTGGATATTTCACACCCGAAGACCATCTTGTACCACCAACAGTTTAGGATTCTTAGAGATTACTCCCTAGACTGTAGACGTAAAGCACAATCACATCGACCTGACCTTATGTTCCTTAACTCCTTTCTTGCTGCAGTTTCCCGCCCCCTCCCCGCCCCAGCCAGTGAAATGTACATTTTGGTAGACTTTGAATGGATGGATCCATTGTGGTCCAATTGTATGACTGAGCCACAAATAGACAACTCATGGAAGGACGGTTCTGGTCCCAGTGGGGCTACTAATTTTCAATGTAGAGTCTGGGAAAGCTTCTTAACCTCCATTTACCTCTGATTCTCTGGGAACTGCAACAGCAGAATGATACTGATCCGGGAGAGGCTGAGCAGTGCTTACGTGGCTTATGTGGGACAGATGCCCGAACGTGCTGCCACAGGTCAGATGGGGCAGAATGAGGCAGATTTTCACATTGTATTAAGTTAGTTTTTAATGAGTTTAATCTTCAGTTTGCACTTTTCAAAAACTGTGTATACAGATCACCTGGGATCTTGTTAACCTGCTGGAGCCGATTCGGTAGGTCTTGGAATAGAGCCTGCGTTCTGCATTTCTTTCAAGCCTCCAGGTGGTATTGATGCTGCTGGGGCTTGGATCACACTTGCTAAATGGTGAGGGCTGTAGAAAAGGGCTGTATTCTCCATTCCAATGGAGAATAGCCCCCATTCCAAGTCTAAAACAGGAGGCTCTTTTTTTTTTAGATGGAGTTTCTCATCACCCAGGCTGGAGTGCAATGGAGCAATCTCGGCTCACTGCAACCTCCACCTCCTGGGTTCAAGTGATTCTCCTGCCTCAGCCTCCCAAGTAGCTGGGATTACAGGCGCCCACCACCACGCCTGGCTAATTTTCGTATTTTTTAGTAGAGACAGGGTTTTACCATGTTGGCCAGGCTGGTCATGAACTCCTGACCTCAGGCAATCTGCCTGCCTCGGCCTTCCAAAGTGCTGGGATTATAGGCATGAGCCACCGTGCCTGGCCAAGGGGGCTCTTGAAAGGCAAGAATGGGAGGAGAAAAAGCATGGTATACAATCTATAAAACAACTCCCCAAGAAACAACTCAGGTTTTCAGTACTATGGGCTGTTTTTACTTTGCTTTGATCACCAGTTTTTTTGTACCAGTTGTTTCGTTCACTCAATGGTAGTCCATCTCTTACTGTTATTCAGTTGTTTTTATATGTGTATCTTGTGTCATTTCTGTTAGATGATAAAATCCTAGCACAGGGTTATGCCTTATGTTACCTGTATATCCCTGCTCTAGTTACTACTGCTGCATAACACAGCTCTAAAACTCGTTGTAAAATAACTATTTGTTTTGTTTGCTTATCAAACAAAACTTGTTTACAAGTCCCTGTTTTTTTTTTAAGACAGAGACTTGCTCTGTTCCCCAGGCTGGAGTGCAGTGGTGCAATCACAGCTCCCTGCCCCTTTGACCTTCTGGACTCAAGCAATCCTTCTGCCTCTGCCTGCCATGTAGCTGGGACCACAGGTGCACATCACCATGCCCAGCAATTTTTTTTTTTTTTTTTGTAGAGAGAGAGTCTTCTCACATTGCTTCAGTTGGTCTTGAACTCCTGGGCTCAAGCAGTCCTTCCACTTCGGCCTCCTAAAGTGCTGGAATTACAGGCCTGAGCCACTGCCCCTGGCCTAAAATGACTATTTGTATTGTACTCACAGATTCCTGTAGGTCAGGAATTTGGACCTCACTAGTAGGGGCAACTTGCTTTTGCTTCACAATGTCCGAGGCCTTAGGTAGGAGATTCAAAGCCTGGGGGTGACTTGATGGCTGGGAGCTATAATCATAATAAAGTATCTCTACTTACATATCTAGTGGTTGAGCTTGGGTATCAGCTGGGACTCAGTTGGGATGTTAGCTAAACACCCATGGCCTCTCCGTGTGGTAGCTCTGTTGAGCTAGTTTGGGCTTCCTCACAGCATGGCAGCTGGGTTCCAAGGGCAAGTCCTAAGAGAACAAGGTAGCAGTGTGCGACATGTTTGTGCTCTGGCCTCGGAAGCATCATTTCTACTGTATTTTTTTGTTTGTTTGTTGCTTTAAAGACAGCGTCGTTCTGTCGCCTAGGTTGGAGTGCAGTGGCGCCATCGTAGCCCCCTACAACCTTGAACTCCTGAGCTGAAGCGGTCGTCCTGCCTCAGCCTCCCAAAGTGCTGGGATTACAAGCATGAGCTCCACGCCCAGCCTTTAGTGTATTCTTTTGGTTGAAGCCATCACAAAGGTTTCTCAGGGTTCAAATGAGGGGACATCAGCCCCACTGTTGGATGGGAGGAGTGTCAAGATTACACTGTAGGGTCTGGCCACAGTGGCTTATGCCTGTAATCCCAGCACTTTGGGAGGCCGAGGTAGGTAGATTGCTTGAGCCCAGGAGTTTGAGACCAGCGTGGGCAACATGGGGAAACCCTGTCTCTATAAAAAATACAAACATTAGCTAGCCATGGTGGCGCACACCTGTGGTTCCAGCAACGTGAGGAGGCTGAGGTGGGAGGATCACTTGAACCTGGGAGGCGGAAGTGGCAGTGAGCCAAAATCATACCACTGCACTCCAGCCTGGGCTACAGAGGGAGACCCTGTGTCAAAAACAAAACAAAAAACAAGGTTACATTGTAAGAATGTCATGTGAGATGGGAGATGCTGTGGCCATCTCTGGTGAATACATTCTGCAGCAGTTGGAACAACACTCAGCAGGGTGTTGACCGCATTATATAAACTCAGTGAAAGACTGTTGTGTAAATGAGTGGTAGGTAATTTAAGCACCAAGGTGGGTGAGGACCAAATACAAGAATTCAATTCCAGATGTGAACAGATTACCCCATGGTACCAAGATAAATGCAGACCTTCCACCTTTTATAGTTATTGATAGTCTCTTCTTGCTATCTCTACTCTTTCTGTTTCCAACATGGAGAATCTGTGAATTGATCACGTGGAACTGAACTTCTTCAAATCTTTGCATTTGTGTCACGATGCTGGCATGGTTTTTCCTGCTTATCTAGTGTACTGCCCCTCTCCTTCTTGGGCTGTGGCATATCCCAGCAGCTGGCTAGTATCTTACAGTGATGGGGCTGGGCGTGGTGGCCCATGCCTGTAATCCCAGCAGCACTTTGAGAGGCCAAGGTGGGCAGATCACCTGAGGTCAGGAGTTTGAGACCAGCCTGGCCAACATGGTGAAACCCTGTCTCTACTAAAAATACAAAAATTAGCCAGGTGTGGTGGTGTATGCCTGTAATCCCAGCTACTCGGGAGGCTGAGGCAGGAGAATCACTTGAACCCGGGAGGTGGAGGTTGCGGTGAGCCGAGATCTCATCACTGCACTCCAGCCTGAGTGACAGAGCAAGACACCATCTCAAACAAAAACAAAAACCAATGATCGGCTTCTCTTAGCCTCAGCAAATGCAGTGTGAACAGGCGCTGGTCCATCTGCGGACATCGAGATGGCTGGCCTGGTCACACCTACATAGGCAGCTGCTCTGTGGCTGCATGTCACACTGAGGGACTATCTGTGGCTGAACCGGAGTGTGACTCTCAGTCTTTGGCTTTATGTATCTTATGTGTATTTATCCTCATCATATCCTCATCGTGTACATATCCTCATGTATTATCCTATGATATCAGTTAATTAATACAGTGAGAAAAGCAAAAACGATCCCTCCTCCAAAGTAAGTAGAAGATGTTGAGATGTTTTACCACAATTGCTAAAGCTTTCCAGGTGACAGAACAATTTGTGAATATCTTTTACTTCATTTTACTTTAATATGTATATATGAGACAGGGTCACCCTGGCTGGAGTGCTACAATCATGGCTCACTGCAGCCTCGACTTCCCAGACTCAAGTGACCTCCTCATCTCGGCCTCCTGAGTAGCTGGGATTATAGGCGCATGAAACCATGCCCGGCTAATTTTTAAAATTTTTTTTGCAGAGACAGGGTCTCATTACGTTGCCCCGGCTGGTCTTAAACTCTTGGGTTTAAGGAGTCCTCCTGCCGCAGCCTCCCAAAATGCTGTGATTACAGTTGTGAGCCACTGTGCCTGGCTGAAATTTTACTTTTTTGTTTTTATATTTTGCGACAGAGTCTTGCTCTGTTAACCAGGCTGGAGTGCAATGGCACGATCTTGGCTCACTGCAGCCTCCGCCTCCCGGGTTCAAGCGATTCTAGTGCCTCAGCCTCCCAGGTAGCTGGGATTCCAGGTGCACACCACTATGCCTGGCTGATTTTTGTATTTTTAGTAGAGACAGGGTTTCACCATGTTGGCTTAGCTGTTTTTTGAGTTTTGGGGTAGAAATGGGGTTTCACCATGTTGCCCAGGCTGGTCACCAACTCCTGAGCTAAAGTGATACAACCACCTTGGCCTCCCAAAGTGCTAGGATTATCATTTTCATTACTAAATCAGAAATGTGGGCCGGACCTGGTGGCTCACCCCTGTAATCCCAAGATCTCTTGAGCCTGGGAGATCAAGGCTATAGTGACCTAAGATTGTGCCACTGTACTCTAGCCTGGGCAACAGAGTGAGACTCGGTCTCAAAACAAAAAGAACTAGACAGACATTTACTTTATTAGAAGGAGAAAATGTGATTACAAAAGCTTTTTGAATATAAAAAGGTAACAGTGTAGGCCTCTCCAGTATATACTCTGGCCCTCTGAAATTCCTAAAACTGAAAGTATTTTAGTGAGAGCATTTTACACAGTCATCTGAAGCACTGTTGTGGCCATTTTCTGCTGTTGACTGAACATGAAAAGAAAAGCCGTAGATAGAATTTCAGTTAACTGCTGATTCTGGTGGTTGTCATCTTTTTTTTTTTTTTTTTTTTTTAAAGAAAAGTAACCTCCGTGGCATTAGGATGGATGCTGTCTCTGATTAGGCCATGACCCCATGTAGCAATTCTGAGTGTCAGGTACCACTGCTCCAGGTATGGATGCCAGTGCTGACCACAAGGCTACAAGGCTGATGCCCGCATCCCAGGAGCTCTGTGGAGCAGGGAGCAATCAGGTGTTATTAATATTAGTGTATGCATTACTGAGATTAGAGGCCCGCTGGGAAGACACTAATCTTGTATTTTGTTCAGTACTTAGTGTTCGATGCTTATTATCCAAAAAGACCAGCATCGTCTCTGAGAAGATGTTAAGAACAAACCAGACTGGGCTCAGTGGTTCAAGCCTGTAATCCCAGCACTTTGGGAGGCTAAGGCAGGTGGATCACCTGAGGTCAGGAGTTCAAGACCAGTCTGAGCAACATGGCAAAACTCTGTTTCTACTAAAAAATACAAAAAATTAGCTGGGCATGGTGGCATGCACCTGTAATCCCAGCTACTCGGGAGGCTGAGGCAGGAGGGTCATTTGAACCCAGGAGGCGGAGGTTGCAGTGAGCCGAGATAGCGCCATTGCACTCTAGTCTGGGTGACAGAGAGAGACTCCATCTCCCCCCCGCCCCCGTCCCCCTGCAAAAAAGAAAACAAAAAAACCCAAAAAACCCTGGGGTTGGTTTAGGACAGCTCTTCCTTTCTGTCTTTCACTCTACCCTACCCCCATCCCCCAAGCCAGGAAAATATTTTTTCCTCCAAGAAGCACGTGCCATTGCCAGAGCATCTTGGGAAGGCCAAGTTGAACACCATAGACAGTGATGTGGTCATTCTTAAGCATTCTTCCTGGTCATCATCGTCCCAGAGACCATTGTCCTGCAGTGGGATGGCATGTTCACTCAGAGAGCACCATGCAATTTGTGATCCCTCAAATACGGGTCAAACTCTGCTACCCTATCTCCTTTCCCTGTCTCCCAGGACACATTTACTGAGTAGATTTTCATGCACCTGTGATATAATACCCATGGGTTTTTTATTTTTTACCATCCAGTTCTACTGATCTGATCTGAGAACTGGCTGACTCTAGGGCTTCTTGTAGTGCCTACTCTGGGGCTGCTCCTTGCTGAGGTCCACCCTCTGCAGCCAGGGGGATGTTTTGTGCACCAAATGGTGTACCAGGATGTGGCAGTAGTTCCCTGTTCTGGCACTAGGGGAAACTGGAGCAGCTCGGCCCATCTGGGCTTAGCCTTTCTGTAAGTAGCACTGAAACACCTTCTTAGGCAGATCCACACCCCCCCGCGTGTGTGGCAGACGCTGGCTGGTGGTGTGGAGCGCCGCGAGGCAGGTGATGAGAACACAGCCACGATTTAGTCACCGCAGAGAAGCAGTGTGTGGACTTGAGCTAGAAATCCGGACACCTTCCATCTTTTCCTAGTTTCACTTCTCAAGTTGAAATCTCTCACCCTTTCTGAACCATGTATTTTCCAATCTGTCAAGGGGGTCAGGAGTGTTTGTCAGAGAAGCATCTATAGCATCTGTGCCCTCTACGTGCCCTCTGGCGGAAGTTGTTTTCCTGAAACTTTGGACCAGCTTTGGCATTTTAAGCAGGTTTGTTGGCAAAGAGATGGACTGGCAGCAGCAGGGAGGGAGCAATGTGTCTGTCTCACTTGGATTCTGCCCCGAGGGCTCACAATCTGTTTTCCCTGCAGCACCAAGTACCCTAGCGCCACTCAGCAAATGCGAGTTAACGGAATCAGCCCGGCTTCTACAGGGAACCTGGGCTCCTTTGCCTCAGGAAGGCAAGTGGCTTCCCAGACAGCGTAATTTGGGAGGATGCATCGCTCTGCCACCCAGGCTGGAGTGCAATGGCGCGATCTCAGCTCACTGCAGCCTCTTCCTCCCGGGTTCAAGCGATTCTCTTGGCTCAGCCTCCCTACTAGCTGGGATTATAGGCATGCACCACTGCACCTGGCTAATTTTTGTATTTTTAGTAGAGACGGGGTTTCACCATGTTGCCCAGGCTGGTCTCAGGTGATCTGCCCGCCTCGGCCTCCCAAAGTGCTGGGATTATAGGCGTAAGCCACCGTGTCTATGGCCAAGCCTCTCTGAATTAGACAACAACTAGATAACCTACTTGGAAATTTGATTAGCATCTTCCAGATTTTCCACAATGAGGAGCGTCATCCCCAGCAGCTTGAAGGCCTAATTTTGTGTTTATTACCACAGTGACTTTGCTTTTTAAACCAGTAGGATTCTGCCAGGGAAGACTTGGAAGTGGCAGGAGACCCTGCTCTGCTGTAGGAAAGGATGTTCTCAGAGTTTCTGCCCTGTTCATAGTTTACATCCAATGCACACACACGCAGTTTCCTTATGTGACTGCGTCCTTGTTCCTCCTCATGCTGTGATTTCACCTGTGGACTGCTCTGTGTACTCCCATAGCATTAACCAGTCATGGGATGTGGGCTCCCAAAGCGAGGCCTAGCCTCGAGTGAGGAGGCAGCTCCCTTCAGAGAAGGGCAGTGTCCAGGAGGGACTTGTGGTCTGTTAGCACCAGTACACCTGGTGCCTCAGTCTTCCAGGGGGAATGCAGACAGAGCCACAGCACTCACCTCTGCAGCAGTTCTCAGACGTGCCCCCGACCCGCAGCCTCACCTCAGAAAGGCAACTCTTCCAGCCCCACTCTGGAGGGACGGAATCAGAAGCTGGGGAAAGGTCCAGCAGTCTGTGCGCACAGCCCTCTGGGGGATTCTGAGGCATGCTCAGGTTTGAGAGCCCCTGCATTATAATGATAGAAATAGTTGTAAATGGAGCCAGGCACAGTGGCTCATGCCTGTAATCCCAGCACCTTGGGAGGCCAAGGTGGGTGGATCACTTGAGGTCAGGAGTTTGAGACCAGCCTGGCCAATGTGGCAAAACTCCGTCTCTACTTAAAGTACAAAAAATAGCAACGTGTGGTGGTGCACGCCTGTAATCCCAGCTACTCAGGAGGCTGAGGCAGGAGAATCTCTTGAACCTGGGAGGTGGAGGTTGCAGTGAGCTGAGATTGCGCCACTGCACTCCAGCCTGGGTGACAGAGCCAGACTCCATCTCAATATATATATATATATATGTATGTATAAATAAATATATATGTATATTTATAAACTTTTTTTTTCAAAAACCATTTTAAAATGTTAAACATACGTGTCATAGGACCCAGCCCTTCACTCCTGGGTATTGAACTGAGAGAGGAAGGCATATGTACGCACAAAGACCTGTACGTGGATGCTCATAGCAGCTGTACTCACAATACCTTTAAACTAGAGACAACCCAGGTTCATCAGTAGGTGAATGGATAAACAGAGTGTGGTGTATCTACACAGCAGAGTACTTAAGAAGTGAGCTGTTGATAACCCAGCGTCATGGGTGAATGTCTAAGTTATGCAGAGTGAAAGAAGCCAGACCAAAAAAAAAAAAAACCCATATATATATATATATATATATATATACACACACACACACACACACACACACACACACACACACTCTATATATATATGTACTATGTATATGTGTACTATATATGTATATATACACTATATATA
Organism: Homo sapiens; assembly: GCF_000001405.40. Taxonomy (NCBI): domain Eukaryota; kingdom Metazoa; phylum Chordata; class Mammalia; order Primates; family Hominidae; genus Homo; species Homo sapiens. The sequence goes on from NT_187614.1 coordinate 1,748,399, forward strand.
CACACTATATACACACTATATATATATATATATATATATATATATATATATATATATATATATATAGTGTGTGTGTGTGTGTGTGTGTGTGTGTTTAGTTTTTGAGACAGAGTCTTGCTCTGTTGCCCAGGCTGGAGTGCAGTGGTGCAATTTCGGCTCCACTGCAACCTCCACCTCCTCCTGGGTTCTAGTGATTCTCCTGCCTCAGCCACCCAAGTAGCTGGGATTACAGGTGTGTGCCATCATGCCCGGATAATTTTGGTATTTTTAGTAGAGACCTGGGTTTCTCCACATTGGCAAGGCTGGTCTCGAACTCCTGGCCTCAAGTGATCCACCCGCCTCGGCCTCCCAAAGTGTTGGGATTACAGGCGTGAGCCACCACGCTTGGCCTATATATATTTATATGCTATAAATATATAAAAGTCCATTGATAGAAAAGTCTAGAGTGCAAACCATAGTGATAAGAAAGATCAGTGGTTGCCTGGGAATGGGGTAAAGAGCAAGAAAGGGTTGGATTATTAAAAAAAATGAGGAAATTTTGAGGGGGATGATGGATGTGTTTATTATTATGATGTACTGGTGTCTCCATTGTGTACATATGTCAGAACTCATCAGGTAATGTACCTGATCAAGTTGTATAGCAGTTTATATGTCAAGAACACCTCAACAGAGCTGTAAAAAAAACACGACAGGTCTGACAGTTACCTGGGAAAGGTGGGGGAACAGGTGGTAGAAGAACACATTTTTTATGATGTTCATGGTACTTACATAACATAAATGAATAAAATAGGGCCAACATGGAAAAGAAAACAAAATGAAGGAAAATGTCAAATTGCCATCCTGAACACCAGCACCGCCTGTAATTAGCGTTCCTGGCTGCAGCCACATCTGCGGTCCTGCTCCTCATGAAGCCGTCCTCCGTGCCATGTCCCGGCCATGCCTGTCCTTAGCTTCCTGGTGCACACTGTCCTCCACCTTGTGTTCAGGCACAGGGCTGCTTGGCTCACCCTTGCTGCACCTGGCCTGTCCGTCCTCCCACCGCGGTGCCGCCCAGGCCTTCCCACTGCAGGGCTGGCTAACGGTGCATGGAAGAGACTCGAGTCCGTGTTGTGTCCTCATAGCCCACCGAGGAGGCAGCAGTGCCGGACATTTCGCGGATAGGTTGTGGTCTCTGAGTCTCCTCCTCTCAAGAGGATGAGATTTGTCTGTGTTATTGTCAAAACTCTTATTTGTCACGCCGCGGGTTATGTGTCAGTAACAAAAAGCTGAGATTTAGGCCGGTGTTTCTTACTGGTGCAGCCTTTAAATGCACACCTGCGAATGTTCAGTGCACCTTCCGCTTCCTGGCTCTATTTCAGTCAAACCTGAGGTCGTAGTGAAAGTCGGTGAGGAATTCTTTGGAACTTCCTGATTGGCTGTGTCCTTGCCTCCTTGTCTTCCCGCAGATTTGATTTGTATCCACTGTCACCAGCACTGCTCACTTAGGACTTTCTGGATCCGGACCCAGGCAGCGCACACTGGACTCTTGAGGAAGTGAGTACCCCACCACTGCCTGCCTGTTGAACCCGGGGAGGCTCTTGTCTGACTGAAATCACTGCAGGCTTCCCGACGATCCCCTGGGTGTGTGTGGGCAGGCGCACTTGCCACTGGGCACAGGTGATAAAGCATTGTGATTTTTTTTTTTGGTGAGAGGAACGGATGTATCTAAGATCTCAGGAAACTGAGAACTTCCTTTTCTGCTCTTATTAAATGTCAATATATATATAATATATATCAATATATATGTAAATGTATATATTGACATTTAATAGCAAACACTGGAATAATGAGAGGATAGTGACGTTCAGACGTTAAAAGCCAGTGGGATTCATCGTGGAGCTCAGAATTAAGGTGAAGTTATTTAGCCACACCCAAGGTCAGGTCAGGTAAAATGCTCATTTAACTTACAGGAATGAACTTTGAAGACCATGGCCTTCAAATTGCCTGGGATTATTTCCATGGAAATGCTACTGTGTTTACATTGTCACGAAATGATAGGAAATAGTTTTTGGTTTGGGTTTTTGTTTTTGTTTTGAGACAGAGTCTGTCACCCAGGCTGGAGTATAGTGGCACGATCTCAGCTAGTTGCAACCTCCGCCTCCCAGGTTCAAGCGTGTCTCTTGCCTCAGCCTCCCGAGTAGCTGGGATTACAGGTGCTCGCCACCATGCTCAGCTAATTTTTGTATTTTTAGTAGAGACAGGGTTTCCCAATGTTGGCCAGGCTGGTCTCGAACTCCTGACCTCAGGTGATCCACCCGCCTCAGCCTCCCAAAGTACTGGGATTACAGGCATGAGCTACCTCACCTGGCCTTTCCTTTTTTTTTTTTTTTTTTAGAAGCTGGGTCTCCCTGTTGCCCAGGTTGCAGTGTGGTGGTGGTGCAATCACAGCTCACTGCAGCCTCGACCTCCCAGGCTCAAGTGATCTGCCCACCTCAGTCTCCTGAGTAGCTGGGACTACAGGCATGCACTACCACACCCAGCTAATTAAAAAAAAATAAAAAATAAAAAATAAAAAGTTTTTTTGTAGAGATGGGGTCTCACTGTGTTGCCCAGGCTGGTCTTCTGGTCTTGAACTCCTGGGCTTAAGCAATCCTCCCACCTCAGCCTCCCAAAGTGCTGGGATTACATGTATGAGCCACCATGCCCAGCCACCCCCCCCCCACCCCACTTTTTTTTTTTTTTTTTTGGACAATCACCAGAGAGCTGAATTTTACATTGATTTCACATGTTTGTGTCTTAGGTGACTTTTCCCAACTGTTAATTGATAGAAAATGATTTGTCTGTATCCTTGAAAGATTGTACTGTATTATTTAAAAAAAAACCCTCTAATCTTCCCATTTGACAAATGTGACAGAAGGCTGTGATGAATCAGTAGCATTTAAAGTACTGACACATACCTGTATTTTGCAGGAAGGAGACTCTAATTTTGGATTCCTTGGTGGAGGAAAATAAAACACTCTGGTCTTGCCGCCAACGATGCAAGTGTGACTGCTGGCGTCTTCATGAGCTCCAGAGGTCACAGCACGCTACCAAGGACTCTCATGGCCCCTCGGATGATTTCCGAGGGAGACATAGGAGGCATTGCTCAAATCACCTCCTCTCTATTCCTGGGCAGAGGCAGTGTGGCCTCCAATCGGCACCTCCTCCAGGCTCGTGGCATCACCTGCATTGTTAATGCTACCATTGAGATCCCTAATTTCAACTGGCCCCAATTTGAGTATGTTAAAGTGCCTCTGGCTGACATGCCGCATGCCCCCATTGGACTGTACTTTGACACCGTGGCTGACAAGATCCACAGTGTGAGCAGGAAGCACGGGGCCACCTTGGTGCACTGTGCTGCAGGGGTGAGCCGCTCAGCCACGCTGTGTATCGCGTACCTGATGAAATTCCACAACGTGTGCCTGCTGGAGGCGTACAACTGGGTGAAAGCCCGGCGACCTGTCATCAGGCCCAACGTAGGCTTCTGGAGGCAACTGATAGACTACGAGCGCCAGCTCTTTGGGAAGTCGACAGTTAAAATGGTACAGACACCTTATGGCATAGTTCCCGACGTCTATGAGAAGGAGTCCCGACACCTGATGCCTTACTGGGGGATTTAGTGCCACTGAAGCCTGCGTCAGCAGCCCGAGCGGGGCCGGCATCTGCTCCCCGCCGTCTGCTCCCTCTCCACTCTCTTCTCAAATGGCTGACTTCTGGTTCTCCCTCAAGTGTTTTTTACACTGGGTGTTCAAATTTATTTTAAGAGATAGGGAGGGAGGGGACATAAAGGGAATGCATACATTGCTAGTCACATTTTTAAAATTAACATTTTGGAATAGTGTTTATGGAAATCTTTAGCTTTTAATCATTTTTACCAATTTGAACAGTTTAATAAACTGGTTCTGCTCTCTTCTGAATCTCATGCCTTTGGCACCTTGGTAGGTGCAGGAGGAGCTCAGTGCAAAAATCACTTTGGGGCCTCATTAACCCTTTAGAGACAAGCTTTGCCCCAGGCTGCGGACCAGACAGATGCTTAGGGAAGGTTGATAACCAGCTTCAGTCTCTACTGGATTAGCCCTACTCTTTCCTTTCCCCTCCATTATTTAGTGACTCTGTAAGTAAGTTAAATACACCCTTATTATTTAGCTGTTAAGTAACTATAATGAAATCTGCTGCAAAATCTCTCTTGGAATCCATGTGCCCAGGATTATATTAGCATTATTTTTAATAAATCTATATGCTTAACATATTAGAATTTTTACTAATAATTTCAAGGTGTGTGTGTGTCGATGATGGGAAAAAGGTGCTCTCCAGTAACTAACTAACTAACTGCTGAAATGTGGCTCCTGTGCCAGTTGGGAACATTACTTAAAATACACATCCCAGCAGAGTCTTGTCGGCGCGTCACATCCTGGTGGACAGGCAGACACACCGTCCCCGGTGCTGGGCCGGTGGGAGATGATTGATAGTGCACGCTCTGATCAGGGGTGCTGGTTTTGGTTTCCTCTTGGTTAGTGGAGCGCCCCGAAGCAGCGTGTCCTCCATCAGAGAAACTGGTTTTCAATAAAAGGTGCCTCTGCTTGACTATTATTACCACATACGAAAATGCCCTAAACCAAACCTCAGTATGAGCGATAAGCAAGTAACAAAAACAAACAATGGCTGCCTTTGTTTAACTTTGGGACTGTCTGTCACCCAGTTCACTGCTCCTGATAAAACGGGCAGCACCGCTCATCATCATCAGATACATGGTAGAAGGTGAATGAGCTCGCCCCTGTCCCACTCCTGGGACACTCCTGGGCACTTTCCACGTGCCCCCAAGTAACCACTGTCCTAGGGCATGCCTTTCTTCTGCATGGAGGGCATCCTGGGCGTCTGCCCGTGCAATGGGAACCCGCTGCGGCACTGCTCTTTGGCTTCATTTATCAGGAAGGTTGTAGCTTGCTCACCAGAGGAATAGTTTTCTAGATTTTTTGGGTCAGTTTTGGCAGGAAGCCATACATAGGCCAGTAGCTACATATTTAGACAAATATACTCCACATTTTACCTGGTTTGTGGCAATGGTTTTTTCCCATCTAAATTCTACCTTTTATTGCTTTATACCCGTGGCTGCCCACTGTTATAAACATGCATCATTATTCTCTAGAAAAACTAAAATGAAAAAAATTATTAATAGTTTCTATGGGAAATCAGAGGAAACAACAAATGCTATAAGATCAAAAAAAAAAAAAAAAAAAAAAAAATCCAGGGAGGCTCTGGCTGCTTTAGTAGGAGGCTCAGCTTTGAGTCTGGGAGTTTCTGAATAAGAGCACCCAAATAACCATTGTCCTAGGGCGAGAAGACACCTGGTGACAGATGTTCTTGGTAATTAATGAAAATTACCTGTAGAATTCCTGGCAAGCAGCACTACGGGGCTGTAACTAAGAGTTCCTCGCACGTGGGAAGCTGAACACCTTTGTAATCTTAAGCGCATGGGCCCCTGTTCATCCTAGTGACTTGCATCTATGTGAAATCAACCCAACAAAGACAAGACCAAGAAAAGGCTTAGTAGCCTGACATTCTTCTACACTTGTATTTTGGTTAGAGAAGTTTAACAAGGGGTGATTTCAGAACAGACCCTGAAAATATTTTAAAGGTAAAGCTTTATAATGTCTAAACACATCAATTAGAGCAGTTGTTTATTAAAATACAAACAAGGGAGAAACCACACCATCTTTTAAAATACAGGCGCGAATTCCACATCACGCAGAAGACAACGCATTTCGCTAAGGGCCACAGCATTCACTGGTTAATAAAGCCACAGCTACAAAGTAATGAGATGTCCCACATGAATACTTTTTAACCACTTACATTCACGTCAACATATAAATAATGGAATTAAGTAAAAACTTCATTATAATGCTATTTTGTTAGAAAAGTATTTGTAAAGTGGCATTTTTCCCCCAAGAGCTGTTTCACTTAAGCTTTATTTCCTCGGCCTGGCAAGGGGAGGGCTTTTCAGTATTGTTATTTGGTACACACTTACCTGAAGAAATAAGTAAGTAACTTAAACATAAAAAACATAGTCGACACACATCTTGCCCTGCATTCTGACATTTGCTGGAATGGTCTACAGCAGGCTACAATGCTCCCTTCTGAATGGCAAATGTCTGAAAATGTCAGTTTATTAACTGTTCACAAAGGCAGGCATTTGACCTTGAAGGTGTTAAAGGGAATTTTTTATTTTTGAGACAGAGTTTCGCTCTTGTTGCCCAGGCTGGAGTGCAGTGGCGCGATCTCGGCTCACTGCAACCTCCGCCTCTCTGGTTCAAGCAATTCTCCTGCCTCAGCCTCCCGAGTAGCTCGGATTACAGGCACCTGCCACCATGCCCAGCTAATTTTTGTATTTTTAGTAGAGACAGGGTCTCGCCATGTTGGCCAGGCTGGTCTTGAACTCCTGACCTCGGGTGATCCACCCGGCTCGGCCTCCCAAAGTGCTGGGGATTACAGGCGTGAGCCACCACGCCCGGCTAAAGGGAATTTTTGTAGTGGTCCCCAGTACAGGGCCAGCATTTCCTATTTCTGTAACATACAGCCCTATAATCTTTGCAAAGCTGAAGTACACTTGAAATAGGCAAACAGAAGACACCTTTAAACAAATAAGACCCCCCCAAAACCCTTCAAATATGTATATGTACACAAAATATTCAAATAATTAAAAATTCACAACCCCTATGGAATGCTAACTAGTAGCCACAGGAAAAATAAAGCATGGAAAATATCCTCATATATCCAGTACCTCTTCTATCTCAAGCATGTCCAGACAAAAATTAAATTACACACTAAGCCATAAAAATTTTAAAGGCAAAACATCCCACCAAAAAAAGAAAAGTGCTTATTAATGGCCATTCAAGCAGTGGGGTGAAGCGGGCTGACACAATGCACAGTATGGAAATAAGTAACCTTGGCTACAGTTTCCAAGGACACGGGGCTCCTGGCTGACAAGAAGAGCTGAGGTGAAGCTGAATGCAGCGTTGAGCCATTTTAATAAACGTTTATAAAGAAAAGCAGCGCAACCGTGTCCCACACTCCTTGGATCCCTATTGGTGGCATCTAATTAAACATTTCAAGTATTCAAGAGATATGAAAGGTAGTGAATACTTTTCATAGCAAAGGCTTTTTTTCTGTTGACATCTGCTGAATTTTCCTGTGGCACCTCCCAAGGAGTGACTAAGCCTACCATCCTTGGTAAGGAAAATGGGGATTATACTAAGGAATTTTATCTGAGGCATTCTGGAATTTCTCAGGAATAGAAACCAGCCCAGCTACCAAGTGAGCTTTTTAAAATGTTGATACTGGGCCACTGTGACATGACAGGCATCTATATAGCATTTCAAAAAAATGCTTCAGCAATACAAATTCAAACTGGGAAACTTTTTTTTTTTTTTTTTTAAGAGACAGTGTCTCGCTCTGTCATCACCTACGCTGTCACGTGCAGCCTCAAACTCCTGGACTTGTGATCTCCCGCCTCAGCTTACCTAGTAGCTGGGACCACGAATGTCCACAGATGCACTCCACCTACCCGGCTAATTATTTTTTGTATAATTAGCTGGGGTCTTTACCATCATGCCCAGGGCTGGTCTCTAACTCCTGGGAAACATTCTTATTGCAAAGGTAGATTCTGCTGTCATGGTTCTGTTATGAAATTTAGGCCAGGCGCAGTGGCTCACGCCTGTAATCCCGGTACTTTGGGAGGCTGAGGCGGGCGGATCGCCTGAGGTCCGGAGTTCAAGCCTGGCCAACATGGAGAAACCTTGCCTCTACTAAAAATACAAAATTAGCTGGGCGTGGTGGTGCACGCCTGTAATCCCAGCTACTCACGAGGCTGAGGCAGGAGAATCGCTTGAACCCGGGAGGCGGAGGTTGCACTGAGCTGAGATTGTGCCATTGCACTCAAGCCTGGGCAACAAGAGTGAAACTCCATCTCAAAAAAAAACAAAGAATTTTTAAGGCCAATTAGCAGCCTGCTTGCATTCCAGCTCCATGTGGAAGTGGTGCTGTCCAGGATGGAAGCGCCGAGGCCTCAGGAAAAGCCTGCCAAAAGCTGTCCCACTTGTGTTGTTAGAAACACCCCACTAGCCTTGTGGTGGGCAAAAGCTCCAAAGGTGCCCATTCAGAGTGAGCTGCCTCAGTCAGGAATGGCCAGAGACGGTATCATCGGGAGCGAGTGAGAAAAGCCTTTCTCTCCTCGGTGCCTCTCTGTGCATTCGGGCACGCAGAAGGTCAAGCAGAAGCCTCAGCAACAGCTGTTTAATGAAAATGTTCCACACCTTTCTTGGAGAACATGGAAAAGCTGTAAGATGGAGCAAGACAGAATTTGTCCTGAGAGGGGAAAATAAATTATGTAAAAGCAGCAATTATATAGACAAGACCAACTTTTTCAGTTTAAAAATAAAAGTCTAGGTCAGAGGGTCTAAACCACACAAAGTAAAGCACACGAGATTGAAAAATCTCTTCATAAAGCGCATAATCAACAATTCAGAGAGACGTGTGCCCTAGATTGGTAGTTCTTCCCAGGAATAACACAGCTCTTAGCCACTTGGGTTTTTCCCCTAATTTTATGCATTCACATTAAATGGCAAAGACAATTCCCTACTCCAGGAAGCATGAGCCTTTTCTATCTAAAATTCAGTACTGTTTCTGGACAATTTTCTTCTACTTCTTCTAAGTCATGTATCTATCCCATAAATATACATCTTGATACTTTACACTAGGCCGAGAGCTCCACATTTTCACCCTGAATTAATTTTCAGGTTTTTCTCACAGATACTGCAAAGTCAGGCAGTGTTGGTCCCTATGCAGTCATCTTTGGAAATTTGGAGAGAGGCCACTGCAAAGAGATTTCATTCCACTGCCTTTCCAAATCTTGTCTGAGAAAACTCCATGGTCACAGTCTTTGCATGCGGCAGAACAGGTTTGCAGCGAAGGCTCCCGGGGGGAAGGATATTATCCTAATACACAGGATTTGGGCCTCTGTCAAAATGAGCATTCTTCACGGCTGCAGAGTGCCCAGGCATGTTTTGGGAAAAAGTCTTGAGAGTGGACAGAAGTGAAGGGAAGGAGTAGAGAACTGGTTCAGTTGTGACAACCAAGTGGGTAAAATCTGCCCTCACCTGCCTGCTACTGTCCAGGGGAGATGGGCAGAATCTTCTCCATAAAAAGCAGAACATCAGTTTAATCGCAATTTCCTCTTTTTATTCATTTCAGACATTAACAAACTAAATGCAGATAAATGTATTCTACTTCACAGGACAGTAAGTGTCCTAGATAAAAACAAGCACTGGCTCCAAGCAGTCGCCCATTCTAGTCCCGCAACGGTAATCTATTTTTCTTCAAATGTCAGTTCTTCACAGTTTCAATACTGCAGCAGCAAGTTCTTCCTTAGATCAAGAAAGCCGTGGTCCGTATTTCAGAAAATCTTAAGTAGAGATAAGTGAGCAAGCTTCTGGTGCCACGTGCAGTTTGGGTGGGACAATTTTACCTGAAGTCCTGCAGACTGGCCGTGGGGATGACGGGGGCCCCGTCCCTTGCGGTGTTCTTCATATCGATTCAGGGAAGCGAACTGTGCAGTGCTCGCATTCTATTTATTGGTCCCTGTCACCCCGTGGGGTGTCACAGAAAAAAAAAAGTCAATGCTTCACAGAGGAGTTGTTCAGAGCAGGTCAGGCAGGACGAGGCCAGGAGGCTTTGGTTCGACACAGTTGATCCAGAAGTTGGCACAGCTGGCGTGATACTGGTGCCCTCCATAGGCCAGCTTGAAACTGTCTGTTTCTGAGTTGAATGCCTGCCAGAAATAAACAGAGATGTGGGGCAAGTCAGGCTTTTTCTGCATCTCAGAGCTTTTCAGCAACCAACATGTACATCTATCTCTCCAGGTCACAGAGGCTGAGGCCAAAATGGCACACACATAAAAGCTGAGCGGATAGCTACAGGAATTCAAGAGAGAAGGTTTTTTACTGCTAATTAAAGGTATAAAATTGTTACCACTAAACCTAGTTTCAGCAAAAGGTGGCCAAATCTTCCATGGAAAAGGCAGACAGAGGTTATGGGGTGGAGGGGGGGAATCATGATAAGGGGAACTGAAGTAGCCAAGGGCTGTGGATAGCTTTCATCCCTCACTGTGCTGAAGGAAGCCCTCCTCCTAAGGCCGGCATCTGACTACAGCATGCAATCCTTTACACTCCTGTAGCTGACCACAAGCCTATCATGACAAAAAATTACAAGAGAGTTAGAGAACGAGAGAGTTAGAAAACGAGAGAGTTAGAGAACGACAGATAACAACTCTTAGGGTCTAATGGCATTGACCCTAATGCCTAATGAATCTACATTATCAAAAAGTCCAAACAGGTATGGAGTTAAAAAAAAATGCCTCGAAATGAATGGGCATTAAACACATAAGAATTATTTCCAGATGAACAGGCTTATCAGTAAGCTACAGTCAGCCATGGAAAAGTAGAGTCCAAACCTCAACCACTTCCTGGGGTTAGTTTTCTAATATGCACTGCAAATAAACAAAACTCTAAAACCCAATTTGCTGCTTGTCTGTTAAAATGGCTAAATGGCTACATCCTGAAGCTCTTTGATCTCCATCTGTGTGTCACTACAACTTCCAGGCTTCCAGAAGTTGCTCATTCTGTCACCCCATTCATCACAGAGAAAAATAACTGCAACACCAGAAGCCAATTATGTGAAACAAGCATGCAAATAAGACAGAAGTGGACCCACACAGACACATTAGGAGACTCCATCAAACATTATGGGAACAAAACTGACTCAGTGAAGGATTCATGATTGGAACAGTTCAGGATGGCAATGGATAGAATCATCCAATTTGCCCTCCACACTCAAAATTAAAATGGAGACGCTAAGATAAGGTGTAACTGGTTCATACTTTTTTAGGATGTTCTTCTGCAGGCTTCTCTTCTTTCTGAAATAACGTTGAAACCACAGGTCAACAACATTCCCAGAACAGGGCCTCTTGCCTCCAAACACATCTTTACAGGTTCACCCTTTTCCCCTGACCTCCCCACTATGCACAGGGTGCTGCAGGCATGAGAGCCGCGTCCATTCCCTCCACAGCTCCCCCGCTGCCCTCTCGAGGGAATGTGTCTGCTCCTACCATCAGCTTTTAGGACTTGAGAAAATCCCCACCTCTGGTCACAAACTCTGCAGTAAAGTGGGCCAGATGAGGTTGTCCAGAGTCATGTTAGGGAAGCCCTTTGCTGTCTGCAAGGAGGCTGCGTGACTTACCCGGCTCCTCGAGTCCACATTCAAGAGGCACACTCCACAGGCAAGCTCCTGAGCATTTTTAATCCCAGGCCGTAACATACAGGAGGAAAAATCCAGCGAGTTTTCATCTGGCTGTGAGGACGACAAGACAAATGGGTAAGAAGTCCACAAGTCCACACGCTGTTCACTTCACTCCCTCATCACTCACCCCCAGCAGGCCTAGCGGCAAGTACAGTACTCTAACACCACCACTACAAGAATTAACCTCCCACACATCCACTGGGAACCTGCCACGGTTCCAGGTGCTAGGAAGGCCGGCACCAGTACAACACGCCCTCTGACCTCTGAGAACTCAGTCTCAGGTGGGCGCCAGGGGAGCCCGTGCAGTGCCATGAGTGCTGGGTGTGCTTACTTGGGGGAAGTCCTGAGTGCCAGGGCACAAGGGAGCGGCACTTAGCCCAACTCGAGGAGGATGGGGCCTGAAGCCAGAGACTGCGTCCTAGAACTTTTTCTTTTCTTTTTTTTTTTTTTTTGGAGACAGAGTCTCACTCTGTCGCCCAGGCTGGAGTGCAATGGTGTGATCTCAGCTCACGGCAACCTCTGCCTCCCGGGTTCAAGCGATTCTCCTGCCTCAGCCTTCTGAGTAGCTGGGATTACAGGCGCGCCACCACGTCTGGTTAATTTTGTATTTTTAGTAGAGACAGGGCTTCACCATGTTGGTCAGGCTGGTCTTGAACTCCTGATTGCAGGTGATCCACCCGCCTCAGCCTCCCAAAGTGGTGGGATTACAGGCATAAGCCACCGTGCCTGGCCTGCTTCCTAGATTCTAAAATCACCTTGGCTGAGTGTAGATGGGAGCTGCTAGGTGAGGGGGACAGGAGGGTTGGGTGAGGTAGGGGAGGGAAGGATATTCTATGCAGAACAAGCAGCACAGGCAAAGGCTCTGAGCTAAAGATGGGGTATGGGAAGGAATCTAGAGGGTGGGGGCAGGGCCCAGGGAAAGAGGAGATGAAGCCGCAGCACGAGGACTCCAAGGAAGATAAGGAGCATCCTGGAAGCCACTAAGGCTTCCAACTGGATCACGACAGGCCCAGGTTCGTATTACTGACAGATCCCTCTCGCTACAGTATAGGCAATGAATTGGGGGTGGCAATCCTCAGGGCACAGGCCTCAGCCAGAAGTCTGCTGTAGCAGTCCTGGAGACAGATACCGATGGTCAGAATGAAGGCAGCGGCGGTGGGGAATGGAGAGAAATGGGCACGTGAAAGAGCTGACGAGGCAGGAGAATGAGCAGGCCTGGGTGACCTGCTGGATGGGAGAGGTTGGGGGACCCGGGCAGCTGAGAGGATTCACCATAATAAGACACGTGAGAGAAGGACCAGGTTTGAGGATGGAAGCTGAGGAGAAGAGTTCAGTTTGGTCCAAGCTGAGCTGGAGCTGCCTGTGGGACAGCGAAGGCCACATGCTATATAAGCAGGTGGTTGGATACACATACAGGCCTCCTGCTTGTGGAGAGATCTGAAGGTCACCAGCTAAAGACCATAAATAGAACAACAGCTAATACGCCCTTACTTTCAAGCACTATACTAAGCTCTTTATATGCATTATCTAATTCACTACACACACACACACACACACACAATGGTTAAAAGGGTAGGTCTCAATCTTGGAAAGCCGTCCAGTCACTCTGTTGCTCAGGCTGGAGTACAGTGGCGTGATCACAGCTCACTGCAGCCTTGAATTCCTGGGCTCAAGAGATCCTCAGCCTCTCAAATAGCTGGGGCCACATGTGCATGCCACCACGCCCAGCTAATTTTTTGATTTTTTTGTAAAGATGATTATCTCCCTATGTTGCCCAGGCTGATCCTGAACTCCTGGGCTCAAGTGGTCCTCCCAAAGTGGTGGGTTTACAGGCATGAGCCACTGTGCCCGGCCCCGCAGCACACTTTTATTTTTATTTATTTATTTTGAGACAGGGTCTCACTCTGTTGCCCAGGCTGGAGTGTGGTGGTGTCATCTTGGCTCACTGCAGCCTCCGCCTCCTGGGCTCAAGCAATCCTCCCGCCTCAGCCTCCTGAGTAGCTGGGACTACAGGTGTGCACCACCATGCCCAGCTAACACTTTTTTTTTTTTTTTTTTTTTGAGGTGGAGTCTTGCTCTGTAGCCCAGGCTGGAGTGCAGTGGCGCAATCTCGGCTCACTGCAAGCTCCACCTCCTGGGTTCAAGGGATGCTTCTGCCTCAGCCTCCCAAGTAGCTGGGACTATAGGCGTGCACCACCACACCTGGCTAATTTTTGTATTTTGAGTAGAGACGGGGTTTCACCATATTGGCCAGGCTGGTCTTGAACTCCTGACCTCGTGATCTGTCCACCTTGGCCTCCCAAAGTGCTGGGATTACAGGTGTGAGCCACCGTGCCTGGCCACACACTTTTAAGTTTAATCTGCACTAATAACATTTTCTCCATCACTTTTTAGCACTGAGGACATCCCTCAGTCCTGACCAAACAGGGACAGTTGGTTGCCCTGTGATAGACATAAATAACCCTGAAAGCTAGACAAGAGTAAAATTTAAGAACTAGAATGTTTTAAGTATTACCACTATTTTTAATATAATATATGTAACTGCAAGTTTATATCATTTGTGTTTTGTCTTGCTTTTGAGATAGAATCTCACTCTGTCACCCAGGGTGGAGTGCAGGGGCGTGTGTGATCATGGCTCACTGCAGCCTCAAACTCTTGGGATCAAGCAATCCTTTTGCCTCAGCCTCCTGAGTAGCTGGGACTACAGGTGTGTGCCACTACACCTGGCTACTTTTTATTTTTAGTAGAGATGAGGTCTCGCTATGTTGCCCAGGCTGGTCTAGAACTTCTGGCCTCAAGCAATCCTCCCACCTCAGCTTTCCAAAGTGTTGGAATTAGAGGCATGAGCCACTGCACCCAGTCTTCATTTAATTTTTAGTAATAACGGTGTTTAACAACTGGCTCATAAAATTCCTGAACATTTAACAATCCACTCTTGCAAGCCAGTAAGAACTGGATTTAACACACTAGTGCGACAGAATGGAATCTCAGGTGGGAGCCTAGAAGTTGAGGAGTTCCTCTCAGAGGGCTCATCCTCACTCTAATGCAGGAGGTGAGATCATCAGCTGTGTCTGAAATAGCAGTAGCCTTGTGAGCTCCAAGCAGCAAACTCTGGAGGTGTGATTGTCTCCACCAGCACACAGTGGGTCAAGGTGGGGGGAGAAGGTGGATGGCTGCACTGATTCCAGTTGGGTTTGGTCTAATGAGTATGACTGAAGGGAGTGAGGAGGGATGCCCCATGCACTGTGGAGAGTAAGGAGGTGAGAAAAGAAGTGAAGACAGAAGAGGGCTGACAGGAACACAGTAAAAGAGACAACATCCTGTCTTGAGAACCAAAAACAAGAGCAGTGCCAGTGAAGAGTGAGACAACGGGAGGGTCGCCAATCTGGACTCAGGAAGTTCGATGTCGGGGCTCGAGACTGCACAGGCGCTGCACAATGTTTGCTAACACAGCCCATCGTGGTGATGCCAGTGGGTGGCTGAAGTGCAGGGGAAGCGAGGGCTCTGTGGGCCAGGCAGTCAAGCATCTGGGAGCCTGGCATGGCAGTTGGTTTGTCTTCATGGATACTGAGGTGACCCAGGATGATGGCAAATTCCTGCCAAATTAACAGCTACATTTCCCATAGTTCTTCCAGTCTGAACCACTGAGGAGTTTCCACGTCGTTTTTGAGCAACAAAGCAAAATTATATGATCTGTATTTTTCCTCACCAGGAAAAAAAAAGATTTCTCCTTATAAAAATGTGTAGATTATGTATGATGTTCCCTGTTCCTTTCTAATTTGAAATAATAAACCATGAACTAGCTCCACAAATCTTTCTTAAACACATTTGAGCTAGATCCACTGAGATCACAGCAGGGGAAGGAAGAACACACGGTTTTCAGAGAAGAAAAGGTGAGGTGTATGTTTCAACTGTGTGCAAAAGGACTCTGGTGTAGGTGATCAAAGTAAACTTACATGGCCTTAGCCAAGTCATAGGATATTTTTTCTTTTCTCTCTTTTCTTTTGTAGTGCAACTGTGGTCACTCTGGTCAAATGTGGAAGACGCTGGTGCTAACGCTTGTTCTGCAGTCAGTCATCTGTAAAATGGTAACTATTTCACTTGCCCTACACCTCTCTCCCATTTCTATATATCTCAGATGGACATAAAACATGCTCTGGAAGTGAAAAGTAGTCTATATGATGATCACAATTATTCACTTTGACGAACTCTTAGCAAGCTTTTAAAAGAGGTTAAAACATAGTATCATCTCTGTAATCCACATTACAGATAGTCATCATGTTACTGAATCAGGGCTATTTGAGAAATAATTAGAATCTGGGAAAACTCTGAATCCTGAAATCAATCAAATTAATAGAAGCCCCTTAATATCTGTTTACCAAAGGCATAAGGAAAGCAAATGAAAAGATCATACTGTAATCGCCAATGAAAACCATAAGGCTCTGCATAAATGACCCTGTGATCAAATTACTCTTTCAGCTGACAAAATTAACCTTCTTAAGTACACATGTATAAACAGGGTGTTTATTGTAGTGTAATATTAACAGTTTGGCACCAATCATATAAGATAACAGTTTGGCTGTCATCATATAAGAAGGTATGCCCTCTACAAGTCACCTTAAATTGATCATCTCCTTATTTGGCAAGTATTTCATGCATTTAGTTAAGATTTAAAAAAATATATACATATTATATATGGCCTACTGACACTGATAAGTCCCAATGTCAGACTGAGATATATAATCCTGAATCTTTAGCCTACAATAAACTGCTACAATGGTGTCCAGGAAGATCCTTATTAAGGAAGAAGAGTTTGGTAGTAATTAGTGTTCTTCACCAATAATCTTTCTCCTTTTTATGGAATGGTAGGATGGGCCTTCCCTGCCCCTTTTTCAATCAGGCATTGGCCTGTAACTTGCCACAGTCAATAACTAAGCAAAAGTCACACGTAAGCCGGGAGTATGGTGGCTCACACCTGTAACCCCAGCACTTTGGGAGGCCGAGGTGGGTGGATCACCTGAGGTCAGGAGTTCAAGACCAGCCTGGCCAACATGGCAAAGCCCCGTCTCTACTAAAAATACAAAAAAATGCCGGGAGCGGTGGCTCACACCTGTAATCTCAGCACTTTGGGAGGCCAAGGCGGGCGGATCACGAGGTCAGGCTTTGGAGACCAGCCTGGCCAACATGGTGAAACCCCGTCTCTACTAAAAATACAAAAATTAGCCAGGTGTGGTGGCGCTTGCCTGTAATCCCAGCTATTCAGGAGGCTGAGGCAGGAGAATTGCTTGAACCCAGGAGGTGGAGGTTGAAGTGAGCCAAGATCGCGCCATTGCACTCCAGCCTGGGCAACAGAGCGAGACTCCGTCTCAAAAACAAAACAAAACAATTGGCCGGACGTGGTGGCGGGTGCCTGTAATCCCAGCTATTTGGGAAGCTGAGGTAGGAGAATAGCTTGAACCCAAGAGATGGAGGCTGCAGTGAGCTGAGATTGCACCACTGCACTCCAGCCTGGGCAACAGAGGAAGATGCCATCTCAAAAAAAAAAAAAGAGTGTCACCTCTGGGAAGAAGCCTTTAAGACCAATGTGCTATTTCTCATGTTTCCTTGACACTCCCACGGTGACCAGCTATGTTCCACATGGTGGAGGCTCTGTCAACCTGGGTCCCTGGGTAAGGACATGGCACAGAGCCCCCCACCAACTTGAGATGGACACATAGCCTGAGCAAGAAATAAAGCTTTGCTTTTGCTAAGATAGAAGAAACTATTTGTTACTGAAGCATAACCTAGTCTAATTTGACTGATACAAAGGGTGATCTAGACACAGGTTCCATAGGCAATTATAAAGTTTTGGTATTTGCTTGGTTACAATGTCTTGTATAATCTTTCCTATTGCTGCTGTAACAAAGCACAAACTTAATGGCTTAAAACAACATAAATGTATCCTCTTACAGTTGTGGATTTCAGAAGTCTAAAATGGGTGAGAAGGACTGCATTCCTTCTAGGAGTTCTAGGGGAAAATCTGTTTCCTTGCCTTTTCTAGCTTCTAGGGACGACCTCTACATTCCCTGACTTGTGGTCCCATCTTCAAAGCCAGCAGGTAGCATCTGCCACTCTCTTCTTCTCTCTGCTTCTGTTGTCACATCACTTTTTCTCACTCTTCCCCTCCTACCTTCCCCTTCTAAGGATCCATGTGATGACATTGGGGTCACCTGGATAATCCAGGATACCTTCCCCAAAGAAAGGCCTTTAACTTAATCCCATTTGCAAAGGTAACATATTGACAAGTTCCCAGGACATGGGTAGCTTTGAGGGGGCCATCATTCTGTCTACCACAGCTGCCTTCTGTCAACTGAGGACAGCCATGCAGAGACATAGTAAAGATCCTGTCTCTAAAACATTGTGCAGACTGGCAAGATGACAAAAATGCTATCACCATTGAAAATAAACTGTTCTCCTGATATGTCACAGCAATAGGAAATAAGGACTCTGAAATTCACTGGTCAATTTCACATTGAAAGGAAGTAGTAAAGAATTCATATTTCACTGAGGTGAACAGTGGAATCAGAGAGCCTGTATGATTGCCAGTTGACTAAAATTCAGGCGAATAACAACCTTTTCTCTTCTCTTAGATTTTATATGGCAAAAATCGATTAATTTTCCAGGACAGAATTCTCTGTTTGTTCCAAACCTACTGAACTTCAACCCACTTCACAAGATAAAACCTTAGATGACAAGTCACTTGGGAGCCAATCTCAGAGTGCATCACATCTCACTAAACCAGGTGAGTTTCACCTCTTGAGAAAGAAGCAGGCCTTCAGTCTGTGCCTGGAGGAGACATGCTTCTACCACAAGAGGGAGTCTTAGTCCATGGATAAAGAGTATCAAAGAGAAAGAGAGCATAAAGCTTTGCCAGTACAGTCAGCCCTCGGTATCCATGGGTTCCACATCTGTGGGTTCAACCAACCTCAGATCAAAAATATTCGGAGGAAAAAATAGAAAAAAACAAAAATGATACAAATAAAAAAATCCAATACATATAATAACTATTTACGCAGCATTTACATTGTATTAGGTGTTATAAGTAATCTAGAGATTCTTTAAAATACACAGGAGGATGTGCATAGGTTATATGCAAATCCTATGCCATTTCTTATCAGGAACTCGAACGTCTGCAGATTTTTATATCCAGAAATGGGGGATGTCCTGGAACCAATTCCCCCCCCATGGACAGGGGAATGACTGTGTCATTTCCAGCTTAAATAAACATCAAGGAGCCACAATTTGGAGTTTAAGACGGTGTACCCTGCCTTCCTTAGCCCAAGCATGACTACTGTGATGCCGCACTACATTCTGTGACTTTCACTGGAGAAAGTGATGCAGCTGTCTTCCGATAGGAACAGCCTCACAGAGTCTTCATGGGAAGAAATAAGTCATTTTCAGTAACTTAAAAGCTGGAAGTAACATAGAGTAGGAAGAAGAATGGACTCTGAAATGATACAGATTCAAATCACAGACTTGTCAGTTTCAGTCAAGTTTCATCTTCTCAAAGCCCTAATTTCTTCACCTGTAAAACTGAAAATTATACATCTAGAATATAATCTAGCTTCTAGAGATGGCCTCTGCACTTCTTGGCTCGTGGTCCTATCTCAAAGCCAGCAGGTAGCATCTGCCACTCTCTTCTTCTGTCTACTTCTGTTGTCACATCACTTTCTCCCACTCTTCCCCTCCTACCTTCCCCTTATAAGGACTCATCATGTGATTACATGGGGTTACCAGGATTAAATTAGAATGAATGTAAAGCATATAGCACAAGGATCGGCAGGCCCTAGGTGCAAAATATTAATAAATGGTAACCAGTAGTAGTAGTAATAATAGTAATAGTAATAGTAGTAGTATGGAATCAAAGGGCCTCACTGTGGCAATATAGTTCATTTAGGAAGTCATTTACCTGAAATGAAGCAATAGTGTTAAGCATTAAAAGCTTCCCATAAAACCTCAATCATGCCTCTTTCTAATAATGATTTCTCCACTTTGAGCGTCTAATCCAGAGTCCTGGAAGTTTGTATAGTTTTGTTACAAATGATTTGAACTACATAGATGTTGGTTTATGTCATTTACATTTATGCAGCTATTCTTATCAGTTCTGCTAGAGTAAAGGCTTCTTCATGACAAGTAACACCTTACACTATTTCTGTGGAATGTGTGCTATTCCTCATGTAGTGGGCAACTCAAGTTTCACAGACAGAGGACACACCTAGCAGTTATCAAGGGTACAATGACATGGTATAATCTGGGCAAAGAATGATTGTTGTTCTGTCATGGCTAACCTAGTGAAAAAAGCAATTATAACGGAAAGCACATGGGTAATTAGAGAAATGAATACTCTGGTGTTCAGGTTCAATTTACAATACATTCCTGTGTTGTCAAGTTGGAAGATTAATTCATCTCTATAACCTTACCTGGTGTCTTGAAAAACAAAAGTTAGGTAAAACCACTCTTTAGCATCTAGACACTGATGCTAGAAAAGGATGCTTGGAATGGGAGTCTGAGGGAAGGGCATAAATGCCCAGCCCTTTTCTCCATTTACCTCATATTTGTTTACACTAAAGGAGTAAGCGCCACCGTATGTGAACAGGGCAACGCTCCAGGTTAGATGGGCCCCAAACCCAATAGGCTTTCTTCAAAATAACAAAATCAAATTCCAAGGTCTCTTTAAAAAGGTCTGGATAAAACTGATCCTTGGTATAAAAAAACAATCACACCAGGGATTATATCTGAGTAGGGTGATGATTGGGAAGGTGCATAAGAAAACTTCTGGAATGATGGAGTAGTCTATATCTTGATAGAGGCATGGGTTATATGAGGGTATGCATTTTTCAAAACTCATTGAGTGGTACAACCAAGATTTTCGCATTTTATTGT
The DNA here is from genome assembly GCF_000001405.40 of Homo sapiens. Lineage (NCBI taxonomy): Eukaryota > Metazoa > Chordata > Mammalia > Primates > Hominidae > Homo > Homo sapiens. The sequence continues at coordinate 1,768,688 of NT_187614.1, forward strand.
ACATGTATATATATTTTACAAAAAAAAAAAAAAAAGAAAAGAAAAGGTGTGGAGGGGTGTTCAGAGTCTAGAAGGTGCAGCTGTAGCAAGCTTGTAGCCACAGGAGCTTGGGAAAAGGTACAAAAATGAAACTGGCTTGCACTTCACCTGGTGAGAGGAGCTACCTCAAGAAGTAAACGCACAGCAGCAACCCAGGAATCTCCCCACTTATCCTTTCCCCCAAATTCACAAGCTTGGCAAGTACGCCTGGTCTCTGTGATACCTTTTCTTCTAAGAGCTCATGGTAAGGAGAGAGATGCTTTGTAATCACAGTCATCTTTTCCCAGCAGCACTAGGAGAGAAGAGATGGGTGGCTGATTTGGGGGTTGTATAGAAATCTAGTTTTCAAGTGTTAACTGCAGTAAGAACCGATTGCCACCCAAACAAAGAACCTTAAAATCTAAATGTAAAGAAGGAGGCTTTTAAGTTACTCTACAGTCCTGGTATATATATGTACAAGAGCAATGTGCAGAAAAGAACTCGACTGTTTATAACAAGTTGCTGCCAGAAAAGACTCCTGGTGTTTGAACTCATTAACCTTGATGCCAAAATCGACCCACTCCCCCCGACAAAAACTTTAGTACCTGTCTGGTTTTACCCACCCAACCTGTCCCTCTGAAGGAGGCCACAAGGAATAGAGGTTGAGAAAGTTGACTTCTGACTTTCAGAATAAACCCAGGCCTCACCAGTATCTCTGTGCTTCAGTTTCTTCATCTGTAAACGGGGAGAACAGAAGTATCTACTCCTATGATGATATTCAGGCTTAATCTGCTCCATATTAGGACAAGGTCAGGAAGCAGCAGGTGGGTGAATTAGGAAAGACACAGACACATACTGATCTCCAGGTTCACAAATGGTGACACATCCTTCTCTACCCCACAGCTTCACAGGCACCCTCGGCACATATCACTAGCGAATCAATTTCATTAGTAGCTGGAGCTCAGGAAGTAAATGCAGAGTTTAATGCATTTCTCTGATCCAGAGGATAATGAACTGAATTCCAGAAGCTCAAAGAAAATTGGAGGACTGCAGTAAACACGTGCTTTTTCTCCCAAGTTCCTTGGATTAGTCATCATAACAGTTAACCAATCCATTAAGGACAGAACTGGAAGACTCTCATTCAGACCCCAAGAATTCTGCCTCTCTGAATGTAAATAGAGAAATAGAGGATAAGTAGTAAACTACCCCCATTCCTTCTCCCCAGCTTCTGTTCGCAATATTCTGATTCAGCTGCCTTTTAGGGGCAGTGATGTGTGGTACTATAGTCCTCCTTAGTCAGGTGGACTGTCAGGACAAAAAATGTCTGGTAGCTTGGGCATGATTCTCCTCTGCTTCAGGAAAGGATGACGGCAGGGTAAAGATGTCAGGTTGCCATGCAGATTTACTGCAATTAAAGTCCCTAAAGTAGTCTGGGCGTGGTGGCTCACACCTGTAATCCCAGCCCTTTGGGAGGTTGAGGTAAGAAGACTGCTTGAGGTCAAGAGTTTGAGACAAGCCTGGGCAACATAGTGAGGCCCTATTCCTACCAAGCCAGGCATGGTGGTGCATGCCTGTAGTCCCAGCTGTGGGAGGTTGAGATGGAAGGATCACTTGAGCCTGGGAGTTCAAGGCTGTAGTGAGCCGTGATTGTGCCACTGCACTCCAGCCTGGGTGACAGTGTGAGACCCTGTCTCTAAACAATGAACAAACAGGTAAATAAATAAAATTCAGTTTTGAGAACTTCATAATCTATCACTACAACGGAAAGGAGAAGTGGGCAAGGGTAACAAGGGCTATCTACAGGGAGGGTTTGTGCAAGTGAATGGAGGGTAATGACACATTTCTCCTACCAGAGTAAAAACACTTGTTTTTCCATTATAAATGCAACAAATGCTATTGAAAGAAAGTTGAAAAAAATGAAAAAACTAAAAGAATATTTAAAAATCCAGTGTTTTGGCTGGACACAGTGGCTCATGCCTGTAATCCCAGTACTTTGGGAGGCCGAGGTGAATGGATTCCTTGAGCCCACGGAGTTTGAGACCAGCCTGAGCAACATGGCAAAACCCTGTCTTTACAAAAAATACAAAAACATTGGCTGGGCTTGGTGGTGTGCACCTGTGGTCCCAGCTACTCAGGAGGCTGAGGTGGGAGAATTGCTAGAGCCCAGGAGGTCAAGGCTGCTGTGAACTGTGATCACGTCATTGTGCTCCAGCATGGGTGACAGAGGGAGACCCTGTCTAAAAAAGAAAAAAAAAAAAATCCAGTGTCTCATCACCCAGACACATCCCTAATATCATTTTGGCAGATTTCCTTCAAGCCCTGTAGTAACACTTCTGTGTCATTCAAACTTCGTGCTCCTTTACAAAATGGCTGCGTAAGATCCTGGGCTAAAGATTCACCACAATTTACTTAACCAATCCTCTAGATTTGGACTTTCAGGTTGTCTCTAATTTTTCACGTTTACAAAGAACAACTTTGTGCACTTAATTTGCTTCTTTCTGTGAATTCATATTTAGAATCGCTGCCTTAGGATATTTTCTCAGATTTGGAATTACTGAGTCAGCTACTCTGAATGCATATTAAGTCCTTTAATTCATTCAACGTTTACTGAGTGTTTACTGAATGTTTACATAGTGCCTGGCACTGTGCTCAGATAAAGAAGAAAAGATGAAAAACACAGTCTTGATCTCTGTCTTCAAGAAGTTCACAGTCAGGGAGAAAGCATGGTGCCAAACTTCTCTTTCCATAGGTGATTCCATCCTACAGTATGTAGTCCACATTTTACCACATCAACACTATTAGTATTCATACAAACAGACCATACAAAAATTGGGCTTAATTAGTAGGCAGGCCGGGCATGGTGGCTCATACCTGTAATGCCTCTAGCACTTTGGGAGGCAGAGGTGGGTGAATTACTTGAGGCCAGGAGTTCGAGACCAGCCTGGCCAACAGGGTGAAACCCTGTCTCTACTAAAAATACAAAAACTAGCTGGGCGTGGTGGCACGCACCTGTAATCCCAACTACTTGGGAGGCTGAGGCATGAGAATTGCTTTAATCTGGGAGGCGGAGGTTGCAGTGAGCCGAGATTGCACCATTGCACTCCAGCCTGAGTGACAGAGTGAGATCTGTCTCAAAAAAAAAAAAAAAAAAAAAAAATTAGTAGGTAAAAAATGAAACCTTGTTTTAATTTGAATTTATGTTTACTGATTAATTGTACCTCCCCTTTTATGAATCACTTCACGTTTTTGCTCATACGTTACTGGGATGTTGGTATATTTCTCATTGATTTGTATGCTTCCTTTACAGAGCAAAGACATGAGCCTGCCATCTGTATGCACTACTACACCTCCTAGTTTACAATTTAATCTATTTTTTCCACACTTAAAATGACTTCCACTCATACTTTGGAGTTATGCCATTTGGCCTATATTGAGAAATGTAATAAGAAACTACCCAATGAAAACTGTTGCTTTATTTACTGAAAGGATTTCTCTTTTTTTTTGAAGGCAATGTTGATTATATTAGTTTCCTCTTTATGAGAACCCACAGAAGAAATTTCTTTCTGATATTCGTATCAAGGCCAGGCACAGTGGTTCATGCCTATAATCCCAACACTTTTGGGAGGCCAAGGTGGGTGGATCACTTGAGGCCAGGAGTTTGAGACCAGCCTGGCCAAAATGGCGAGACCCCGTCTCTACCAAAAATATAAAAATTAGCTGGGCGTGGTGGCGCATGCCTGTAATCCCAGCTACTCAGTAGGCTGAGGCGTGAGAATCGCTTGAACCCAGGAGGTGGAGGTTGCAGTGAGCCGAGATCACACCACTTCCCTCCAGCCTGGGTGACAGAGTGAGACTCTGTCTGGGGAAAAAAAAAAACAAAACAGTCTGGTAGAGGTGTGCAGAATAGATTGCTAGGAGATTAAAAAAAAAATGGAACCAGTAACCCTAGCTATGAGGTCAGAAGTTCAAAAGTGATAAGGGCTTGAATTAGTTAATAATTTTTTTAAAAAAGATTTCTAATTTCATTATATTTTCTTTCTTTTCTTTTTCTTTTTTTTTTTTTTTTGAGACAGAGATTCACTCCTGTTGCCCAGGCTGGAGGGCAGTGGTGTGATCTCAGCTCACTGCAACCTCCGACTCCTGGGTTCAAGCAATTCTCCTGCCACAGCCTCCCAAGTAGCTGGGATTACAGGCATGCACCACCACACCCAGCTAATTTTGTATTTTTAGTACAGACGGGGTTGGTCAGGCTGGTTTCGAACTCCCGACCTCAGGTGATCCACCCACCTCGGCCTCCCAAAGTGCTGGGATTACAGGCATCAGCCACTAAGGCCTTCGTTATATTTTCTAACAAAAAAAATAAGGTTTCTAAACTTCATTTTCTTTTCTTTTTTTTTTTTTTTTTTTTTTTTTTGAGACAGAGTCTTGCTCTGTCACCTAGGCTGGAATGCAGTGGCACGATCTCAGCTTACTACAACCTCCATTTCCCGGGTTCAAGCAATTCTCCTGCCTCAGCCTCCTGAGTAGTGGGGATTACAGGCACCCGCTACCATGGCCAGCTAATTTTTTTTTTTTTTGTATTTTTAGTAGAGATGGGGTTTCACCATTTTGGCCAGGCTGGTCTCGAACTCCTGGCCTCAATTGTTCTGCCCGCCTTGGCCTCCCAAAGTGCTGGGATTCAGGCATGAGCCACCATGCCCAGCCTAATTTCATCATATTTTCTAACTACTAATAATATGTAGGATTGTTATGAATTTTTGCCAAATGCAATACATTTAAACTCCTGAATTTAGATTAAAAAATATTTTTTTATCTATCTATCTATCTATAGACCGGGTTATGAGACTGGTTAATTTTTGTATTTTTGGTAGAGACGGAGTTTTGACATGTTGCTCAGGCTGGTCTCAAACTCCTGGGCTCAGGTGATCCGCCCACCTCAGCCTCCCCAAAGTGCTGGCATGACAGGGGTGAGCCACTGCACCTGGCTGCTTGAATTTAGATTTTTAAAAGAATTTCATTATCACCAAGTAAACATAATTTTATCTCTTTTTTCAAATATTAATACTCCATTTCTTATTTCACTTGCCAGAACAGTATTTTTTTTTTTAATTATCTACATACAATTTTAGGTTAGAAAATGAGAAGTGATTCAAGGGAACAAGAAAAAGTTTTGGAAATTACTTAAACTCTTAAAGACTTTAATATTACAAACCAGAAGCAACATGACAATGGTGAGAGGATGTGCTGCTGAAGACATGTAGTTGGGGTAGCTGGGTATCCACCTGGCTATCAGTTCAGAAAATTAGAACTGCTTCCTCCCACACAGCTGCAATCCCATTCAGATGGGTCGCAGAGTTCCATGTTAAAAAAAAAATTGGAATAGCATATTTATTCCAGCTGTGGAAGGAAGATAAACTTCTGACTATTGTGAAATAAAGGATATCATCAGAGACAAATTGAATAGGTATGAATATATAAAAATAAAATAGTTTTGCCCAATGAAATGTAAAAAAGGGACAGTAATAGAGGAGGAAAATAGCTGATAAACGTTTACAAGCTTATATATATGTATATAAATCTATTACAAATATGAAATATATAAGGTCAATAACCATATTCCAAGGAATAAATGGTCAAATGGTCAGAAGAGTCCAATCCGTTTATACACAAAGGAAACAGAAATAGTAAATTGTCATTTGGAACACTGCAAAGCCTCTCATGAAATTAAAAAAAAAAATGTAAAAAATACCTTAGGGAATAATTGCATGCTTGTTAAATTAAGAAATTGATAGGACATAATGTAGAGAAATGTATCCATGTACTTACATATTTCTGGTAGCATTGCAACCAATATAAGCTATTTGGAAAGCCTTCTAATAAATGTAACAACAGCTACATACGCATGCATGCACCTGTGCAGACACACACACTGACCTCCTAGTTCACTTGGAGGAAATACATCCCCACAAAGGAACAGTGATTTGTCTATTCAGAGAACTACTCGTAACAGGGAAAAATGAAAATGACCCAAGAACCTAAAAAAAGAAGGGCTAAACAAACTACAGGATGGCAACATGAGGTATCATATAGCTTTTTGAAAGGACACGTATGGGGACATAAATAACTAGAAGTGCAAAGGGAGTATCTCAAACCACTGCTTTGCAAAACTTCCGTGTATTATGTGAATTAAGAAAGGTGTAGCCAGAGTGAATGTTTTCCTGTACTGGTTTTTTCCTTAGGTTCACTGGGCCTTAGAGAGATCAGAAGCCCACCTGGTACTGTTCAACTGACCACACACCTGTGATCTCCCTCCTTTAATATAACATGCTCCAGTTGGCACCTCCAGCCTCTAATAAGTACCATCATAGGAATATACACTCTGCTTTACAACTTAGGTTTCTGGAAAGGAAAGCAACTGCTGAGTTGTCTCATGGGCTTACTGTGAGTGTGGCGAGTGACATGAAGCCGATTAGGTTATTCCATACTTTATCGATGTCCTTCAGCAACTGCTGGAGTTTCTCACTGCACACTGCAGTGGCTTTTATCCCCAGCTCCACACGCTTGGTTACCCTGTACACTTCAACAACACCTGACGGGATGAGAGAGCAGAGAGAGAGTGTTGGCAGTGGAGACACAGAGGACCCAGACAGGGGAGCATTATTGCTTGCTGATATCTGTGAGAAACAATGGGTGTATCTGGACAGAGGTGTACTTACTATTCTTTGGGACCAATCCACTTCTCAATGCTGCTGTATAGCTTACTGGTAAGAGCATAGAAGCTGCACTGCTTGGGTTCAAACCCCAGCTATGCCTCTTACTGGCTACATGACCTTAGGCAAGTCACATAATCTCTCTGTACCTCAGTTTCCTCATCTGTGAAGTTGGGATGGTAACAGTAGCTCCTCCAAGGATGGTTGAGAGGATTAAATAGGGTAATATGGTAAAAGGCTTACAACAGTGCTTGGAGAATGGCAGGCACTATGCAAGTTATTAGCTTTTGTTTTTTGGGAGGTTTATTTATGAGTCCATCTGTTTGAATCTGGGAAATCCCAATAAACTAGCTGAAAATGGGGATAGTAAAAATTTAAAAGAATCTAAATGTTAATAGCATCACAAAGTAATGAAGAAACATCTCACCCCTCTGAATCTGAAGGTCTTACAAACACTTTGACTTCACTTATCTTTAAACACATAACAGGATGCAGAACAGTTCTTTTCCTATGGTCTCTAAATTGTGGTTGAACTCTTGAAGCAAGGATGAGAGGTGCTAAGTACCTCCACATTCTAAGGACAGCCACCAGACACATCCCTAACCCCTGCAATGTAACAGTCACCAAAGACATGACCCCGATCTCTCTAAGTGAACACTGGAGGAATTCCAGGGGATCTTCAGAGCGGGGCCTCAGCAGCCCTGTGTCAGCACTACGGCTTTTCTTCTTCCTTTCCCAAGAGAGGGGCAGAAATTACTGCCCACCCTAAGCCAAGTGAGGGGGCTTCTAAGAGAATCTTCCATAGATACAAGGATACTAGGAGAAAAGACAGGTGCCCCATTTCCTGGTGGACATCTGCTTATGCAGAACTGTGCCTGTTTGAGCAGGAAAAGAAGACCCCAAGTGAGGTGGCAGGAGTAAGGCAGAGACTACATCCCTTCACTCTCCACTCATCCAGCAAATATTTTTGAGTGCCAACTACGTGCAAGACACTAGATTAGGTGTTGGGGACACACCAGTGAACAAAACAGACCAAAATCCTTGCCTTCTTGGAGGTTCATTCTAGTGAAGGGAGACAGAGAGTAAAAACAACAAGTAGCTAGGTGCAGTGGCTCACGCCTGTGATCCCAGCACTTCGGGAGGCCAAGGTGGGTGGGTCGCTTGAGCTCAGGAGTTCGAGACCAGCCTGGGCAACATGGCGGAAACCTGTCTCTACAAAAACTACAAAAATTAGCTGGGTGCATGGTGGTGCACACCTGTGGTTCCAGCTACTTGGGAGGCTGAGGTGGGATGATTGCTTGCGCCTGGGAGGTGGACGCTGCAGTGAGTCATGACTACATCACTACACTCCAACCTGGGTGACAGAGTGTGAACCTGTCTTAAAAAAGAAAAGAAAAGAAAAGAATAATAAGTAACATATGTAAGAAATTAAAGGTAATAGGGCTAAGGAGAAAATCCAGCAGAGAATGGGATGGGAAGTACCGGGGTAGGGAGAGACGATACTCTTTGGAGAGATGGATGCTAGGAAAGATTTCACTCAGAAGCTGACATTTGAGTAAAGATTTGAAAAAGATTAGGGTCCAGCATGTGTGGCTCTGGCCACGGGCCAAGCCTGAGCTTGGGGAAGGGAGGAACACCGAAGTGGACAGAGACTACACTTTCCCGTTGGACTGACACATCAAATTGCTGCAGATGGCCAGGAGGTTAAGGACTCTGTGGTGTCATTAAGCGGTCGAGAGAAAGAATATAGAGTATGGTAAGGAATTGATGGGAGACAAGATGATTTTACTTTAGTGCATCGGTAGTTCAGATTCTTTGATAAACCAGTAACACAGATATAATTTTACATTTTTGCTATTACGTATATAACAAGGATGAGGAAACTTAGCCATAGAGACTTTTTAATTAAGTCCAATAGTTTACTGCCTGTAGCTTGAGTGTCTTACCCACAAATACAGATGCTTCTTACTGAAGTCATATGTAACTTGAGAGATCTAGCTTAAAATAATTAAAGGGAAAACTGAAAATAATGCAAAGGGCCATCATTTTCAATAGTAAAATATGAAAGAACATACCTAATAAATATTCCATGCCTTGAGCTGACTGAATTACTTCTGTGCAAACAGAACTACTACTGATTCCATTTAAGGTATCATTTGCCTTCTTAATGACCTACAAGAAATGAAATCACATCACCTTACATAACTGAGAAAAGTCATTGCAAATCAATTTACTATTAGTAGAAAACCCAACCGAAAAGCCAGGAGGTGTCAAAAAATCTCATTTTATCCTTGAAGAAACAATCCTCCATTTCTCTGGAAGAGAAAATATGTTTTTTTCCTTTTGTTTTGTTTTGCTTTGTTTTGAGACGGAGTCTCGCTCTGTAGCACAGGTTGGAGTGCAGTGGCAAGATCTCGGCTCACTGAACCCCTGACTCCCGGGTTCAAGTGATTCTCCTGCCTCAGTTTCCTGAGTAGCTGAGATTACAGGCACGTGCCACCACGCCTGGCTAATTTTTGCATTTTTAGTAGAGACAGGGTTTCACCATGTTGGTCAGGCTGGTCTCAAACTCCTGACCTCGTGATCCGCCCGCCTTGGCCTCCCAAAGTGCTGGGATTATAGGTGTTGAGCCACCGCACCCAGCCAAGACAGGTTCTTTAGCTTAAATATTATTTTGATTTAGTCAGAGTTAATGAAATCACTTTGTTATTTCTTAAACACAATGACAGATGAGGGGATGACTGACACATGAGCCGGTCTGCTATTGTAAGTGTGAAAGAAGCCTCACCTTAGATGCATGACTTCCACAGAGTTACTCTTTGCCCAGGGACATCCAAGTAAGGCTCTCCTGAAGTTTGCCTCTGTCAATTCAAATGAACCAAGAAGGCAAAAAGGCACAAAAGAGCACTCACATATGTGTGAACGCGTAAGTGACATACTCACATTCAGGGCACTCCCCAGGCATCTCTGCCATTCATATGCATATCTCTCATTTTCCTGTGAATTTGTTAAAAAGAACTGGGTTAAACACACAAACCTGGAATCTTCTATTGATGACTCTGTCAATTCAAAGTGCTTGGAGGACTTTCCTTTTTATTACGATCACTCTAGTTCAAGCAGTTTATGTTTTTTTTGTTTTTGTTTTTGTTTTGAGATAGGGTCTTGCTCTGTTGCCCAGGCTGAAGTGCAGTGGCATGATTTCTGCTCACTGCACTGGACGCAAGCAATCCTCCCACCTCAGCCTCCAGAGCAGCTGGGACTACAGGCACGCACCACCACATGAGGCTAATTTTTGTATTTTTGGTAGAGGTGGGGTTTCACCATGTTGCTCAGGCTTGTCTTGAACTCCTGAGCTCGAGTGATCTGCCCGACTTGGCCTTCCAAAGTGCTGAGATTACAGGCATGAGCCACCATGCCCAGCCGCAGTTTATCTTTTTGAACTCACTAATAACTATGTTAAATTACTAATAAATGTAACTTCTGAGCACAGGACCTGTGAGTCTAAGGGACATGCTTTCCAGCAGCTTCCCCCTGTGAGTGTTGCCTCATTTGTTCCATCAGTAACAGTGTAAGCCTTTCTTCGGAGGCACTCAGCATGTAGCTATCTGGTACAGAAACTGCTATTAAGCCACTGGCTTTCCACGCCCCAGTTATAACGCTGTGTGGCTGTGTGTGAGGACGTGGCCCATGTGCACATGTAACAAGGAGTAGGGAAAGGTGGGAAATTAAGTGTGTTGACCATAGGAGGAACATAGCGTGGCACTAAGATGCAGCAGACAGAAATAAAAAATTCAGAATATTTTCCCTGTCTCCTCTATTTTGAGGTTTCATGAAGACAATAAAGTCTAAGTGCTCAAGAAGAATTATACAAACACTGCCATCCTTGTGAAGTCCCATGAATAGTTTTGGTTTTAGGGTCACTGATTAGTTTCAGTGGGTGCCACACCTGGGAAATGTTTTCACCCAGGGCTAATGTTACCCTTGCCTCACTTTAATTACATAGTTTATGTCTGGTGCTTTGTGTCTTTCTGCCCCTCATTTTCCCCATGTGAAAGCTGACAGCATTCTTTCTTGGGGCCCTGTGTGCTTGCTGGTCTGTTACCCACCCCTTGTAGAAAGCTCTCCTCTCACCTCCACCTCTCCCGTCAGGTCTTTGTACTTGTCTCGGATGACGGGCAGGGCGGGCTTCTCATTCAGAGTATTGGAACGGTCTCTGAAAGGCTGCTCCAAAGCTGGAGAAGGAGAAGAACGGCTTATTTCTTTATCACCAAGGCTCAAACTCCTCTTGTGTGATCCTGGGAGAAGGGGATAATACAGTCAAAGGTTTTGGCTACTCACCTTAGTTCAGGCAGAGGCTCTTCCTCGCTACCACAACCCTCTTCTTTTTTTTTTTTTTTTTTTTTTGAGACAGATTCTTGCTCTGTCGCTCAGACTGGAGTACGGTGGTGTGATCTCGGCTCAGTGCAACCTCCGCCTCCTGGGTTCAAGCAATTCTCCTGCCTCAGCCTCCTGAGTAGCTGGGACTACAGGTGCACACCATCATGCCTGGCTAATTTTTGTATTTTTAGTAGATACACGGTTTCATTGTGTTGGCCAGGCTGGTCTCGAACTCCTGATCTCAAGTTATCTGCCTGCCTCCCCTCCCAAAGCGTTGAGATTACAGGTGTGAGCCACCGCGCCCAGCCCACGACCCTCTTCTTCAGATGCTTATGTCATGAGGCATTCACAAACACATTCCTCATTCATTCTTTCTGGGAAGCTACATGTTAAATCTTTTCTACTGTTCTCTCTTGCACGGTTTCCCTGCGTTTCGTTTTCAACATGACTCTTCTCTGATCTATCACAAGTCTTCCATAATGCCCAGTGCAGAATCACTGGAGTCTGGAGAACAAAAGCACCTTTCTAAATATCAGTATGTAAGAGTTGTGTGGCTTTTCCAGTCATTTGTTATGGATTTGTAACCGAGTTCCTTCACAGTCTCTCAATCCAGTTGAAATCAACGACCCCTCCTGTCAGGATGAGATTAAAGCAGAAGAGGCAAACTCAAATGCCTTCAGAGACCAGGCAAGTAAAGTGAACAACTTAAGTAGGTCCGCTGAGACAGGAAGCGGTGGGGATTATGGTAGGAGAGAGAGAATGACCCACCTACAGGGAGTGGTGCTCTTCGGCTCCAGCTGCCAACATATGGGACTGTAGACCTACTAGTGCCAGATATTATGACTTCTCAAGAAAAGTTGGAAATCCAGATTGGGAAATCTCATGTCTTTTAAATACTGGCAATTACTTCGTACTTAAAAATCTTTTGTGTGGGTCAATGTGATATGCAGGCTAGATGCAGATCCCCGGCCCCCACTTTGCAACCTTTGGATTAAAAGACATTATCTGTGCTCAGGGAACATGAGCGGAGCTAATGTGCCTACAAGTGGCTCGAATCCATTTATCTGGCTCTTTTAACACAGCACACCTCTAACCAAACGAGCTAATGAGCAATACCTGCATGCTGTGCTTGTTTTTAGCCCATAAAGCAGTTATCTGAGGGATGCTGATTTTGACTCCCGTCTCAGGGAAATCTTTATTATAGCTATCTGTAATTGACCCTGATTTCAAAGATTAGAACAATCTATTTCCTGCGAAACCAGAGAGCAACATTTTATTCTTAAGAACATCTAACATCTCAGTGGAAAAAAACCACAATAGTAAAATCTACCTTGGAAGCTACTCACCTTGAACAGAAAGGTCAAAGGTTGCCAGCTCACTTTTGATCATTTCTTCACTGGATTTCATTTTGCTTTGTGAAGTGGCTACTAAGAAGTCAAATTTGCTGATTTTGGGCTTTTCACTTTGAAACTCTCCAAAGTCATCCGAACATTCGTTCGGGGTTTCTTGAGAGGCACCACTGGACGCTGGGCTGGGACACGTGGCCTCCTGGCTCCGTTCAGCCGTAGGCAGGTCCTGTTTTGTGAAATCTTTATAGTCTCTGTTTTCATATTCCTTTTGCTCACTGGTCTGAGGAATCGTGTCTTTAAAACTGGCAAGAGCTGGGAAGGTGGTCTCTGGAAGAGCATCTTCACTTACAAAGGTCGTTACTTTGGAGAGAGATGTCATGGTGATGTTTTCAGAACTGCCAAATGAAGTCTCTTTCTTTTGAAGAATTGAGGTGGCTGAGGGGGATCCACTTCCTGCTGAGAGGACAAATGGAGAGAGTTTTCTGCCCTGAGTTGCATCATCCCTGTCTGACCAGTCATAGCTTGTAAGTGTGCTCACTGCAAAATTGCTACTGTAGCTTCCAAAAGCAGCATATTTTAAGTCCTCTATATCTGAAAGGGAAATAAGACCCCACAATTAGAGGCAAGCAATTTAGGCAAAATGCCCTAAACTCTGTAGAAGCAAAATGCCTAGCATATTTGATTAGTTTTATACTATGTTGAAATTAGCTAAATTTAGAGTTTGTACTAAAATTAAGAGTTGGGCTGTAAAATCTGATCTTAAAAAAACCCACATTAGCCTTGAGTTGGCATTTACATTTAGTTACCAAGAACCATTTTCTTTGGCTATAAAAATTACTAAAAAAAGATAGGAGGTTCATCTACCAAAGTATACACTGTTTGATATAAGATTAGGGTCATTTAATAAATTGTTCCCTTATCAACTTAAAAATGTACTGATATTCCTTGCCTAAAACATGTCTCCCTTCATCTTGACTTTGTTGGAAAATGTGCCTTTAAAACATGGTCATGTGAAATGCACATGGCAAAATAATTAAAAGTTGACAGTTTCTCAAAACTAAAATGAAAATAATGTCATCTAACTTTTAATCAATTATTAGGGTTTCTGTCATAATATTATCAATTATTAGAATTTCTGTCTCAGGCAATGCCAAACATGAGATTTTAATCAAGCAATTACTTACCTAGTTGTTATTTTGGTCAAATTGGACGTCATATTGCTGTGATGAAGTATGAGGAAAGAAAATCAATCTGATCTACTTTAGCCCTTAAAAAAATACAATAAAAAGATCTGGGTCCTGTTGGGCTCCACTTTTTCCTTCAACTATGTATCTACTCCCCATTTTTTAAAAAAAAAGGAAAGAAGAAAAAGAAAGAACTGCTGGGGCAGACGACTGATTTTACAAAGCATTCTTAATATATAGTTAAGTAATTTAAGAGGTAGCATAAAACAGCATAAAGAATGTAGGTTTTTGATTTGGAAAGACCTGAGTTCAACCTTGCTACCTACTATTTGTATGACACTAGGCTAATGATTGAACATTTCTGAACCTCAGTTTGCTTATCAGTAAAATGAGGAGAGGAGAAGACCATGTACTTGGAAGGACTGTGTTATGACCATCAACCATGATCATGTGTGTAAAAGGCCAGGTTGGTGCCTGGTGAGCAATACATAATAGCTAGTGTCTGCTCAGCATAGGTGCCACCAGCCTCAACTTGACAGTTAATTGCTGCTTTAGGGCCTACAGTGGAATTTCAAAGCAAAAATGAAAAGTCAACTCAGCATTTTAGTGGTGTTACTAGGAGAAAATTTTCTTGCTCATTTTCAGAAAGCAAAACCAGCCGAGACTGAATTTGGCTGGTGTGGAGAAGTGGGTTGATATGCATTTCGTTTCATTGTAGTCACTGTACATGAGGCAAGAAGGCCAAATATGAGACTCTCCCTCTGACAACCACATATGTGATTTACAAGGAAAGTGCTCAAAAGTTTTATGACCTAGATTTTCAGAACTAAGTCAATAAGTGAACCAACTTGGAGTCATTCTTCTCTTTCATTCACAGCAATACTGCATAATTTATGAGGGGTAAGAAGCTCCTGACATTTCCATAGCTCTTCTAATGGTATAATCCAAATCTCTCTTTCTTTGAGCTGTTAGGAAAGGGGTGCTAAGTGAATAATAAAAACAAAAAACACTAGTTGTACAAAAAACCAACCAGCAAAAAGCAAACAGCTTTCACAGAATGATGGCATATTTAAAAATTCTGTGGTGCAATGGTACCCTTCAAATGTGGTTTATAAAACAGAAGGAAAAAACGACTCAGGTGAAAAGTTTTTTTTTTTTTTTAATTGATTTTTTGAGATGGAGTTTCACTCTTGTCACCCAGCCTGGAGTGCAATGGCGCGATCTCGGCTCACTACAACCTCCGCCTCCTGGGTTCAAGCGATTCTCCGGTCTCAGCCTCTCGATTAGTTGGGATTACAGGCAGCCGCCACCACGCCTGGCTAGTTTTTGTATTTTGAGTAGAGACGGGGTTTCACCATGTTGGCCAGGCTGGTCTTGAACTCCTGACTTCAGGTGATCCGCCCGTCTCGGCCTCCCAAAGTGCTGGAATTACAGGCATGAGCCATTGTGCCTGGCCTCAGGTGAAAAATTTATAGTTTAGAATGAATGGAAAAGCCTTTAGCCCAAAGCTTTCTTGGTTTTTGCTGTAGTGATTTTTTGTTTTCGTTTTTTTCCCCACGATTTAAAGGGACCAGAAGGTGTCCAGACTCAAATGAGGTGAAATTCAGTCAGGGGATGATGCAGTTAAATACAGGACTATTCTTGGAGAGATACATTCAGAAAAATGTTTCATAATACAGATATTTCTATTACTAGGCCCGACGAAAGCGTTTTGGGAAACTATATTAGGAACTGCTTCCAGAATCTTTCCTATTAAAAGGTTAGCAGGCTGGGCATGGTGGCTCACAGCACTTTGGGAGGCCTGTAATCCCAGCACTTTGGGAGGCTGGGGCAGGTGGATCACCAGAGTTTAGGAGTTCGAGACCAGCCTGACCAACATGGAGAAACCCTGTCTCTACTAAAAATACAAAATTAGCTGGGCATGGTGGTGCATGCCTGTAATTCCAGCTACTCAGGAGGCTGAGGTAGGAGAATCACTTAAACCCAGCAAGCAGAGGTTGCAGTGAGCTGAGATTGCACCATTGCACTCCAGCCTGGGCAACAAGAGCGAAACTCCGTCTCAAAAAAAAAAAATAATAATAATAATAATTAGCTGGGCGTGGTGGCACGTGCCTGTAATTGCAGCTACTCGGGAGGGTGAGGCAGGAGAATCGCTTGAATAAGGGAATCGGAGATTGCAGTAAGCCAAGATGGCACCACTGCACTCCAGCCTGGCGACAGTTTGAGACTCTGTCTCAAAAAAAGGAGACAATTTTCCTAGAAGCAAATGATAAATTTAATGAAAAGATAGCTCCAGTTCAAACACTGCAATCAAGATATTACTATGGTAATAAAAAGATCTTTCTGTGCAATTATGCAACAAGAAAATGTCTTTTGAAAAACTAAAATGACTAATATAATCAGGTAAAAGGCATTACAGGGAATAAGGGATTGCCTAAGCTGAGGCATTTTTAAGCATTTTTAAAATTTCAGGAAATCTTATTTTTGTTAAAAATGATACGCCTGTAACATCTTGCCTTTTGGAGCAACTCCCAGAAAAGACTAAATGAAAGACTAGGAAAGCAAATGAAAGACTTAGAAATATTTTATACTTAAAATGAAGAGCAAATATACAAGAGTCACTAAAATCAAGCCTCAAAATTGAGTTTTAAATTTACTTTTGCTTATTTGTTGGCTATTATAGTGTGAAAAAGTAATTTCGTAAAGTGTAATTCATTTGAACACCAGTACTGATGGTACATAAGGAATGTGAGACAGAACACCGTGCCCCTAAACTTAGAATTTATAAACAATATAATTACAGGGCAGTATGTTCTGGCATAGCAAATATACGTCAACCATTAACTAAGAAAAATGTGGTACATCAGTTCATTGAAGGTAGCTTAAAGTAAGAAAATTCTTCATTTCCCCTGTTAATAGTTCTACATTTCTAAGCAGTCCACTTATCGGTATTATTGTATAATGGTCTTAAAAATATTAAAGATTATGTAAGACCTACAACATAAATGATAGAAAAAATGATGTGGAATAACCCACATTTTAGTTTGTAATCACTGAAGCTAGTATAGATGGATTTTCAATTTGATAGCCGAATTCTGAAAATTGCAAGAGAAAAAGGAAAAAGAAAATGGAGAATGAATGCAATAAAATGAACAGAAAATCACTACTGTATTTCCAGTTCTGCTGCAAAACTCCTAGGCTGTGCTAGGCTGACTGCATTTGCACACAGATAATATGCCAAATTGTTGTTTTAATGCATACATCTGTTTGCAATCAGGGATGTCCTATTACAAAGGCCAAAGAAATAAATGTATACGATCTGTTTTCCATCATGGATCTCAAATCAAAACACATATTTCTTGCTTATGCTGGCAAGTAACCCTATCAGTCTCTTCCATAACCTCTATTCAAATCTCTTTTGAATAGATGTTGTACATGAAAACGGTATTTTTTGGAACAAAGAATGTTGGCTGCTACTACAGGACACAGACGGCCAAGCTCATTCCCAGGGACATTTGCTAAAGCTGTTAAGTATATGCCCAGGTGAGGAAGAGTTACTGGCTTTTGAAGGAGTTTGGAGAAAGAAGAAAGGAGATATATGTACAAATTCCACTATTCTCATTTTATATAGCAATAAAAATGTTCATTGGACTAAGATATATATTTTAATTTACAGTACTCATGTAATCTAAACTTCATTTACTAAAGCAAACCATAAAATACTTGTACATTTCAGTTTCTCTCTACCCTGGGCCCTAATCTCCCTTAGTCCCTATTCTATCTTTGATCTACCTATGAGATCAGTCATATTCATATTCTCTATTAACTAAAAAACCTGGTCTGTGTCCTATAAGTCTCAAACACTGAAGAAAACAGGAATGAAAGTGATCACAGTATAAGTGACAGGCTGAAAAATGCTGCTGTTTAATTGCCTTCCAGTGTTTTCTAATCTGTATGAAAATTTCTTGTTCTTCATTTGTACTGACTCACACAACTTCATGGTATAAATTATATCCACACTATCTAGAAGCACCTTTGGGTTTCTGTGTTAGTGTTTTAAGTTCAAAAAAGAAAACTGGAAATCCTGTGGATATTTTAAGTTAGAGGAAGACAGAAGGCCAAGGAATGGTGTCAGGATACACAGTGGGACTGCCCCTGGTCATCAGTAAAAATCTCACCAAAAAGACACCAAATGAACACAGAAGGCAGGAAGTGCAATTGAGGCCTTTTGGTTCTTTGCATTATTTTAGGATTTAGCACAGGTTTTTTGATATTGCCAGTGTTCCCTTCATGTTCATTTGCTGCTTTTTTTTTTTTTTTGGAGATGGAGTCTCGCTCTGTCGCCTAGGCTGCAGTGTGAGTGGCACAATCTCAGCTCACTGCAACCTCCACCTCACAGGTTCAAGCAATTCTCGTGCCTCAGCCCCCCGAGTAGCTGGGATTACAGGCACGAGCCACCACACCTGGCTAATTTTTGTATTTTTAGTAGAGATGGGGTTTCACCATGTTGGCCAGGCTGGTCTCCAACTCCTGACCTCAGGTGATCCGCCTGCCTTCGCCTCCCAAAGTGCTGGGATTACAGGCGTGAGCCACTGTGCCTGGCCGTCATTTGCTACTTCTAAAAATCAGCAGGGATTCTGATGTGAACAACAGAGTGACTATAGAACAACAGATACATAGGTATACTTTCTCAGGCACTGATACATGAAGTGAAGCACTAACCATATGTTACTTGGCATCAGGGTAAACAAAACAGTATTTTGTTTAAACCTATAGCATAGAATTCTTCAAGTCTTTTTCGCAAAAGAAGTTTAAGTCATTACATTATATTAAAACTACCTCCCTAAAAAGTAATGTTACTTTGGAAATACTCATTACTCAATTTGTGAATGTATGCTTTACACACAGTTACATTCAGTCATTTTCTGCAGCCTGCTCAGATAAATGCAGAAAAGAGTTAAAATAAAGCAGTCCTACATGGACCAATCTAGCATTACAGAATTCCACTGACAAAGAAATTCCTCAGTCAAAGCCATCAAGAGATTGGTTTTATAAATAGCACGGGAAAATCCAAAATAAAGGGCAGCTGGCATTATCACTAGATGGAAGCTACACTAAGATCTCTTTCTTTCAAATTTGTTAGGAAGCACATATCATAAATAAAATATAATGCATTTACACAAGGTTTTTGAAACCAAGTATTATTCAACTTTTTAAAGCAGTATGCTCTGGAAAGTGCTGTATTTTGAATGGCAGGCCTGGCTTTTCTCAGAGTTAACCTAAACCTCTATATGCAACTTTTCTTTCTTAAATGGCATATTTAAGACACTACAAGTGATCTCTTAGGAGTCCTATTCAAAATCCTCATCTTCTTCTAGGCCGGGTGTGGTGGCTCACACCTGTAATCCCACTACTTTGGGAGGCCGAGGCAGGTGGATCACCTGAGGTCAGGAGTTTGACACCAGCCTGGCCAACATGGTGAAAACCCACTTCTACTAAAAATACAAAAATTAGCTGGGCGTGGTGGCAGGCACCTGGAATCCCAGTTACTTGGGAGGCTGAGGCAGGAGAGTCACTTGAACCTCAGAGGCAGAGGTTGCAGTGAGCCGAGATCCAAGATTGCGCCATTCCACTCCAGCCTGGGTGACAAGAGGGAAACTCTGTCTTAAAAAAAAAAAAAAAAAACACACAAAAAAACGGGCGTGGTGGCTCATGCCTGTAATCCCAGCACTTTGGGAGGCCAAGGCGGGCGGATTACCTGAGGTCAGGAGTTCGAGACCAGCCTGACCAACATGGAGAAACCCCCATCTCTATTAAAAATACAAAATTAGCTGGGTGTGTTGGCATGTGCCTGTAATCCCAGCTACTCAGGAGGCCGAGGCAGGAGAATCACTTGAACCTGGGAGACAGAGGTTGCAGTGAGCTGAGATTGTGCCATTGCACTCCAGCCTGGGCAACAAGAAACCTGGTCTCAAAAAAAAAAAAAAAAAAAGTCCTCATCTTCAGTGATTTAATTTCCTTCCTTCCTCAAATTCTAAAAAAGAACAAAGAATTAAAGCCTCAAAACATAAGAATACAAAATGTAAACCATGGAAATATCCCCTTTCCCAGGGATTTTATTGCTTTGGGGTTTCTAACCTGAAAAACAGTAATATTCTCAAGGTTTTTTTACTGTTACCATACTCTAAAATGGAGAAAATATTTTCCATGTTTGGCCTACGCTTGTTGCCACATTTCATTGGTCCTTCTAGAAAATGTTTTCTTAAAAATAAGAATGGTTCAAACCTTACTTTGTTAGACACACCCCCTAAAGTAACATGTTTTAAGAATTTGCTTTATGTACTATGAGTGAAAAAAAAAGGCTGAGGGTTGCTTCATCATACAGAACACATACTGCAAACCTAACATGCTCTGCAATTAGAGGATGGAGTACCCAATTTTTCTTTCTTTGAGACTAGGTCTTGCTCTGTCACCCAGGCTGGAGTGCAGTGATGTGATCACAGCTCACTGCAGCCTCTACCTCCCAGGATCAACTGATCCTCACACTTTAGCCTCCTGAGTAGCTGGGACTACAGGAGCCCACCACCGTGCCCGGCTAATTTTTGTATTTTTTGGTAAAGATGGGGTTTTGCCATGTTGCCTAGGCTGGTCATGAACTACTAGCCTCAAGCAATCCACCCACCTTGGCCTCCCAAAGTGCTGGTACTACAGGTGTGAGCCACCGTGCCCGGATGAGTACCCAATTTCAAACTCAAATCAAATTCCATCCTCAAGACTTCCTGCTATTAATACAGAACACTTTCCATTATGCAGATTATCAATTTAAATACAGTTTACATTTACTGTGCTCAGAAGTCCATTTCAATATTATTTGATGATATATATCTAATAACTAGTTATTACATAACTAGATAGTTATAGTTAACTCTTTCCACAACACTCAACTCTTAGGTCTTTTTCCCCACCTTCCCCTTCTCTTCTCTTCAATGTAATGCCTAGTAGAGACAGATTCTCTACAATAAAATATGATCAGTTTCTTCAAGAGAAGAAACTGCAATAAATGTTCTTTCTCCCTATCATGTAAAGTAGTGTAAGGTTTATTCTTATTTAAGTTTAATTTTCTATTTCAATCCAATGCCATGTTAAAAACTTACATTAATGGAATTATAAGAAACAAAGGCTAAAATGTACCAATACTTTCTCAGGAGACAAGTGTTTGACGAAACAAAACAAAAGGGGAAAACCCTCTAGTCTTAGGATACTATTGCTTTAAACTTGGTATCAGCCAGGTATTTCTTTGGTCTAACCCTGAAAAAGTACAAATTACACACATCCCCACACTTTCAAAATATGCCAAAGAATTATTTATTAACACAAGACTTACAGATCACAAAAGAGAGTGATACAGAAGAGCTGGAAAAGAAGTCATCAGAATAAGCATGCAGATCAGTATTTGCAGAGGAATATACTAAAGTAAATTTGAAGGCACATTCACACAGAAAATGTCTAAATTGAAAAAAAGACATCAGAAAAGCAGCCAAAAAAAAAAAAAGGTGCTAATTAAAATACAAAGATTTTCAATGTCAAAGAAGAGCTACTTTACAGATAGGTAGGTAGGTAGCTACAGAAGTCTTGCTAACCCTTTGAAAATGTCACAGATGAGGGTCAGCTCTTGCTGCCAATAAAACCATATGATTTTAATGACTGCACGTCAAGATGCTTCAGTGCCGCAGATTAAATTTAGTCAGGGGGAAAAAACAGCCTAGTTGAAATTATATGCAGCAAGGCCTCAAAGGGTTAAATGTAATAATACGCAGAGAAATCAGGCAATGTTATCAGTATTATCTACCTTCCATACAAATGATTATAGCAAGAGTTAAAAGAGACAGTATCCCCTTCAGAGTTAAGTTAGGGCTTCTAAACAGGATTAAGGTCCGCAGATAGCAATCTACCAGGTTTTATTCTCTCTTCATCAGCTCACTTCTTATTTCTCCAACAAGAAGTACCTTTAACCCTCAAACTAAGAGAGCAAGAGATACTGTGGTGAACATGAGGATAAAATAAAACTACATTACTTTGAATAAGTCCTTGCCATTTACCCTCTACAATACATTGATGCAGCAATTTTGCACAACAGCAATATAGCGCATTGGTCAGACATCAACCCCTTTTAACAACCGCTCTAAAGGGATACTGCTCCTTTCTGACAGGAGGTTTACAGATCAATGGGAGGAAACAATCTGCTTTTAAGAATATCCTCCAACTGAAGAGTTAGCTTGAACATTACAGGCTCCAAGCTGAGGATGTTCCAAACATACATAAAAGAACATGAGCACAGAAGATTATTTTAACAGGTCAGTAAGAACAAGCTTGGTCAAAAAAACCAACCTCCAAATAAAATGGGGGAAAAAAAAAGACACCCCAAACCCGGATTAGCCTCATTTCATAAAGACATCTACCTTGGCACTGTGAAAGAATATAGATTCACTTTCAGAAAAATAGTTTCTAATTAATAACTTCAGAGTCCAAAAGGCTAGTATACATGTTATGAGATTTTTAAATAAAAATCCAATATTGTTCAGAAAACAGAGCACTTTGCAACCAACTGCTGTGGTTCAAGCAGCTCATAAAAAAAAAAAACCAACAAAACAAAACCCACAATCACTCTATCAAACAAACAGCAGCAAAAAAATAAGAAAATTTCTGAGGAAAAGTACAAAAAAAAAAAAAAAGACAGAAAGTAGACAGTCAAGGGCACAGGAGCTCTTCAGACCGCCCACTGCATTTGAAAAATACCTTAGCAAGTAGCAACATGAAACATGCAATGTCTCTGCTAACTTGCTCCTGATTCAGCAGCCTGTTTAGCAATACCTACAACATTTCCATAACCAAAGGATGGATGCAATTTTGTTTTCCGACTTGCCAATTTGACATATGCAAAAGCTATAGGACTTTACAATTTCTGCCTGAATCTGTAAACTTGGAAGTGTCTCACGTGTCCCCCCTAGTTAGACAAAACCAAATCCTTCATATGCATAATACATTTTCTAGAATAATACAGTGATACTGAGATATTTCTCATTATTAAAAGGCCACAAAATAGGTTTATCTTTCTATATACATATCAAAAAACAAAACAAAAGAAAAACCAGGACACTTGGGAATCTAGTTTTTATGACAGAAGTTGAACTAGAGAGTAAATTGCTACATGTAAATCTACACAGAATTTAAAGAGGGCTCCCTAATAAGATGTTTTCAAACATTTTATCAGAAAGTTAGCAGTTACCCTATCCTAGCATCTACAGATTTGTTACAACTTAATATTTCCAGTAATAGAGTTAACACTGAAAACAGCTCCTGGATTCCACTGACAACACACACCCTCCTCTTTGCCAGGCCCTGACATACAGAACATTCATATATAAACTCTTTCCCTCTTCTTCTCTTAAAAGGATGTGGCAAACTGCACTACAAGTGGTTAGAAATTTTTACTTTCTTGACCTAACAAGAGTTAATTTCTGTAAATCAAACAGAATACTATACTGGCAGTTGCTGTGTATACCCAAGAGAAGAAAAAAGGAGAGGGAAACACTGATTTTACTCACAGAAATGAAGGAACACTGCCGGCACTGCAAAGGTCTTTATCAAATTTCTGGCAATGTGAGGTTCACTTAGCAGTGACTTTTTATGTGCCTCTAACACCAAGCTGGTGCTAGATTTCAAAAATAAAAATATCTTAGCTACCCAATCTAAGTTCCACAGTAGCCATAGTATCCATATCAAGTATCCATAGAATCAAATTTAACACTGCTTTAAGGAGACTGGCAATAAAGAGGTTGATTATTAGAGATTCATAAAGCTAAAGGGCCAGAGCCTTACTCATGTAAATCAACACCCGCAGAATCATCTTTGAAATCTACAACACCATCACCAGAGCAATCTCACCAATTCCTCACCTGCAGCAGGAGGATGCTGGCCACTAACTGTTGGTAAATCCAAAGAGCTATCAGACATGACATGCTTAAGATCTCCTCCCACATCAGCCAATTTCATGTCAAACTGAACAGAGAGTGCATCTTCAGAGTCCTCCTTGCCAACACTGCTGCCACCAATGGAAGGGAGATCTAAGGACTTCACTGATGCAGAGTCTTCTTTGGTGTGTCTGAAAGCCACTGCTTTCTCTCCCAGGGATTTGTCCGAGTTTATGGAAGAAAATTTACTGGAGTGGAAGTCAGCAAAATCATCATCACTTTTTCCTGAAGGAGTGTTATCTTTCAGGTCTTCAACACCTAGTCCAGACCCTTCCAGAGAAAGTTGTCTGAAGACATCGTACTTGGTAGACGCAGCAGTCGAGTTTTGTCCACCCTTCACTGTGCTGCCCACGTTGCTGGTTAGAGGAACAGGACTGGCTTCCTCTTTAAGGGCATCATATTTGTCATCCGGCTTTTGCTCAGATGAAATAGAGCTATTACTGAAAGCCATAAAATCTGCAAAGTCATCCTGCTCCCCAACAGGTGCTAGACCAGAATATTCCCCAAAAAGGCTGAATTCTCCAAAATCATCAGCCAAACTAGAAGTTTTTGTTGCTGCCAATGCTGTCATAGTAGCAGCAGAACCTGTTGACTGTGGTGTAGAAACTGATTTTGATGTGCTAAACACAGCTGAAAAAGACAATGGTTTCTCGCTGCTGCAATTAACTGAGGAAAACATATCTAGGTCTGCTAAGTTCAGAGGGTTTTTCACTTGTGTTTGTTGTTTCTGTTGTATAGTTCCTGAGGGGAAGGATGGTGGAAAAGTTTTGTCTTTTGTTGGTGGCTCTAGTGGTGATACACTATCGGCTGTTTTAAAATCGGTGAAACCATCATCAGTTCCTGCAGATCTGAATTCTGCAAAGCTTTCTCCTGAAAGAAAAAATACCACCAAACAAATGGGAATGCTGAACTGAAAACCATATAATACACAGTATATTAAACTGCAAGCATAATTTTACTGACTTTTCTCCACTGACTTGACATTACTTAATAATGTTTACATACTTTAAACCCTATCGAACTACACATTTATTTCCACACTGAAGTCTAGTGATACTGAAATAAATAGAAATCGAACTGAAAGTACCTGACGGTACCATTTTCATTTGCTCATGCTTTTAGTGTGGGATCTCTCTTAGCTCTAGATCCTACAACTGGCTAAAAGTACTCCTCTCAAGACTTTTTGTTCCCACAGCTAGCCAGCCAAGCAGACAATACAATAAGAAATAGGGCTAGAGGTTCTTGAAGAGAGGCATATTAAAACAGTGGCCCTTTAAAGATAAACATGTTACCCATTAAAAAAATCAGAGGTACCAATAAAGTATTATGAAAAATCCTACATCTAATATTCAGGATGTACAACACTTGGTTTAGCCAGGCACTTTAAGAATAACATTAGATACTATGTGGTCTTGCTCAAGTAAATGAAGGCATTAATTTGAAGGGAACTTTGATGAAAATTTTTGAAAAGGTATCTATTTATTTGCAAAGCATTCTAGGTGGGGCACATTGTAAAGCAGCTCCTCCCTATAGTCTCTAATAAGCTGAATCTCACAGAAAAAAAGTCCTTGAGCACTTGAGCTTTTCTAGAAATCAGCTGTCTCACTGTATCAATGAGCACTTATTTTTATTTATTAAAATTCAAAAGGATTTGAATAAATACCAACTCTATTATATAAAGTTTTAGAGGGTATGACTTAGACTTTAGTTTACATTATGCTACTCTGAGGATGGGGTAACTGACGGAATTGTTTATTTATTTATTTATTTTTTAAATAAAATTTCTTTTGCCCATGACACAGCTCTCAAGAGATCCTGAGAAACATGTGTCTCAGATTTGTTTATTTTTATATTCTGGTTAAATAGAGTGGGTACTTATGTACTTCTCATAAATAATTAAACAGACTCAGTTAAGACATTGATAAAAATTTAGGCCTATGATTCTTTTTTTTTTGAGACAGAGTTTCATTATTGTCGCCCAGGCTGGAGTACAATGGTGTGATCTCAGTTCACTGCAACCTCCACCTCCCAGGTTCAAGCGATTCTCCTGCCTCAGCCTCCCAAGTAGCTGGGATTACAGGCACCTGCCACCACGCCCGGCTAATTTTTGTATTTTTAGTAGAGACGGGGTTTCACCACGTCACGTAGGCTGGTTTTGAACTCCTGACCTCGGCTGATCCACCTGCCTCGGCCTCCCAAAGTGCTGGGATTACAGGCGTGAGCTACAGCACCCGGCCCAAGGCCTGTGATTCTTAAAAGGTTTCTATATTCTTTATTATCATAGTAATGTTATCATCACTCAGGTACAGCATCAGGATACAGATGATCTCAGTTTTCTAATAGCATCTGAAGGTCTACCATAAAATCCACTAGGCTATACCAGGTAATAAAAACCAGAGATAAACCAAATGTAAATATAGTTATGCCAAGGCCGAACACAGTGGCTCACACCTGTAATCCCAGCACTTTGGAAGACCAAGGAGGGTGTATCACTTGAGGCCAGGAGGAGTTCAAGACAAGCCTGGCCAACATGGAGAAATCCCATCTCTACTTAAAATACAGAAAAATTAGCTGGGCATGGAGGCACATGCCTGTAATCCCAGCTACTCGGGAGGCTGAGGCACAAGAATTGTTTGAACCTGGGAGGCGGAGCTTGCAGTGAGCCAAGATCCCACCGCTGCACTCCAGCCTGGGGGACAGAGAGAGATTCTGTCTCAAAAATAAAAATAAAAAAACAAATAAATATAGCTATACCAACCAACATCATTTATTATTTTAAAAAATGACTGCCATTTCTGGAGATTAAAATTAAGTAAATTAAAATATAAGCTTTAATTTCCTCACCCATTTTTAAAAATTACATTTTCCCCTAAAAATGACATATAAGAGCATATCAATAATAAAAATGTATTGAGAACCAAAATCCAATTCTTAAATTGGCATATAAAATAATGCAGGCTTAAAATATACTGTGCTTGGGCCAGGCACGGTGGCTCACGACTGTAATCCCTGCACTTTGGAAGGCCAAGGCGGGTGGGTCACCTGAGGTCTGGAGTTTGAGACCAGCCTGGCCAACATAGTGAAACCCCATCTCTACTAAAAATACAAAAAATTAGCTGGGTGTGGTGGCAGGTGCCTGTAATCCTAGCTACTTGGGAGGCTGAGGCAGGAGAATCGCTTGAACCCTGGAGACAGAGGTTGCAGTGAGCCGAGATTGTGCCATTGCACTCCAGCCTGGGCAACAAGAGCAAAACTCCGTATCAAAATAAATAAATAAATAAAATAAAAATAAAAATAAATTTAAAAAATAAAATATACTGTGCTTGTAACAAGATATGTACTTGGATATAGCAGATGAAAAAAAAAAAGCACCAAAAACAATACAAGCTAATTTTTCCTCCTAACCTGAGATAGTTAACCAATTCACCAGCATAATTCATCAACACCAAGGAATTCATCTAATAAGAGAGGAACAGCATTCAGATTTCCTGTAATTTATATTTGTAAGACATACCACTAGTAAAACTCAAGTCAATTTCACAAACTGACAGAAGATGTAAAACTTTTAAAAATCACCCTAGAATTTTAGATTAGTAGTATCACTGATTATACTTGTATTATTTCTGAAAATGTAGAGGTGATAAGCGGCCATTTTTATCACAGCCTAAATTTTTAATGTGTTGCTTTGAAATATCTGTGAAATTGACAAGTATTGCTTTGTTTGTTTGTTTGTTTTAATCACCACAGCAAACTACACTTACTGATGAATTGTAAACTTTTCCATTGGAAATGTAAGCTGGGTGAAAGGGCTAAAAGGAAATAAAAGCGGGTGAGTTTACAAAGGGAATTTGTTGGCAAATAAATTAGTCACAGTCAATGGAAGCTTGTCTATCAGAAGGCATATTAAGCATATTATTTCATGGTTAGATTTTTGGTTAATGTCTACATACTTGTAAGTTTCCCTCTCCGTCACTTTTTAGACTCCAAAAAATCTCAAAAGGGACCACTTTTTTGCTAAAATTTCAATAAAAATGTGTCATTTCTTTATACAGAACATTTCCTCATTTACTTTAATTTATGGCTTAAACTCTGGAGATGGAAAAAAGGAAACATTATTAAACTCTGTCATTCAGTAACCTAAGAAACCCACAGCTCTGAACAACACAATACTATAAGATTCTTCATAAATTCTAAGATACTAACGTACTTTGACGAAGTCAAGCCAATGTATTTTTTGAGTATAAAAAATATATCACACCATTTAGGAAAATAAAATCTATTCTCCTAAAATGAACAAAGTTGGCAACTCTACTTGGAAAACCTTAGAATTAAAGTTAAGATAGGAATGAAAGCAAGTAAATGAAAATAACAACAATCTGGAACTTTGTTTAAAAAGTACTGAAATGTGGCTGGCCATGGTGGCTCACACTTGTAATCCCAGCATTTTGGGAGGCTGAGCTGGAAAGATTGCTTGAGGCCAGGAGTTCAAGACTAGCCTGGGCAACACAGCAAGACCCCACTGTGGTGATGCACATCTACAGTACCAGCCACTTGGGACGGAGGCTGAGGCTGCTTGAGTCCAGGAGTTGGAAGCTGCTGTGAGCTATGACTGCGCCACTGCACTCCAGGCTGGATGACAGAGCAATACACTGTCTCTCAGAAAAAAAAAAAGGTATTGAAAAGGCAGGACTAAGGTACTGCTTACATTTTGGTGACACCACTGTCTTTTCCTATTGTCTATTACGGGAATACACATTATGGTCATTAATACCATATTACACAAGAATCCTCATGTTAAACCATGTGCTCTTTACTCCAAACTTATCTTGGCCCAAGTGTTGATGAAAGCATTGCTAGGTGTAAATAAAAACCTAACAAGTCAAAAGATCCCCTCAGGTTTATCTCTGTTACTCCCACTGTGTATCTGATACAGGCACTGAGGAAGAAATGGCTATTACATTCTAAAAGCTTGGATAAAACACAAGAAAATATTTCTAGAACCTAACAGTTATATGGGGCTGAATATTCTTATAAGAGGTGGGCTTTCCTTCTTTAAAGATGATTAAGCAATACAGTTTCTACCATACCTACCTACCTTCTCTCCCCTACCCCTAGCAGAAGAGTAGAAATAAAAGATTGCTGAAGGATGTCCCAAGTTTGAGCATTCAATACGTAAAGATAGAATGTGGTATTGTTCCCAGAAGGAAATTCTCATTAGAGTATACACATTTCATAGCATGCATAGTTAAGCTTTGCAGAACATAATTTGACCTATGGGTTATCTAAACCCTACCCATCATGTTTACAGTAGGATTTAACCACAAACATAACTTTCAGTTTTTACATATATGACTCCCAAATGATCATTTTATATTCCCTTGTACTCTAAGTCTTACTATCGGAGATGGTAACCACATGGGCACATAAATCCCTCTCTCTTCATCTTTCTCATTAAATTATAGCCAATCTTGAAAATCTTGTAAAGTGGTGATTGAGTTTAACACAAGCAAAGTATAGTAACTGATCACTCATTCTTACTGGATTAGTGCGCAGATGATTGAATACTGGCGTCTTGACGTCTGTATCCTTGAACATACTAAGTGAGCATTGTTTGGTTACTGCTTCTGTTTGAAATGATCCTGTGTCTTGGTTGTGGCCCGAGCTTTGAACTGCTACTTGCCATTCCCTTTCCTTCACAGAGCTCTCACCATTCTAACATGAAGGATTTGGTAAAATACGAGTTCGGTTGAGTCCTGCTTACTCCCACTTGGTCATCTTTGTAGGAATCCAATGTTTCATTGGTTTGTTTTTAAATTATTTTTAGCTGATGTTCATGAAGAAAAGTGAGTACCTATAACCATGCTACTAATGAAGGAAAATCCTAGCTAAGAAGGTATATTTCTGTATGAGAGCTGTGTCCTACCATCCTTTGGGCTCTCTGCTGGAAGAGTAGAATCAAATCTTATATAATGCCTTTTTAATTGTACGCTCTAGTATTATAGATGTAAGACAGTACTGTAATACACCTCTGTGAATGTATCTTGTACCTGCTTTGTGATATGTAGCAGTGACTATGCCTTAATCAAGTCATTTTTAATAATGTTATTCTAGAATATTTTCTTTCTAGATCATGAGTGAAAGGCTAAAAAAAACCAAATAATAATGGTACCAAGTACCGCAACAACAATAGAAAAAAAAATCTTGAAAAGAAAAAGACTGGCCAAGTGTGGTGGCTCACGCCTGTAATCCCAGCACTGTGGGAGGCCGAGGCGGGCAGATCACCTGAGGTCAGGAGTTTCAGACCAGCCTGGCCAACATGGTGAAACCCCGTTTCTACTAAAAATATGAAAATTAGTCAGGCATGGTGGCAGGTACCTGTAACACCAGCTACTTGAGAGTCTGAGAAAGAAGAATCGCTTGAACCCAAGAGGTGGAGGTTGCAGTGAGCCAAGATCATGCCATTGCACTCTAGCCTGGTTGACAAAAATAAAACTCTGTTTCAAAAAAAAAAGACTAGTTGCTGCCTTTACAGTCCGCAGATTGCTGTACTGCTAATACTTCAAGCAGTGTAGTTTGAGTATTAGCAGTACATTGTTGAGCAGTGTAATAAATCAGAGTAACCATGGCTCTCATTTGACAAGGGAATTTAACTTGTCATGCAAGCTTCCCGTGAAAGGGAATGTCCTATCTTCAGAGGAAACTACACTGATTTGGAATTTGCCCTGAATTTTATTTTATTTTTACTGTGACCAGGCTGGGGTACAGTGGCACAATCATGGCTCATTGCAGCCTCGACCTCCCAGGCTCAAGCAATCCTCCCACCTCAGCCTCTGGAATAGCTGGGGCCACAGGTGTGCACCACCATATCTGGCTTATTTTTTATTTATTTATTTTCATTTTTTGTAGAGACAAGGTCTCACTATGTTGCCCAGGCTGGTCTCAAACTCCTGGGCTCAAGCCATCCTCCCACTCTGGCCTCCCAAAGTGCTGGAATTACGGGCATGAGCCACTGTGCCTGGTATGCCCTAAATTTTAGAAAATAAATAATTCTCAATAGCTGAAGCACATTTACCTCCTTGTAATCTCCAGAACCATAAGAAGTAATCTTATCCCCCTTCTACTAGATAATCCCCCATTCAGCACCTATCATTTTTTTTTTTTTTTGAGATGGAATCTTGCTGTGTTGCCCAGGCTGGAGTGCAGTGGCATGATCTTGGTTCACTGCAACCTCTGCCTCCCTGAGTTCAAGCGATTCTTGTGCCTCAACCTCCTGAGCAGCTGGGACTACAGGCATGTGCTACCATGCCTGGCTAACTTTTTTGTATTTTTAGTAGCGATGGGGTCTTACCATGTTGGCCAGGCTTGTCTGGAACTCCTGACCTCAGGTGATCCGCCCACATCGGCCTCCCAAAGTGCTGGGAATACAGGTGTGAGCTACTGTGCCCGACCCTATCATGATATTTTTTAAAAACAATAGCTATTTTTTTTTTTTTTTTGAGATGGAGTCTTGCTCTGTCACCCAGACTGGAGTGCAGTGGCACAATCTCGGCTCACTGCAACCTCTGCCTGGGTTCAAGCGATTCTCTTGCCTCAGCCTCCCGAGTACCCGGGACTACAGGTGCGCACCATCACACCCGGCTAATTTTCATATTTTTAGTAAAGACAGGGTTTTGCCACGTTGGCCAGGCTGGTCTCAAACTCCTGACCTCAGGTGATCCACCCTCCTTGGCCTTCCAAACTGCTGGGATTACAGGCGTGAGCCACTGCACCCAGCCTAAACACGGTTGCTATTATTAAGGTTTTTTGAATTAGAATACTTATAGTTTGAGTATCTATTATAAACATCACTACTATACCATATTGTTTTGTCCATTCAGTTTTTTTCTCCTAAACACACAGACACACACACACTAAAATAAAGGGAATGCCACTGAAAGAACCATCGAAAACCCCTTTTTTATTAAAAATGGAAATAATTTATCCTTTTGAGGACTCAAAAACTTACCTAAAGGTTTATTCTCTGCTGTCTGTTCAAGTTCTCTGAAAGCACTATATTTATCACCAGGATCTATGATAGAAAGGACAGAAGCTCAGTTAAGGTTAGGAATCTTGAAATCACAGCTCCAGGAAGTGAGGCAGATTGGTTTAACCAAACACTATTAACATGTGGTATACAGGCATTTTACATATTTAGCACAGAAGACCACCACTTAAAGATTCATACAATTTAAATAGTATGCAATTTAGCATTCACAAGTTTATGAATTTACCAACTTTTTACCTCCAGGTGGAACAGTATTTTCAGAGGACTTGTCAGCTGCAATTCCTTTAAACACAGCATATTTGTCCATTGAAGGCAATGCTTTAGTTCCAGGAAGTGGCATCAACAAAGAAGGGGCACTGAAGGAAAAAATAAACATATTTTGATGACATTGAATCCCTCCTTTATCATCTAAAAGGAAGTTAGAATTAAAATGGCAAACAGGTATTTCATTAAAACTCATGGCTCTCTGCTTTAAAAGTTAGAAAACTATATAGTATACATATATACCACAAATAAAAAAAAAACCATGTCCTTTTTCAAAAAACAAAACAAAACAAAAAACATTACCCAAACAATCATTTTTTTCTTGATTAAATGAAGAGGGGTCAGATCCATGCTGACTGTCTAACCATCTCTTTAAGCCGTAATAACAACTGGAATGGCGTTGGAAGTAGATTATTAAAGAATGATGACTTCCTGCAATTTTAACTTAAGGTCCATAAAACTGCAAAAGTGAACTGTTCCACATATGTATACTCAATATTTTAAAATAAATCATGTTAACCTTAATATAAATTATTAACTTCAATGGGTTCAGAGTGCAGAGGTAGAATAGTTGAGATAAAAATCTATTTATGAAATGCTGTTCAAGCCAAAATGTAAATTGTTTTTCTTCTGATTGTACTGCACTGCCTACTGGCAGAAGTGCATACATCTGATAAGCTGCCATAGAGTTAATACAATTTGCATTTTTACAAAGATCACATCAGCGGTTCTAGAAGCTATCTTTGTAACAAAACAACAATCACTTCAAAATTAGATAAAGATACTTTTGCCTGTGGACATATTTCGTGCTGGATGGAAAAATAGCGTAATGAGTAGCATCTGGGCAGGTAATTCTTAGAAGGCTTAAACACATACTATAAAAGCATTACTTTTTCTTCTTCTTCTTCTTCTTCTTCTCTTATCAGACCCAGGCAGCTCCCTGGAAGAACCACCTTTACATATGAATGACTACATTCCACCACTAGTTTGTGTCATTCAATACCATGCACAAGTTATATAAATGGATTTCTATTGAGTTCTTCGCCCTGGAGCAAAAATCTTTCCACAGTCATTTAAACCTTCTTATCAGTGGCTTACAAGCAAGGTAAAAACTAGGCTCTGGTAGCTGCATGCTAATGGGGTACACAGTCCTTTAGGGCTTAATGCCATCAAATATTATGATTTCACGTCACCACCAAACAGCTGCTACATAACTGATCTTGACAAATGAAATAAGTCATCACCTATACATTGTAAGTGGACTTTTTAAAAGTTCCATAAGTAATTAAAGTACAGTTCACTGTACAGAATGTTACATGGGAATAAAGGAAATTAACATCTTAGGGAAAAAAAACCCCCAAAGTTGAATGATTTCTTTATTTTTCATGACCCTCCAGCTTTAGCTACGGTCTTTTAAGGCTCAATGGTAAAAATCTTTCTACTAAATGTTACACTTAATTGATTATTAATTTTAAAATTATATTCACAGAATTGGAAAAAAAAACAACAACAGAATCTTTAGGGTAATGAACTACTGCTTGCTGATTAAAGTCAACAAAATTCCATTCAAAAAAAGTTATGACTCAAGACTGTAATTTTATGCATACTGCAAATGAATATTTCATTCCAGTTCTTTCTCTGAAGTTATTATTTTAAAAAACCACTGTAATCACCATGAAAGTGTTTATGCCAGTTACATAGTAGTCATCAACCGCTCCAAACATGAAGACGGTATTTCTACACTTTCACACTAATGAAAATACTCAAGTGAGAAAGGCATATATGATTTTACACTTAAGAACCTGTATTCTACTAAAAGGTAAGACTTAAAAAATTCGGCCACAAAAAAGTATTTTACATTTTCTCTAGTGAATCTATTAGTGTTTTACAATCACTCCATATGACTGTGGTAGATAGCTTTATTTAGTTGCTTACCCTGCTAAATATATACATTTAAAAAGAAATATTTTGATTTCAGCAGAATAAACTAACCAACCCCAAAGTCCTATATGTTAACCCTTTGTGAACTTTTATTTATTTATTTTTTTGAGACAGTGTCTTGCTCTGTTGCCCAGGCTGGAGTGCAGCGGCATGATCATAGCACACTGCAGTTTCGACCTCCTAGGTTCAAGTGATTCTCCTGCCTCAGCATCCCAAGTAGGTGGGACAGCTGGTACTACAGGCATGCACCACCATGCACAGCTAATTTTTGCATTTTTTGTAGAGATGGCATTTCCATAGGTTGTCCAGGATCAAGTGAAATCCTGGGCTCAAGTGATCTGTCCGCCTTGGCCTCCCAAAGTGCTAGGTTTACAGGCAAGACCCACTGCACCCAGCCTTCCCCGCCAGCTTTTTTTTTTTTTCTAAGACAAATTCTTACTCTGTCTCCCAGGCAGGAGTGCAGTGGCGTGATCTTGGCTCACTGCAAACTCCACCTGCCAAGTTCAGCAATTCTCCTGCCTCAGCCTCCCAAGTAGCTGGGATTACAGGCACACACCACCAGGCCTGGGTAATTTTTGTATTTTTTTTTTTGTAGAGATGGGGTTTCACCATGTTGGCCAGACTGGTCTCAAACTCCTGACCTCAGATGATGTCTGCCTCGGTCTCCCAAAGTGCTGGGATTACAGGTGTGAGCCACTGTGCCTGGCCAACCCTGGCCCCCTTGTTAACTTTTCTATGATCAATGTCCCATATCTGCTTTGTTGATTAGGCTCCCAAGTGCCTGGCACATAGTATTTTCTGAATGAATGACTGGATGATGTTGCTGCCTTCCAGAGGCCCTTCAGGGTCTTATGTGCAGGCTCAACTGCCATCTCTCCTTTGACTATCTAGTTTAACACCGAGTCTAGCCAATTTCTCAGATATAAACTGTTCAGTGTCTATAACTCTAAACCCTGAGTAATTCTCATCATCTCACAGCAAGATTACCATGGCAACTGAATTTATTCTATACACAGTAGCAATAATCACTTTCATTGTGCCACTTCTTACTCATAAAATGCTTTAAAATAGAGTATGTCATAAGTCATAAGCCATCCCACAACTGGTGCCGTCCTTAACTAATGTTATTTTCTCACAGACCAACAATGTTCTCCATCCCGGTCTACTCCTAAAACCTTACTTGCCCTTTCATCTTCTCTAACAAGTAATGCCCATTTTCTGTCCAAAATGGTCTTTCCTAGGCTTAGCTATTCACACCATGATTTAACAAATCTCTTTTTAAAACAATGTGGAGTACAGATTATCATAAACTAGGGAATACATTTTATATGTACATTTAAGGACTAATCCTAAGAGAATGTTATCAGATAATTTAAATACCAGATAAAACTAAGTGTCTTTAGAGCAGGAACTGTGGTTTTTGCTTCTGTATTTCTCATGCCTATCCCAGTGTCTGGCATATAGCAAATGCTAAATAAATGTTTGCTGGATGAATAAATGAATAATGAGTATGAATTCTAGATAAAACCAAAATAGTTTCATTCAGCTGGGCATGGTGGCTCACGCCTGTAATTCTGGCACTTTGGGAGGCCGAGGCAGGCAGATCACCTGAGGTCAGGAGTTCAAGACCAGCCTGGACAATATGGTAAAACCCCATCTCTACTAAAAATACAAAAATTAGCTGGGTGTAGTGGCGCGTGCCTGTAGTCCCAGCTACTAGGGAGGCTGAGGCAGGAGAATCACTTGAACCTGGGAGGCAGAAGTTGCAGTGAGCCGAGATCGCGCAACTGCACTTTAGCCTGGAGACAGAGCAAGACTCCGTCTTAAAAAAAAAAAAATAGTTTCATTCAAGGAAAGTATGGAAGTAGTCAAGTCAGAGCTGTATGTAAGAGGAATAGCTGCAAAGTATCAATGGTGCCCAGGCTGGAGTGCAGTGGCGTGATCTCGGCTCGCTACAACCTCCACCTCCCAGCCGCCTGCCTTGGCCTCCCAAAGTGCCGAGATTGCAGCCTCTGCCCGGCCGCCACCCCGTCTGGGAAGTGAGGAGCGTCTCTGCCTGGCCGCCCATCGTCTGGGATGTGAGGAGCCCCTCTGCCTGGCTGCCCAGTCTGGAAAGTGAGGAGCGTCTCCGCCCGGCCGCCATCCCATCTAGGAAGTGAGGAGCGCCTCTTCCCGGCTGCCATCACATCTAGGAAGTGAGGAGCGTCTCTGCCCGGCCACCCATCGTCTGAGATGTGGGGAGCGCCTCTGCCCCGCCGCCCCATCTGGGATGTGAGGAGCGCCTCTGCCCGGCCGCGACCCTGTCTGGGAGGTGAGGAGCGTCTCTGCCCGGCCGCCCCGTCTGAGAAGTGAGGAGCCCCTCCGCCCGGCAGCCGCCCCATCTGAGAAGTGAGGAGCCTCTCCACCCGGCAGCCACCCCATCTGGGAAGTGAGGAGCATCTCCGCCCGGCAGCCACCCCGTCCGGGAGGGAGGTGGGGGGGTCAGCCCCCTGCCCGGCCAGCCGCCCCGTCCGGGAGGGAGGTGGGGGGGTCAGCCCCCTGCCCGGCCAGCCGCCCCGTCCGGGAGGGAGGTGGGGGGGTCAGCCCCCCGCCCGGCCAGCCGTCCCGTCCGGGAGGTGAGGGGCGCCTCTGCCCGGCCACCCCTACTGGGAAGTGAGGAGCCCCTCTGCCCGGCCACCACCCTGTCTGGGAAGTGTGCCCAACCGCTCATTGAGAAGGGGCCAGGATGACAATGGCGGCTTTGTGGAATAGAAAGGCGGGAAAGGTGGGGAAAAGATTGAGAAATCGGATGGTTGCCGTGTCTGTGTAGAAAGAAGTAGACATGGGAGACTTTTCATTTTGTTCTGTACTAAGAAAAATTCTTCTGCCTTGGGATCCTGTTGATCTGTGACCTTACCCCCAACCCTGTGCTCTCTGAAACATGTGCTGTGTCCACTCAGGGTTAAATGGATTAAGGGCGGTGCAAGATGTGCTTTGTTAAACAGATGCTTGAAGGCAGCATGCTCGTTAAGAGTCATCACCACTCCCTAATCTCAAGTACCCAGGGACACAAACACTGCGGAAGGCCGCAGGGTCCTCTGCCTAGGAAAACCAGAGACCTTTGTTCACTTGTTTATCTGCTGACCTTCCCTCCACTATTGTCCCATGACCCTGCCAAATCCCCCTCTGTGAGAAACACCCAAGAATTATCAATAAAAAAATAAATTAAAAAAAAAAGTATCATATACGAAAGTAAACTATTACATGGAGATAATGCCACACAAAATTGCTAATATCCCATATATCTCAGGTCTGGCTACCATCTTAAAACTTTCTACCCCCAAATTTTAATTTCATCTACAAACAGTTTTGCTCAGAGAAATAAACCACCCATTTGATAAATTAGGTTTATAACCCACATACTATAATATAGTCATCCAACAGATCTTTATTAATTACATATGATGGGGCCAAGCACTACATATATAAACATGAATAATTGTCTTCAGATACTTACAGCCTAGAAAGGGAAACAGTCAGGTAAACCAGCAATTACAATTAGGGCACAGACATTCATCAGGTACTACAGCAGTAGCAAAGGAGGTGGGAATTGGTTAGGAAAAACTTCCTATATTTAGCTGATTTCTGAAATGGAACTATAACTATAGGGAGATCAGGTAAGGGTATTTCAGACTGAAGCGAACAGAATGGATAAAGCTTGAAAGAACATGGTCAGTTTGGAGTCATGCTGGCAAGGCTGGAGTGTAAGTCATGGGGAATAGCAAGAGTTGAGAGTGGGCAGGAGTTAAGATCACACACTGTCACACAGAGCTGACAGAGTTAATGGTGGTAAAGGAGAGATGACAGAGCCAAAGTAAATAGCATGCTTTTAATTTGGTGACTGAATATGGTGACATCATTCACCAAGGAAGGGAATAACGATTTAACACATTTTTATGTGGCTTTGAGTAGGAAAACACTAAAGGTAATTTCATGCAGTGAATTTGAGGTGCCTTGACTCATTCAGATAGGGATGCTTAGATAGCAGTAGTACATATAAATTTTGTTTGAAGGAAGAGATCTGAAGTAGAAATACAATTTATGCGTCTAGAAGGTTTAACTTGTGTTGGTGCAGCAGTCCTGGAAATACCAGCACTCTATGGTCACATTCCTTATATGTTTCTTCTATATGTTATGTACATGCATTTAATATATTTTTAAAATCAGGAGAATAATCTCTTTTCCTAATTTGTAATTCTCTATAATGCCTATCCCTTAGTTCTTGTTACAGTGTGTATGCAGCAAAGTGCTGACTAAGAGATAATCAATTGGCTAAAGGGGAAGAGATGAGCGAAACTGCATAAACAGGAACAGAGGAGACATGGAATATGTATTCTGACAATAACAAATTCGAAAAATAAAACCAAAGGAATTCATATCGCTTACTCTGGTGTCTGATGTGTTCCACTTTGCAGAAATATCTAAATACTTTTTTTAAAATGCCGTCTGGGCATGGTGGCTCATGCCTGTAATCCTAGCACTTTAGGAGGTCAAGTAGAGAGACTCACTTGAGGTCAGGAGTTTGAGACCAGCCTGGCCAACATGGTGAAATGGTGAAACCCCATCTCTACTAAAAATACAAAAAATTAGCTGGGCATGGTGGTGGACACCTGTAATCCCAGCTACTAAGGAGACTGAGGCAGGAAAACTTGGGAGGTGGAGGTTGCAGTGAGCCGAGATCACGCCACTGCCCTCCAGCCTGGGCGACAGAGCAAGACTCCATCTCAAAAAAAAACTAAACATGCTGACAACATACTGAATCAGTTACTGTACCTGAAGGTTAAGGTGGCGTGTAAAACCTTAGAGAAATGTTTATGCAGCTGTCTATGCAAACAACAGAAATCTGAAGGCTTAAAAGACACTAATGTCAAATATACAAGAAATGTGAATGAATATGATTAGAGTTCTGAATTATGATTCTGTGGAAAAGCAACAGTACATAACATTACAAAAATGTGCAATTATGTGCTCCTGCCTAAAAAACTTTTTAACAGTTGAAGACCTTGCTGTAATATAGGAACACGAAGTCATCACTGCACAGGTGATCTTAGCTATAATAAAGGTTTGGCACAGGTAAAAAAGAATATTGGCAGGCAGGTGTGTACTTACAGGAAACAGTAGGAGCTGAAGTTTAAGATGGACAAAGGGGAGAGAAGTTTGAAAAGTAAAAGTATTAATACAGAGGGAATAAACACAGAAAGTAGTAGAGTAAGGAGTCTTAATTTTTAAATTTCTCACACCTAGCCTTCCTATTATGGATGCCTCTTTCTTAATGGTTAAATGCAATGTTAAATATATTAAACTCTTTTCTACCTGTTTCCATGCTGGGAGTTACTTGTTTTTGAAGAAGCAGGCAACTCTTGGAAATCACTGAATGAGTCATCAAGGGATCCTGACTTAGAAGCATCTTGAAAATCCTGGAAGTCATCTTCTTCTGGCTTTACTACCTAGGTTTATAAAGGTCATTTAAATAAATAGCACTGACTGACAAAATAAATACACAACAAATCAAAAGTCAATCTCAAAGACTGCCTTTAAAATTTCTCAGTTTAGATACATTAACTCAAGTGCTTACGGCAGGAATCCTGTTTTGTATTTTTAAATACTCTCTGGTACAAATGGTAAAAGACTGGTTTAAATAGCTAATTTAGGCTGGGAGCAGTGGCTCACGCCTATAATCCCAGCACTTTGGGAGATCGAGGCGGACAGATCTCCTGAGGTCAGAAGTTCGAGACCAGTCTGGCTAACATGGCGAAACGCCATCTCCACTAAAAATACAAAAATTAGCTGCGCATGGTGGCATGTGCCTGTAGTCCCAGCTACGTGGGTGGCTGAGGCCAGAGAATCACTTGAACCCAGGAGGCAGAAGTTGCAGTGAGCCGAGATCGTGCCACTGCACTCCAGCCTGGGCGACAGAGCAAGACTCTGGCTGAAAAAAAAAAAAAAAAAAAGCTAATCTATACATTTGTAAAATAGCTGAATGATATTCATTGGGTTACTGAGCGCCTACCATCTTTAAAAGATATATCTAGCCGGGTGTGGTGGCGGGCACCTGTAATCCCAGCTACTTGGCAGGCTGAGGCAGGAGAATGGCTTGAACCTGGGAGGCAGAGGTTGCAGTGAGCCACGACCGTGCCACTGCACTCCAGCCTGGGCAACACAGCAAGACTCTGTCTCAAAAAAAAAAAAAAACTAAAAAGGAAAGGTCAAAATGCTACAAAAAAAAAAAAAAAGACATACAGCTATATCATGCATGTTTGCAAATTAAGTGACACAAGCTCATCATAACCAATCACATACATGTACAAAGAGTGGACACTGACTCCTAATCCCACACTCCAGAAGTACTGTTAACAGCTCATTTGTTTTAAAGACAAATGAGATTACACTATATTGCTCTATACTTTAACTATATAACAAAGACACATTTCCATGCAGTACATGTAGATCTATCTCATTCAGTTTAATGATTACCACTGTGTGAAGGAATTGAAATTTATTTAACCTTTCTCCTCCTGTTGGATATTTAGCTATTTCTACTTTTTACTCTAACAAACAATGTTACAACAAAAATTCTTGTATATCTTTGCTAATTCGAGTTACTATTCTTGGGATAGATTTCTAATAATGTGACTACTAGGATAGAAGATATAGACATGCTGAGGCTTTTTTTTTTTTTTTTTTTTAAACTCAGTCTCCTTCTGTTGCCAAGCAGGAGTGCAATGGTGTGATCGTAATCATAGCTCACTGCAGACTTGAACTCCTGGGATCAAGTGATCCTCCTGCCTCAGCCTCCAGGGTAGCTGGGACTACAGGTACACACTATCATGCCCAGCTCAACATGTAGAATTTTGATTGCTATTGCCAAGTCTGCCTTTCAACAAGGCTGTACAATAAGCCTAGAGTGTATTAGTCACTTTTACCCTACTTTTTCAATGACATTAAATATTATATATTTAAAACATTTTTGCTAATCTGAGAAGTGAAAAACTAAAGTATTTTAATTTCAGGTTTAGCAGTTTTTCTGAAAGATACAACCTAAGAATTTAAATGTGCTCACCATAATCCAGTAACCTACTCTATGTATCCCCGGAAAAAATGGTGCCCAGATTCACTTTCAGTGATTATCTGAAATATGCACAGCTTCGCCATTTACCTGATTTGCAGGGTAGGTTGGTATGAAACCACTAGAAGCCTGGGCTGCAGCTCCACCCACTGGTCCAACAAGGTTAATGCCCATGACTGGCTGTCCAAGGCTGAGGGGCATGGAGCCCGCAGGACCTGAAGGTATCACAGTTGGCTGACTCACCGGTGTAGGCAGAGTCATAGAAAAGCCACTTAAAGTTGGAATAGGAGCTGCTGGGAACTGGTTTAAAGCATCAGGACTCATTGCAGGAACGCCCCTCTACAAATGATAGAAAGAAAATGGATTAGAGGATTGTAAACCACATACGGTCGAAATCTGGCAGAGACCGAAAGGTAAAAAAATCTGTAGCCTTTGCATGTTTCCACTCCAACTCTCAAAACTCATGAATTTGATTTAAGAAAAAAAGTTACAAGGTCAATGCAAACCTAATACTTAAGAAAGAAATGGCCAACACATATCAGTTCTGACATTTTCACTTTCTGACAAGTTTGGTTAATTCTATATGATCAAATCATTTAAAATGACTTTGCAATAAAAGAAAAATTTATACCAGACTGAGAATACTTTATCTGTATCTATGAAATTTTAGAGAAGAATTTCAAAACACAGAGTAATTTCACCTATTACTGACTAACTTTCAAGTTCAGAGAATGTTAATATTAAAAGTCTTTAGGCCAGGCGTGGTGGCTCATGCCTGTAATCCCAGCACTTTGGGAGGCCGAGACAGGTGGATCACTTGAGGTCAGGAGTTCGAGACTAGCCTGGCCAACATGGTAAAACCCCATCTCTACTAAAAATACAAAAAGTAGCCGGGCATGGTGGTGGGTGCCTGTAATCCCAGCTACTTGGGAGGCTGAGGCACGAGAATCACTTGAACCCGGGAGGCGGAAGCTGCAGTGAGCTGAGATCTCGCCACTGCACTCCAGCCTGGGCAACAGAATGAGACTCAGTCTCAAAAACAAACCAAAACAAAAAGTCTTTAAACAAAGGAATAACTTGCTATTATGCACATCTTATAAACTCTACATTTTTGAAGTACTATATCCTGAAAATGATCTAAATTTTAATGTACAAGGAGTTACACAATGTAGTAAAAAAGATTTCATATCCTTGCAATTTATATTAATAAAGTTATTTGATCTAACTTAAGAAACATTGTTTACCTGTGTTACCGCTATCATGGCTAGAACGGTATAAAGTTCTTCTTTTGTAAGTTTGCCAGGTGTAGTTCGATTAGCTAAGGCCCATATCTGTCCAAGAGTTTCCCTGGGAAGCCCAGATGACATCAGAATGGGATACAGTTTGGCAGTATCTATTCCAGTTGGAGTCATTGTGGTTTCTAAGATTTTCTTATAGGCATCTATTAAAGGAAAGACCAGATTACAAATGGAAACACATTCCAAGTGATTTATTTTTTGGGATGCCATTGTTGGTATACAAGAATAATCTTCAACAAAACTGCTTTAATAGAACCGAAGCCATGTCAGGGTTTAAATTGCTTTAAACATATTCAAGTGCAGCTGGGCGTGGTGGCTCACGTCTGTAATCTCAGCACTTGGGAGGCCAAGGCCAGCAGATCATCTGAGGTCAGGAGTTCAAGACCAGCCTGGCCAACATAGTGAAACCCCATCTCTACTAAAAATACAAAAGTTAGCCACACGTGGTGGCATGTGCCTGTAAGCCCAGCTACTCAGGAGGCTGAGGCAGGAGAATCACTTGAACCCCGAGACAAAGGTTGCAGTGAGCTAAGATCACGACTCTGCACTCTGCACTTCAGCCTGGGCAACAGTGAGACTCCGTTTCAAAAAAAAAAAGAAAAAAAAATTTGAGATATTCAAGTGGAAATGTCCAGCAGACAATTAAGAGTCTGAAGTTTGGTACTAAAGATAAAATTTAGGGCTAGAGGTAAGACAAAGTCTTATAATTCAGTAGAAGATTGTAACAAGACAGCATGCTTTGGACTTTACAAGAGAAGCTGTAGAGTAATGATGGTGGGAACAGTTTGAAAAGAGCAATGGGAAGTAAGAATTATACCAACATCACTCTTCTCCAGTAAATTAGAGGCTGTGAGAGAAAACACCATTGGAGAAGGTGCTACGGAAATACAGCCTTTAAGGAAAGACCCAGTTTCTGTTAAGGTGAGGAAGCAGAACAAGTGTCTTAAAAAGGGGGGTACAGTTGGTGAGTTTTTGACAATAACATGGGTTTTCCAAAGGACCAAGTGGGAAATGTTGTTAGATACAGGGCTAAAATAAAGAATGCCAATATTGCATGGGACATACTTATACTAAAAAATTATTTGCTGTTTACCTGAAATTCAAATTTAACTGGGCATCCTGTATGGTTATTTACTAAATGTAGCAAGCTTAGTTAGGGAAATGAAACTTAGTAGGGCTAAGGGGGACAGAGAAACTGTTTAAAACAAAAATTTTACATCTGGGATTATAAGTATGGATTACAGGTTAGTGGGCTCTCCATAAGAACACATATTTTTGGCCAGATGTGGTGGCTCATGCCTGTAATCCCAGTGCTTTGGGATGCTGAGGTGGGCGGGTCACAAGGTCAGGAGTTCGAGACCAGCCTAGCCAATACGGTGAAATCCTGTCTCTACTAAAAATAAAAAAAATTAGCCAGGCGTGGTGGTGCACGCCTGTAGCCCCAGCTACTCAGGAGGCTGAGGCAGGAGAACTGCTTGAACCCAGGAGGCAGAGGTTGCAGTGAGCCGAGATTGCGCCACTGCACTCCAGCCTGGGTGACAGACTGGTTCCGTCTCAAAAACAAACAAACAAACAAAAAAAACCATATTTTGACTAGAAAGTATACATGCATGTATGTTTTCTAGTCTTCTAAGGAAGAGGGCGAAAGTAAAGTAATACAAACTGGCAGAAAATGGATAAAACTCCAAAATATACCAAGATCTAGATTTCATTCGTTTGGCTTGAGGACAGAGAAGAAA
Organism: Homo sapiens; assembly: GCF_000001405.40. Lineage (NCBI taxonomy): Eukaryota > Metazoa > Chordata > Mammalia > Primates > Hominidae > Homo > Homo sapiens. The sequence continues at coordinate 1,812,748 of NT_187614.1, forward strand.
AGATGCAAACTGTCTAACAGGCATTTGGAAGAAAAGCCATTATTTTAAAGTACAGTTGAATTGTACATACTATTTTGGTAACAGCCTTTTGTCATTATGAGTAGTATCAGAAAATGCATTTGAATGAAAACTATAAAACATTAATGCAATAAATTGAAGGGGACATAAAAAAATAGAGAAATATTCCATGTTCATGTTTTGGAATAATCAATGTTGTTAAAATGTCCATAGTACCCAAAGCAATGGGTAGTACAGATTCAATGCAATCCCTATCAATACCAATTACATTCTTCACAGAAACAGAAAACATAATCCTAAAATTTATATGGTACCACAAAGGACCCAGAATAGCCAAAGCCATTCTGAGCAAAAAGAACAAAACTGGAGGAATTACAGTACATTACTGTATATTACCTGACTTCAAATTATACTACAAAGCTATAGTAACCAAAACAGCATAGTAATAACACAAAAACAGACACAGAGACCAATGGAACAGAATAGAGAACCCAGAAATAAATCCACACATCCACAGTGAACTCATTTTTCAGAAAGGTGCCAAGAACATACATTGGGGAGGGTCTCTTCGATAAACGGTGCTGGAAAAACTGGATCTCCATATGCAGAAGAATAAAACTAGACCCCATCCCACACCAAATAAAAAAATCAAATGGAAATGAATTAAAGATTTAAATCTAAGACCAGAAACTATGAAACTACTAAAAGAAAACTTGGGGAAACTCTCCAGGACATTCGTCTGGGCAAAGATGTCTTGAGTAATAACCCAAAAGTAAAGGCAATCAAAGCAAAAATGGACAAATGGGATCACATCAAGTTAAAAAGCTTTTGCACTGCAAAGGAAACAATCAACAAAATGGACAACCCACAGAACGGGAGAAAATATCTGCAAACTATCCATCTCACAAGGGATTAATAACCAAAATATATAAGAAGCTCAAACAACTCAATACAAAAAAAGCTAATAATCTGATTTTAAAATGGGCAAGACAACTGAACAGGCATTTCTCAAAAGAAGACATGCAAACAGCAAACAAGTTTATGAAAAGAGGCTCAACATCACTGATCATCAGAGCAATGTCAATCAAAACTACAATGAGATATCATCTCACCCCACTTAAAATGGCTTTTATCCAAAAGACAGGCAATAACGAATGCTGGTGAGGATGTGGAGAAAAGGGAACCCAAGTACACTGTTGGTAGGAATGTAAATTAGTACAGCCACTATGGAGAACAGTATAAAGGTTTCTCCATAGTGGCTGTACTAATTTATAAGCCAAGATTCAAAAGCAACCTAAGTGTCCATTGACAGACGAATGGATAAAGAAAATGTGGTACATATACACAATGGAGCACAATTCAGCCATAAAAAAAATTGAGATCCTGTCATTTCCAACAACATGGTTGGAACTGGAGGACACTATATTAAGTGAAATAAGCCAGGCATAGAAAGACAAATTTCATATATTCTCATTCATTTGTGGAAGCTAAAAATTAAAACAACTGAACTCATGGAGACAGAGAATAGAATGATGGTTTCCAGAGGCTGAGAAGGGTAGTGGTGGGGGGGAATAATGGGGATGGTTAGTGGGCATAAAAATATAGTTGGATAGGAGGAATAAGATCTAGTATTTGATAGCACTACAAGGTAGCTACAGTCAACAATAATTTATTGTACACTTAAAATAACTTACAGAGTATAATTGGAATGTTCATAACACAAAGAAGTAATACATGCTTGAGGTAATGGATACCTTATCTACCCTGATGTGATTATTACACATTGTATGTCTGTATCAAAGTATCTCATGTACTCCATAAAAATATACAATTATGTAGCCACAAAAATTAAAAATAATTTTTTTTTGTTTAAAGAAGAAAATGCACTTTAAGGATTTTCTTTTCTTTTTTTTTTCTTCTTGGCTCAGCAGTAAAAATACATGTAAAGAAAAAGTAGGTCAGGTGCAGTGGCTCACACCTGTAATCCCAGCACTTTGGGAGACCAAGGCAGGCAGATCACTTGAGCCCAGGAGTTTGAGACCAGCCTGAGCAACATGACGAGACCCCGTCTCTACAAAAAAATACAAAAATTAGCTGGGTGTAGTGGCATGCGCCTGTAGTCCCAGCTACTTGAGAGGCTGAGGTGGGAGGATTGCCTGAGCCTGGGGAGGTCAAGGCTGCAGTGAGCCAAGATCCTGCCACTGAACTCCAGCCTGGGTGACAGTAAGACCTTGTCTCAAAAAAAAAAAAAAAAAAAAGAGTAAACACTATCCTTCACATCTTCCAATGTGAAAAAAAAGATCCCACATGGTCTTTTATTTCATATAGTATTACATGACAAGTCATAGAAAGAATATTTTTAAAAATATAAACTAAGAATTCAGAAAATTACATTAAATATTTTGGTAAAATTCTTGATGTTATTAATTGCTGAAGTAAATATTTGATAATGTCCATTAAAGCATAATAAATCTAAGAGAGCTTTTAGAAATAAAAGTATGATGGTTGATAAAACATTAAAACAAAACTATTCTCCTCTATTTATATAGTTATTCCATATATGAGGCAGTCTTATGAAACACGACATTTATTTAATTTCTGTACTCTTTCAGAAAAAAAGAAAAGTGACAACTCCTCCTGCATTTTTTGTAAGTGCAACAGTAAATATTTACAACTACATTTACAATATTTAAACCAAAATATCCAGATGGGAATCCTGGGTAAAGAAGCTTTTTTACCTGGAACCAAACTCTCATTGTAAATCCAAGGAGGCATTCTGGGCTGAGCAGGATCCTGTGAGGGAAATACTCCCACACCTAGAAGGTAAGAAACATTAATGTATATAGTGGTCCATGGAGAAGATGGCGAAATCACACTGAGTCATGGTTTTTTATAAAGAGCACTGGCTGGAGACACTAAAAAAAGTCACCAATACAATTAAAATACTTGGTCCCCCCTGCCTCCGATTCAGAATAAAATATTTGGTTTTTAAGCAACTCTTGTACGTTAACTATGTTCTAAAGAGTAAATTATACAAAAACTAAAATGTATCAAATCAATACTCTAAATCATATAAGCCTTGCACCATTTAACATGTATTACAAATTAAGGAAAAAAACATGATAGATGATAGTTTAAAATTATGTATCTAAAAATATTTAATTGTCCAAGCTTTACTTGCAGTTTTTACTAATGCTTCTTTGCAAAGTTTCATTGTTTTTTAACCTACATATGATACTGCTGTCTTAAATATATAGGACTTTTGGGGGCTTTCTGTCCAATAAAATATCCTCCCAAAAGTTTGCCTCCTTGGCTGCCCACATTCTAATTCATTTCTGAGGGTTGAATTTATACAATTTAGATCTTTTAGGCAGTGGTGCATATGATTTATTTTAGAGAAACCAAAACTATATTCTCATTGGTGACTTTTCCAGTTACATTTTAACTTTTCAACCTTTATGGAAGAACAGAAAGTATAAGGGGGGAAAAAAGAGAGTTTTTATAAAATAAAAGGAAAGAAAATTTTAAATCAGAAATGATTCCAATTAAGAAAACCAGTTATCAAAATCATTTTTAAAAAGGAGTAACAGTGTGTTGAAAGAATTCAGAGCAAAATCTTAGGGGTTAATTGGAGAAAGGAATGCATTAAATATATTTCAAGCAAAATTTCGATTAGCAAAATCAAGCAGCATTCATTTGAAGATTAATGCTTAAGGTGTTAGCATTTGAGCAACATTTGGTTAAACAAGTTTTTTGCTGAATGCTTCACGAGCTCACCACTCTCTTCAATTGACAGGTTTTGATCTGAAGTATTTTCTGCCTCTGCAGTGGTGGTACCACTTACACATCCATCTACAGCAACCCCGTTACTGGCCATTAAACTGGGATACTTCTTACTGGAACCTGGGCCTAGGGCTTTGTGGCCAACTTCAGAAGTATTTAATTTAATTTGTTCCTGCCCAGATGTACTTATATCACAAGATACTAGGAACTTCTCCTCCAAGGAAGGGCCTAAACAAAGAGCATGAAGGATTATTTGTATATAACTGTATATGTCTAATCTTTTTAACCATCCATCTCCACCCCCATATTCTTTTTTTTTTTTTTTTTTTTGAGATGGAATCTCACTCTGTCACCCAGGCTGTAGTGTACTGGCATGATCTCAGCTCACTGCAACCTCTGCCTCCCAGGTTCAAGCAATTCTCCTGCCTCAGCCTCCTTAGTAGCTGAGATTATAGGCGCCCGCCACCAAGCCTGGCTAATTTTTGTATTTTTAGTAGAGACGGGGTTTCGCCATGTTAGACAGGCTGGTCTCGAACTCCTGACCTGAGGTGATCTACCCACCTCAGCCTCCCAAAGTGCTGGGATTACAGAAGTGAGCCACGGTGCCCAGCTCACCCCCATATTCTAAAGGGAGGCCCTGCCACGTATAATGTAAACATTGTGGCCAGGCACCATGGCTCAAGCCTGTAATCCCAGCACTTTGGGAGGCCAAGGCAGGCAGACCATGAGGTCAGGAGTTCAAGACCAGCCTGACCCACATAATGAAACCCCATCTCTACTAAAAATACAAAAAATTAGCCAGGCGTGGTGGCGGGCACCTGTAATTTCAGCTACTTGGGAGGCTGAGGCAGGAGAATCACTTGAACCCAGGAGGCGGAGGTTGCAGTGAGCTGAAATCACGCCACTGCACTCCAGCCTGGATGACAGTGCAAGACTCTGTCTCAAAAAAAAAAAAAAGTAAACGTTGAAATAATTCAATCACTGCACATTTGTATAGGACTTGAGAGACTTCAGAGATTTTAGAGAATGTAAACATAATTATCTACTGTGATTCTAAAGAATTCTATGAGACAGTAGGTGGAAGAGTGTAGTGGAAGGAGCACTACCTTTGAAATCTGACAACCTACATAAGATAACACTTCCACTAACTCCTAGGGAGGCCTCTGGCCAGTAACATCATCATCATCTCTTGGTCTGTTTCCATGTCCATCAAATGAGACAGTCTGGACTAAGTACATGTCTGCCAAGATCCCTCCCAGCACCCTGTCTCAAGCCAGGATGTGTAGCTGTCTCTATTCATTTTATAGATGACAAAATCTAAGGCACACCAAGGACAAATTGACAGTAAATGGACAACCTGGGCTTCTGCCCCCAAGTGCCCTGTCACTGAAGCTGAAAGAGTACTTTCTAAAGAAGCCTTTCCTAGCTCCTTATTCTTAAGAAAATGATATCGGTGAATCTCCCAAACAACAATCTTCTGGAAAAATCAGAAGATTTCTTTTAAAGTTATAAGGCAGTTTAAAGTGCTCCTAGTTGAGGAGCAAAAGTTTTAAATCACCTTTCTGGAATGTCAAGACCCCAGAACTTAAAAATCTAGACACTTGTTTTGTTGAATTTCAACAGCAGTCATACATTTATGTGCATGTTTATTTGCCAACATCACTGGATTATTCTACTTATATAACAGAAATAAGTTATCCCAGGATATCTTAAGAATATTTTCATTAATAATGCTAAGAGTTACCTGCTTCTGGTACACTGTGTGAGGCTGAAGCAGTAGAGAAGTAAGGAATTTGCCCAGGGACGCCATGTAAGGCAAAAGGCACTGGACTCTGACTTGGAGGGAGAGGCTGTGTCCCAGCCTTCTGTGTATGCAACTGGCCAAGTGGGGTGGAGGGGTGGAAAGACTGAAAGGGCTGGGACGTGGAAGAAGGCCCACATGGGGGAACTTCAACAGGCCCCTGCATAAAGTCACTGAATTCTTCTTCATCAAGAAAGGCAGGTGATGGGGAGACAGTTTTAGTAGAATGAGATGATGTGGGGCAATCTGCAAAATGGAAAATGGCAATGAAACACACAAAAATGGAAACCAACAGAGAAAAAGGAATTAAGATGTAGTACAATTCCAAAAGAATATATTGAAACATAAATAGTGGAGGTGAACAAGAAATAACAAGTAACAATAGTCAAATGGAATTGCATGATGCATGTAAAACACTTTGATGTCTATTTATACACAATTTTATGTCTTTTTAAAGGGGAGTTTTAATAGCTATTTTGTATTTGGTTCAAAAAAGGTAAAACTAAAAATACATGTATCTATTCATTTATTTTAGAGACAGGATCTTGCTCTGTCACCTAGGCTACAGTGCTGTGGCATGCTCATAGCTCATGATCATAGCAGCCTGAAACTCGTGGGATCAAGCAATCCTTCAGCCTCAGCCTCCTGAGTAGCTAGGAATATAGGCACATGCCAGCATACCCAGCTAATTCTTCCTTTCTTTTTTTTTTTCATAGAGATGGTGTCTCACTATGTTGCCCAAGCTGGTCTCGAGCTCCTGGCCTTGACTGTCTTTCTTTTATTAGATTAATAATTTTTCCCCTGAGACCATTAATGATTTACATCAAAGTGATGATTATTTTTGCAGTTGAAATGATCTGTTTATCTAGATAATATTATCTCAAACCAATATACATCAGATATAAGAAAACCTACCAATATAGTGCTGAATACATTTTGGACAGATATATACCATGATGACTAAATTTCATTATTTATTAAGAAATTCAGTAAGAAATAATGCACAATACAAAGCTGTAATTTTTGAAATATCATGCCCGATCCACACACTTGCATAGATCATATTTCAGTAAAGTTACCATATGAGAAATAAAAATTACAAAAGAACTTTTTTTTTTTTTTTGAGATGGAATCTTGCTGTGATGCCCAGGCTAGAGTGCAATGGCATGAGCTCAGCTCACTGAAACCTCTGCTTTGTTCCCCCGGTTCAAGAGATTTTTCTGCCTCAGCCTCTCAAGTAGCTGGGACTACAGGTATGCACCGCCATGCCCAGTTAATCTTTGTATTTCGTGTGTGTGTGTGTGTGTGTGTGTGTGTGTGTGTGTGTGTGTGTGAGAGAGAGAGAGAGAGAGAGAGACGGAGTCTTGCTCTGTCGCCCAGACTGTTGCTCTGTCGCCCAGACTTGAGTGCAGTGGCGCGATCTCGGCTCACTGCAACCTCCACCTCCTGGGTTCAAGTGATTCTTCTGCCTCAAACTCCCAAGTAGCTGGGGCTACAGGTGCGTGCCACCACACCCAGCTAACTTTTGTATTTTTAGTAGAGACGGGGTTTCACCATTTTGGCCAGGCTGGTCTTGAACTCCTGACCTCATGATCTACCTGCCTTGGCCTCCCAAAGTGCTGGGATTACAGGTGTGAGTCCCCACGCCCAGCCCAATTTTTGTATTTTTAGTAGAGACGGGGGTTTCTCCATATCGGCCAGGCTGGTCTTGAACTCCTAACCTCAGGTGATCCACCCACCTTGGCCTCCCAAAGCACTGGGATTACAGGCATGAGCCACCATGCCTGGCCAAGACAAGAACATTAAACACATTATTAAGGTGATATTTTCTTGTGAAAAGCATCAATATTAGGATATCATGAAGAGCTGAATCAAACAACTATAGTCAATTTAAGAAAGTAAACCCTGCCTGAAGACTACAACTACCTTTAAAAGATCTTTGGCACTAAAGGATATAAATGTCACTGTGGCTTTTTATTGTTAAATGTAAAATTCACTTATGTAATAAACCTGCTCTACTGGGGCTACATTTAACATGAAGCTCATTAACAATACTATTTTATTGTTGCTTCTTCACATTTATTATTATTATTACTATTATTATTATTATTATTATTATGATACTGGGTCTCCCTCTGTCATCCAGGCTAGAGAACAGTGGCACAATCTCAGCTCACCGCAACCTCTGCCTCCCAGGTTCAAGTGATTCTCGTGCCTCAGCCTCGCAAGTAGCTGGGACTACAGGTGCCCATCACCACGCCCGGCTAATTTTTGTATTTTTAGTAGAGATGGGGTTTCACCATGTTGGCCAGGCTGGTCTCGAACTCCTGACTTCAGGTGATCTGCCTGCCTTGGTCTCCCAAAGTGTTGGGATTATAGGCGTGAGCCACCACGCCTTACCTTGTTTTGTTTTTGTTTTTGTTTTTTGGAGATGGAGTCTAGCTCTGTCGCCCAGGCTGGAGTGCAGTGGCACAATCTCAGCTCACTGCAACCTCTGCCTCCCAGGTTCAAGCAATTCTTCTGCCTCAGCCTCCTGAGTAGCTGGGAATACAGGTGTGCACCACCACTCCTGGCCCCACATTTTTTTTCTTTTTTTTTTTTTTTTTGAGACAGAGTCTGGCTCTGTCGCCCAGGCTGGAGTACAATGGCATGATCTCCGCTCACAGCAACCTCTGCCTCCTGGGTTCAAGAGATTCTCCTGCCTCAGCCTCCTGAATGGCTGGGATTACAGGCATGCGCCACCACACCTGGCTAATTTTTATTTTTAGTAGAGACAGGGTTTTGCCATGTTGGTCAGGCTGGTCTTGAACTCCCGACCTCAGGTGATCCACCCACCTCGGCCTCCCAAAGTGCTGGGATTATAGGCTTGAGCAACCGCACCTGGCCTCCCCACATTTTAAATTACTTTGAATTGCTTTAATATGACTAAAGTCTATTGTCACAATAAGCAGTCTTTTTTTTTGTCACTGACTTGAAGCTCAGGAGTAGTCTTTTTTTTAAGAAATGGCTCTTGTCTGAAAAATGGAGACCCTGCATACTTCTTTCCTCTCTTTAGGATCAATGCAATAAAACCTGGATGCACTGAAAGTTCTAAGAAAGATGCAAAATATGCAAAATTATTGCCTTAATCAAGTTTGTTTAAAAAAGAAAAAGCCCTCCCACATTGTATTCCAAGTCTCCCAACAATTACCAAGGCTGGATTTAGGTTCTCAATTTGGGTTCCCAGCTACTTAAAATATTTTTTAAATGGACCCTATTTCCTTGGGATATACTGTAAAGACCAAACCAATGTTTCTTTGCATTTGGCTGGAATGTGTGACTTCTACATGGAATATATTTTGGCCCATACCAACTCTAGCAGCTAGGTATATGATTAAAAAGAAGTATAAAAGTTAAATGATGGGCCAGGCACAGTTGCTCACACCTGTAATCCTAGCACTTTGGAAGGCTAAAGCAGGTGGACTGCTTGAGCCCAGGAGTTTGAGACTAGCCAGGGCAACATGGTGAAATCCCGTCTCTACAAAAAATACAAAAATTAGCTAGGCGTGGTGGTGCGCATCTGTAGTCCCGGTTACTCACGAGGTTGAAGTGGTAGGATTGTCTGAGCCTGGGGGGTCATGGCTGCAGTGAACTGTGATCATGTCACCGCACTAGGGCAATAGAATGAGACCCTGTCTCAAAAAAAAAGTTATATGATCAATATAGTTTGTATATTCAGTATTTTAAGATAAACAATCTATAAAGAGAAATTTAAAAGGTGCCTTTGGTGGTAGAATGGCTGGAAACTCTTTTTATAAATACTTTAGGACTAGGTTTTTGGTTTTTTTTTTTTGAGATGGAGTCTCACTCTGTCGTCCAGGCTGGAGTGCAGTGGCGCAGTCTCGACTCACTGCAGCCTCTATCTCCCAGGTTCAAGCTATTCTCTTGCCTCAGCCCACCAAGTGACTGAGATTATAGGGACGTGCCACCATGCCTGGCTAATTTTTTGTATTTTTAGTAGAGATGGGGTTTCACCATGTTGGCCACGCTGGTCTTGAACTCCTGACTGCCTTTCTCTACTTTTCCTAACCTCCAGCCTAGGTCTAGTTTTAGTATTAACTTCTAATATATATTCCTAAATTACTTCTTGACTAGCTTATTCACCTTATAATTTTCATTTTTAGATATGTTTTTCCTTTCTAATCTCAGCCTGATTGCTAATATCTGTTTTCTTTTCAATCTTGTATATTTTATTTTGGGGCATACTTTTGGAATGGGAATCTTAAGTGAAATTAACAGAACAGAGTCAAAGTTGTCCCGGAAAAATCAAGAACTGGTTACTATGCCAGTGATTATTCCCTCTTGATATCACCCATGAAAGGTACTATAATACAAGGGTTCAAGATAAAATTTATCAATGCAACATTTTCCAGCAGAAGATAGTACTTTCTTGGCTGGCTAAATGATTTATGAAAACTGTTCACCTATTAGGTATGTTTTCTTGGAATCAGCTGATAAAATGTCAAAACGTTGAATTTGTTTTTTGTTGTTTTTTGAGATGGAGTCTTGCTCTGATGCCTAAGCTGGAGCGGGCAGTGGCATGATCTCGGCTCACTGTAACCTCCGCCTCCCAGGTTCAAGTGATTCTCCTGCCTCAGCTTCCCGAGTAGCTGGGAATACAGGCATGCACAACCATGCCCAGCTTATTTTTGTATTTTTAGTAGAGACAGGTTTTCACCATGTTGGCCAGGCTGGTCTTGAACTCCTGACCTCAAGTGATCCCACCTGCCTCGGCCTCCCAAAGTGCTGGGATTACAGGCATGAGCCATGGCACCTGGCTTGAAATGTTGAATTTTTAAAAATAATGTGGTAACAATTATGCAAATACAAGACTCATTTCAACTGCTAAATGTTCAAAAGAACAACCAAACCCCAACCTCCAATCCCTTTACCCTGCTCTAAAACAGGGACGTTTCTTTTTGCTTACCTGACAATAAATGATGATAAAAATTACAAAGAAATGCATTAGGGAAACTAACATTTCAAGAAGAGCATTATTATACTCATGATTTTCTTAAATGAGGCATTTTAAGAATTTGTAAGTTTAATCACATTAAGTAATGAAATCAGAGCTAGTTCATAAAAATTACTATAAAACAATGAGAATTAAATGGTAAACTCCTTTATTACATTTGCTCTGAGTGAATAGATTTTACTAATGTTAACATATTTATATACAGAAAACTTACAGGTGAAATTGTCATACTGATATTTACTTAGAAGACAAAGAGGTTTTTTCCTCCCAAGACAGTTGTTATCCAGACCAGAGCTCTTAAGCCACTGTATATTTGAGAACATCCAAATCTGTACTTAGCTTGAAGGAAGAGTTCTACATTGACTTTTCACACACACATATAATGGCGAGGTAAAGAAACAGGGACTACATAAATCACCTTCCCAGAAAAGAAAAATATAATGCCTCTTAAAACTACCTGGTTTCTTGGGGTGCGATGCTGGAGTAGGGTGCATTTTTGCATCTCTGGAAAACCCATCTAAATTTCCTTTTATGGCTTCCAAAGCATCATCTCTACTCTTCTCTCCTGTCTAAGAGACAACAAATATATGCGTATTTCTTTACTTATCCCTCACTGTATCCTAAACCCTCCCAAATTAAGAAAAGCACAGATATTCATCTATTTCCAATATTTTTACCACATACTTCTGATAATGAATTATCCAAGTCAGCAAGACATTGGTAAATGATTAAACAATGACACTCCACAGAAAATAAAAACATTACAAGGCCAATGTATAAATACTTTAGGATAGACCTGTTTGATATTAAGTGTCCTGTGAAGGCTCTAAGAGAAATATGAAATATCACTGAATTCAGGATTACTGCTTCCCAAGAAAAAGATTATAAACATTGCCATGATACTAAAAAAGAGCTGAAAAGATAATGGCTGATAGCCTATTCTCATTGACAGCAGTGTATCTTTACAGAAAATGAAAAACCCTTCACATTAGTAATTAGGTAAACCAAAATGAGAAGAATCAATCACAGCCTCAGCTTGGGCTGGTGCCCCAGTGACGAAATCCACTCAATGAGTGGGAAGAGGCACATTCAGGGTGTGTATGTTCTGGGTGAAGAGAAGTATTGAAATACTACCTTGGGTTTCACACTGCTCAAAAGTCTGAGCTTTTGCTTCTGCTCTTCAAACTGGCGTCTTTTTCTTTCTTCTTCTAAGAGTTTTTGCTGCTGTTCAAATCGTTTCCTGAAGGAAAAATGATCTAATAAAGAACCAGCTCCCGGGATTATACACTGTGTTTTATATTCAGATTTCTAACAGTTTCAGCAATATCATGTTGCACTTCCAGAAGTGTAAATTTCATTGCTAAATATCTAGTTTTCTTACGACAATCCTGTTTCCTCACTATATTAATTCCAAAATATTTGACATGAGTCTAAAGAATGATTTACCTAAATTATGTATATGAATTTATTTCTCATCTAATTTGCAAGAGGAGGAAACAAGCTTTTGCATATAAAAGTATTCTCGAAAAACAGGCAGACAAACATAAGAACACACTTTGCTCTGCATATTAAAAAAGAACCTGCTTGGGAAGGCAGTGTCATACAGCAGAAAGAGTAATGATTTGGGAATCAGGAAGCCTGCCTTTGGGTCCAGGCTTTGCTGGTAACTGTGTAACCTGGACTGACAAGTTGTTTCATTTTCCTGGACTTCACTTTCACTAGATATAAAACAAGAGGGTTGAATTACAGGATCTCTAAGGTCCTTTTTGACTCTAAACTTATAATAATGGTAGTTTAAAGAGGCTTTTTTGTTTTTGTTTTTAAACAGGGTCTCACTCTGTTACCGAAGCTGGAGTACCGTGGCATGATCACGGCTGACTGCAGCCTCAACCTCGGGGCCCAGGTGATCCTCCCACCTCAGCCTCCTGAGCAGCTGGGACTACAAGCATGAGCCACCAAGCCTGGCTAATATTTTGTATTTTTTGTAGAGACAGGGTTTTACCATGTTGCTCAGGCTGGTCTCGAACTCCTGGGCTCAAGCAATCTGCCCACCCCAGCCTTCCAAAGTGCTGGGATTATAGGCATGAACCACTGGGCCAGGCCTTAAGAGTTTTAAAGACAACTTTTGACTGTTTTAGTTTCAAATCTGCACTAGAGATCATTAGACAATTCTTAAGATAGATGCTATAATGTATCTTTGTTATCCTTTAATTCTGGTGATCTCTTACTGCTGCTCTTCGGCAAACTGCTTCTGCATGTCTGGAGTGTACTGTGGGCCTGGAGGACGCATGCCCAGGAAGGGTGCTTGTCCTAGGTAAGGCATTCCCGCTGCTGGCATTGGTCCCATTGGTATTCCTGCCTAGAAGAAACAGACAAAGGCTTAAAAAACACAATTTATCCCTTTAATTATCACACACAAAAATGTGACTTCCATAAATTCTATCTTAATACTCTTATTTGTAAAAAATAGAAATATATTGGATTAAAAGATGCAAAGATGCAAATAAATAAAAGATGCAAATATACAAAGAAATATATTATATTAAAAGATGCTAAAAATGGAAGGCTCCCCTTAATATCTAACCCCTCCATTCCCTTCACTGTCCCAGAGGTGACCACTGTTAATAGTCTGATTGGTGTGTTATGGAACTATATGCCCACAAGTTATATTCTTGTGAGCTCACTAATCCTCTTTGAGAAGAGGCATTATATCTTATATATTTTCATATTTGCAATAATAGGTAAGAGCCTGGCATATGGTAAACATACCACAAATGAAATTAAATCTGATTTTCCAATATATATGAGAGGATAATGAATATTTTGATGTTATCAAAGGCCTAATAGTCAAACTTTTATAGAAAATGACACATATTCAATAAAAAATTACATAATATTATAAAGTTTGTTAAAGTGTCCAGAAATAAGAATAACACAATAGCTAATCACAAAATTTAATAATATTATGTTTTTAGAGACAGGGTCTCGTTGTGTCACCCAGGCTGGAGAGCAAAGGCGCAATCACAACTCACTGCAGCCTCCAACTCTTGGGCTCAAGAGATCCTCCCGCCTCAGCCCCAGAGTAGCTAGGGCTATAAGCGTGTGCCCTCGATGGCACCTGGCTCAAAATCTAATATTAAGAATGATGACAATGACAATAATTAAATGGCTAATTTTTAATGAGTGAAAACTCTTCTACTACTCAACCTTCTCCCTGAAAAGTTCCTCTTCTGTCCCTAACTAAAGTCTGTCCGTGAAACACTCTCATTTGGAGACTGCTACTTCTCTTCTATATTTCCTGTAAGTGGGGAATATTCCTCCTTGCTTCTTCTAAACCTTTTCTCTTCTCTCTACCTTCAAAAACCTGAATACATTTTAATTTCTCACTAACAGACTTCATCATCTACTATCCGATCTTGTTCATGTCATCTACTGACCCTCAACTTCCTCACTCTTCAGTTGAACACTTCAGACATTGCTGTCTTCCATTCTACCCCCAAACTGCTCTTGGTAACGTCAACAATCACCCACATGGGTAACTCACCTAACACTGTGTGGTCTTCCAGGTCTTTAGCCTCCTCATCACAATCATGCCCAACATACAATTCCAGCTTCCCATTCCATGGTAATACCCATGATCTATCTGCACCAAAGACTGTGTCATGTCCAAAATCTGGATGTTAGGCATCCCGACACTTGACCACCACCTCCTATCCTTCTAGCTCATCTAGATCAGTAATTCTCCTATCTCATTAATATCTCCCACCTGTTAATTTATTTTTTTTCCGTGAGCTTATTTTGTAGGTTCCACCTGTTAATTTTGCCACTTTTCTCATGATTAATCATCTTCATTATATCCTCACTTCCCTTCTTGCTCAACTTAGATTCTAGGGTTCCATATTAAATGCCCTTGTAAATATCCTTAATTCCCTTAATTGTCAATTCCTTAACATGGTCTCCTGGGAAACTTCACCCCTGATTAGAATCAACTAATCGACTTCTCTATGCTTATACAAAAACCACTGAACCATGCTGGAGAGAAAAACATTGAGGATTCACTTTAAATTCTTTTTTTTTTTTTTTTTTTTTGAGACAGGATCTCACTCTGTCACCAAAGTTGGGATGCAGTAGGGCAATCTCAGCTCACTGCAACCTCCACCTCCCGGGCTAAAGTGATTCTCCCACCTCAGCCTCCCAAGTAGCTGAGACTACAGGCATGTGCCACCACACCCAACTAATTTTTGTATTTTCAGTAGAGATGGGGTTTCACCAGGTTGGCTAGGCTGGTCTCGAATTCCTGACCTCAAGTGATCCACCCACCTTGGCCTCCCAAAGTGCTGGGATTACAGGCATGAGCCACCACGCCCAGCCAGCTTGGAATGCCTTTGGAGGGTTTCTAGCACTGTACAACTGGAGTTACACACAATATTGGTTTATTGCTAACATTCTCTATTCTAAATCTTGGGTGGAGATAGCTGTGTATACTTATTTTAAATCATAGTATTGATCTCTTGCTGCTAAAAATTAGTATCACAGTCCTAGAATTATTCTTTTTTTTTTTTTTACTCATTTCACCCAAAGTATATAAAATACAAAAGAAACTACCCAAATCATAGAGATTAAAAATAAGGCAAAGTATTCTACAAAAATAATAAAGAATGAAAGAAAGAAAGGTGTTATGCATATTGCCTTCTTATTTACAAACTCCTTTCTTGAGGAACATTCAAATTTACTAAATGGCATTTTGTGTTTCCCCTACACCTGGAAAGGAGGGACTGTCTAACTTTTAACAGACTTTTGAAACCTAAATAAACTAAAAGGTTAAGAGATACTAGTCTTTAATTATATACTGAATGGATGACATAACAAAAGAAAGAACTCAGAAATCTGAGATACATTTGATAAACTACTGATGGCACTTAAGATTTCAATAAGTTGAGAAGTATAGTATGACAGTTAAGACTAAAAGAGTAAAAGTGTCCACTTCAGTCAGAGCCCCAACAGTGTTTTGACAAGTTGATCTTAAAATTATACTGAAGGGCAAGGACCACGAATCAGCTATAATTCTGTAAAAGAAGAAGGATGATCCATACTACCAGGTATCAATGCTTATTTCAGGCTAGATAATTAAGGCATAAGATATTTACTGATGCAAGGAAAGACAGATACAGCAATGGGACAAATACATGAGCTCAGAAATTAATCCAAAGCATATAAAGAAATGTGATATTACAGGAATAATCATAGAAATCAATAAATTAAAAATGGGCTATTTAGGGCCGGGCGCGGTGGCTCACGCCTGTAATTCCAGCACTTTGGGAGGCCGAGGTGGGCGGATCACCAGGTCAGGAGATCAAGACCATCCTGGCTAACACGATGAAATCCCATCTCTACTAAAATACAAAAAATTAGCCGGGCGTGGTGGCGGGCGCCTGTAGTCCCATCTATTCGGGAGGCTGAGGCAGGAGAACGGTGTGAACCCGGGAGGCAGAGCATGCAGTGAGCCAAGATCGCGTCACCACACTCCAGCCTGGGCGACAGCAAGACTCTGACTCAAAAAGGAAAAAAAAAAAGGCTATTTATAAATGATTTGGGAACAACTGACTACAATGGAACATAATAAAATTACATCCTTCTACCACACACTGATTCTAAAGAACAATTCTAGGTAGGTTAGAGACTTAATTTGAAAAGACAGGCCGGGCGCATTGGCTCACACATGTAATCCCAGCACTTTGGGAGGCTGAGGCAGGCAGATCACTTGAGGCCAGGAGTTCCAGATCAGCCTGGACAACATGGTAAAATCCCATCTCTACTAAAAATACAAAAATTAGACAGGCATGATGGGGCATGCCTGTAGTCCCAGCTTCTCTGGAGGCTAAGGCAGGTGAATTACTTGAGCCCGGGAGGCGGCAGCTGCAGTGAGCTGAGATTGCGCCACATTCCAGCCTGGGCGACAGGGCGAGACTCTGTCTCAAAAAAAAAAAAAAGAAAAGAAAAGAAAAGAAACTTAACTTTTTTTAAATAAGAAGATACAGGTAGGGAAGAATGTCTTAGATAAGTCAGAAAAAAAAAGAAATGATTTATCCATCTGTCTTAATTTTGACACAACATGACACTATAAACAAAATTAAGAGATGCCAACAACTAGCAGAAGATACTGGCAACACATGTAACTACAAAGGATTAGAATCTAGAATATATAATGAACACTCAGAAATCAATTAAATCAAAACAGCAAAACATTAGAAGCAATTTAAATGTCTGTCAATAGAACAACATATATTCACTCTATGAAATACCACACAGCAGCTACTATGAATGAACTTGGCATAAATTAAAAAGTCAAGAATTTGAAGGGTACATACGTAAAATTTAAAACCTAGGAAATATGATATATTGCTCATGAGTATACAAATATATAAAATAATACAAGTATAAAAATATGGCCAGGCGCAGTGGCTCATGCCTGTAATCCCGGCACTTTGGGAGGCAGAGGTGGGTGGATTGCTTGAGGTCAGGAGTTCGAGACCAGCCTGGCCGACATGGTGAAACCCCATCTCTACTAAAATACAAAAATTAGCTGGGCAAGGTGGCGGACACCTGTAATCCCTGGTACTAGGGATGCTGAGGCAGGAGAATTGCTTGAACCCAGGAGGCGGAGTCTGCAGTGAGTCGAGATCGCGCCACTGCACTCCAAGCCTGGGCGACAGAGTAGTATAAAAATACATACGAGAACTATAAACACCGAATTCATGATAGTGATAACAACTTCTGAGGAAGGAGAGGAAGGAAAGTATTTTTCAATTCTTTAAAAAAATGTAAAACAAACGTGGCATATTAAAATCTGATAAAGGTAGGACATGACTACCCATATTAAAAAATCCCATGGAATCCACAAAAAAATTCCCAGAGCTAATAAAATGAGTTCAGTAAGGTTGAAGGATATAAAACAAACATAAACAATCAATTGTATTTCTATATACTAGCAATGAATATGTGAACACTGACATTTAAAAAACGCCATTATAATTACTCAAAAAATCAAAATATTTAGATGTAAATCTAACCAAACATGGATGTGACTTTTATGCTGAAAACTATGTAAATGATAGTTTACACAGTCTTCTGATAGAAGAAACCAAAGATCTAAACAAATGAAAAGACATCTCATATTGATATGTTGGAAGACATCAATTCTCCCTACATTCATACAGAGGTTTAACACAATGCCTATCAAAACTCCAGCAAGAGTTTTTCCAAAGATAGACAAGACTATCCCAAAATTAATATGGAAAGACAGAGGAACCAGAATAGTTAAATTTTGAAAAGAAGAAGAATGTAGGAGGAATCAACCTTATCGTATAGCTACCGTCATGAAGACTGTGTTATTGGTGAAGGAACAGGCATATACATAAAACAATAGAACAGAACAGAGAACCTAGAGAAAGATCCATACAAGCATGCCCAACTGATTTTTGACAAAAATGTGAAAGCATTTCAATGGAAGCAGAATAGCTTTTTCCACAAATGTTGCTGGGGCAATCACACTTGCATAGGTAAAAAGAGAGAGATAAAAAACAACCTCAATCTAAGTCTTAGATCTTACACAAAAATTAACTTAAAATGGATCACGGACTTAAATTAAAACTATAAAACTTTTAGAAAAAAATAGGAGAAAATCTTCAGAATCTAGGGCAAGGCAATGAACTCTTAGAGTTATACCAATGCATGATCCATAATAGGAAAAACTGGTAAATTAAATTTCATCGAAATTGAACTTTTGCTCTGTAAAAGACCCCGTTAAGAGGGTGAAAAGACAAGCTAAAGACAAGAAGAAAATACTTGTAAACCACATATCTGACAAAGGACTAGTACCTAAAAGATATAAAGAACTCTCAAAATTCAATAGTAATACCAAAAAATGCAATTAGAAAATGGTCAGAAGCTATGAAAAGGCATTTCTCTGAAGAAAATGTAATGATGGTAAATAAACAAATGAAAAGATGCTCAACACCATCTGCACATTAAAACCATGCAAATTAAAACCATGAGATATTACAACGTACCTGTGAGAATGGCTAAACAAAAAATAATGACACTAAATGCAGGTAAGGATGCAGTATAATTGAACCTCTGATACATTGCCGGTGGGAATGTAAAATAGTACAGCTACTCTGGAAAAAAGTTTGGCAGCATCTTAAAAAACTGAAAATGCAATACCATGCAACCCAGTAATTGCACTCTTGGGCGTTTATCCCAAGAAATGAGGACATATGTTCACGCAAAAACCTTTATTTGTAATAGCCAAAAATTGTAAACAACTCTGATGTCCTTCAGTGAGCAAAAGGTTAAACAAACTGTCATACATCCACACCATGGACTATTACTCATCGATTATAAAAAAAATGAACTACTGATACATGCAACAATTTGGATGAATCTGAAGGGATTATTCTAAGCGACAAACGCCAAACCCAAAAGGTTAATGATTCAATTTATATAACATTTTTGAAAACACAAAATTATAGAAATGGGGAACACACTAGTGAATGCAAAAGGAGTAAGGTGGGGCAGGAAGGAAGTGAATACAGCTACAAAAGGACAATGTGAGGAGATCCTTGGGGAGATGGAAATGTTCTGTATCTCAGCTGTGCCAATGTCCATATGCTGGTTGTGTTACTGTATTTCTACAAGTTTTACCAATAGGGGAACTGGGCAAAGGATTTCTATTATTTCTTACAATAACACAACAGTTTGCAACAGGTTTACACATGTCCATCATGTGCTCTAAACTTGCCTAGATGTTTGAAATGCTTCAGAATAATAATTTTAAAATGTATTGTACATCATGAGGAGTGTTTTCTTTTTATGTGTTTTGGGGAAGGGAGAGATTATAATAATCAATAATAATATAATAATAATCAAGACTAAATTTCTGGCCGGCGCGATGGCTCACACCTGTAATCCCAGCCCTTTGAGAGGCCAAAGCGGGTGGATCACTTGAGGTCAAGAGTTCAAGACCAGCCTGGCCAACACTATGAAATGCTGTCTCTACTAAAAATACAAAAATGAGCCAGATGTGGTGGCATGCACCTGTAATCCCAGCTGCTTGGGAAGCTGAGGCAGGAGAATCGCTTGAACCCAGGAGACAGAAGTTGCAGTGAGCCGAGATTGTACCACTGCACTCCAGCCTGGGCAACAGAGCCAGACTCTGTCTCAAAAAAAAGACTAAATTTTTTTATGTTGACTTTTATCTGAATCATCACTTTTATCTCCAAAGACTTAAGAGATAACTAAAGGAACAATGGGTTTGCTTCATGTATGTCCCTGGTTGGTTAGGGCTATTGAGTTTCGGGGTGGGGGGAAATAAAATCTGGATGTTTTTCTCCTTAAAAAATGGTGAGTGGCGGACAGGTGTGGTGGCTCATGCCTATAATCCCAGCACTTCGGGAGGCCGAGGCAGGCAGATCACCTGAGGTCAGGGGTTTGAAACCAGCCTGGTCAACATGGCGAAACCCCATCTCTACTAAAAATACAAAATTAGCCGGGCGTGGTGGCACATGCCTGTAATACCAGCTACTTGGGAGGCTGAGGCAGGAGAATCGCTTGAACCTGGGAGGCGGAGGTTGCAGTGAGCCGAGATCGTGCCATTGCACTCCAGCCTGGGCAACAAAACTCCGTCTCAAAAAAAAAAAAAAAAATGGTGAGCAGCTTCCAAACAGTATAATGCCTGTCAGCAAGATTAAAGGTTAAAGAAAAAGACTTTGGCTGCTTTGTCTTAGAATCATTAATACACAAGCTTCTGATATTCAGGGACATTATTAAGGTACTAACAACTCTCATAGTTTACTTTTTTCTTATTGTTCTGCATATTAGAGACTCTTACTGTTTTTGGTTGTTTCAAACTCTAAAAACATTTTTCAGATAATTGTGTAAGTCATAAAATAATGTTTATGAATATTATTTTAATTATATTAATTACAATATTAATTATTTTAATTATATTAATTACAATAATATTAATTTTAATTATATTAATTACAATATTAATTATTTTAATTAATATTTAATATTAAAATAAAAATTAATGATTTAAAATTTGTATCAATTGTTATTAAGATTCAGTATTAAGCTTAGGAAGTCTTAATTTAAAATACATTGTATTCTATGGTAGATTGTTTTTAGTTATTTGCTGCCTTTCTTCTTCTTTTTTTTTTTTTTTTTTTGAGATGGAATCTCACTCTGTCGCCCAGGCGGGAGTGCAGTGGCGCAATCTCAGCTCACTGCAACCTCTGCCTCCTGGGTTCAAGCGATTCTCCTGCTCAGCCTCCTGAGTAGCTGGGATTACAGGCATGCACCACCACGCCCGGCTAATTTTTGTATTTTTAGTAGAGACGAGGTTTCACCATGTTGGTCAGGCTGGTCTCGATCTCCTGAACTCATGATCTGCCCACCTCAGCCTCCCAAAGTGCTGGGATTACAGGTGTGAGCCACTGCTCCCAGCCATTTGCTACCTTTATTCTAAGAGAACTACACATCCCTATGTGGTTTACATTCGTCCTGGTATATTCCTCCCCTATTGATGTTAAGGCCACATTACTTTGGTGAGCAGAAGTGACTAATAAATGCTACCTCCAAGTGTTAGCTTTAAAAGACATCACAGGGTTTGGCCATCTCTTTTTCCTATGCCAAGAGCCTAGGATGTCCTGGCTGAGGGTCTTAGGATAAAGAAAACATGGAGCAGAGTCAGCACTAACCCATAAGGATATGTATCACGAGTGAGGAATAAACTTTTCTAAGTCACTGAGATCTGGGGACTGTTTCTGCAGCACACCCTAGTGAAAGCTAGCTTAACATGAATTAAAAACCTACACAATTTCAATGTATTCCCTTCCTTCTAGAGACAGATAAAAAATGACACTGGAAGTTTTCCTGACCCTTTAAACACAAAACAGAAGCTTTATTTGCATAATCGACTTCAAAACAACAATGGTTTCAACTTAAAATTCTGGTCATGAAGTCCTAATATCACTTATTTATAAGTTATATACATGTGTTACTGTATAAAAGTATATACTGTATAACAAAACACACAGAAATAGAAAATGTTAAAGTATTAGGTAAATAAGTAAACTAACGCAGAAACAAAAAACCAAATACTGCATGTTCTCACAAGTGGGAGCTAAACACTGGGTGCACATGGACATAAAGACAGGCTCGACAGACATTGGAGACTACAAGACGGGAGAAAGTGGGGGAAGGGTTGAAAAACTACCTGTTGGTACTATGCTCACTACCTGGGTGATGGGTTCCATCATACCCCAACCCTCAGCATCACACAACATATTAGTGTAACAAACCTACAAACGTGCCCCCTGAATCTAAAATATAAGTTGAAAAAAGCAAAAATAAGTAAAGTATTAGGTAAAAAAGAAATACAGTATATGGCCT
The DNA here is from genome assembly GCF_000001405.40 of Homo sapiens. NCBI lineage: Eukaryota > Metazoa > Chordata > Mammalia > Primates > Hominidae > Homo > Homo sapiens. The sequence continues at coordinate 1,834,818 of NT_187614.1, forward strand.
TCAAGATAGCTGTTAATAGTACAAAAGCAAAAACCTTTTTTTCCTCTGGCCTTTTTTTTTTTTTTTGAGACGGGAGTCTCACTTTGTTGCCCAGGCTGGAGTACAGTGGCATGATCTTGGCTCACTGCAACCTCCACCTCTCGGGTTTAAGGGATTGTCCTGCCTCAGCCTCCCGAGTAGCTGGGACTACAGGCACATGCCACCACGCCCAGGTAATTTTTGTATTTTTAGTAGAAACAGGGATTCACCATGTTGGCCAGGCTGGTCTCGAACTCCTGACCTCAAGTGATCTGCCCGCCTTGGCCTCCCAAAGTGCTGGGATTACAGGCATGAGCCACTGCACCTAGCCTTTTCCCTCACTCTTGGAGGGTGAACACATCTTCATTTTAGTTTGAAGGAAGCCATTTATTTATGCTTATTTCTAATTGTAACATTAAGCTCTTAGCCTGTAGCTCTTGATATATAAACGTAACAACAAACAATAACTTTGTAAGAAACCAACTAAAGAAGTAAGTACCTGCATAGCAATAGGTCCTTGGGACATCTGAGAGCTGTAATTCATTCCCATAATGCCTTGCATATTAGGCTGCATGACAGAGACCATAGGAAATCCTTGTTGCTGCATCGGCATCAGGCCTGCTGAAAATATAAAGACATTATTAAAGTCAATGTGTTTTAAAGTTTATTTTCTTAAAACCATAAGTACCTAAAGGACTTGTTACTTGGCAGGAAGCAGAGTGTAATGGAAAAAGCACAGGGTCCTGAGTGAGACAGATGTGAATATGAATTCCAACTCCATCATTTACTTAGCTGTGTGATCTTGAACAAGTTACAAAACTTCATCTGTAAAATGAAGATAATATCTCTTCTATGGAATTTGTATGCATATTAAAAAACAGTATGGCCTAATTGGGGTACTCAGCCTTCAAGATGGCCTCCAATGACCTCTGTCTCCTGGTATTCATACCCGTGTGTTGTTCCATTCCATACTGAATGGGGCTGATCAGTATAACCAACAGGATACTGTGGAAATGACAGCATGTAACTTCGAAGGCTAGTTATTTTTTTTTTCTTTTGAGACAGAGTCTCACTCTGTCACCCAGGCTGGAGTGCAGTGGCATGATCTCAGCTCACTGCAACTTCCACCTCCTGGGTTCAAGCCTCCCAAGTAGCTGGGACTACAGGTGCCTGCCACCACGCCCAGCTAATTTTTGTATTTTTTAGTAGAGATGGGGTTTCGCCATCTTGGCCAGGGTGGTCTTGAACTCCTGACCTCAACACCCGCCTCAGCCTCCCAAAGTGCTGGGATTACAGGTGTGAGCCACTGTGCCTGGCCTGAAGGCTAGTTCTTAAAAGACACTGTAGTTTCCTCCTGGTTCTTTTGGATCACTTGCTCTGGAGCAAGCCACTGCCACGTCATGAAATACTCAATAAGACCTATGGAGAATCCATGTGGTAAGGTACTGAGGTCTTCTGCCAAAAGGCAGCATGAATTTGCCATCTATCTCAGCGAGCCACCTCGGCAGCATCTCCATGAAACTTTCAGATGACTGCAAGCCTGGCTGACATCTTCACTGCAATCTCATAAGAGGTCTTGAGCCTGAACCACCCAGCAGAGCTACTCCTAGATTCCTGACCGAGAGACACACTATGAAATAATAAAATGTTTACTTTTTAAAGTTTGGGATAATTTGTTACACAACAGCAGATAACTAACAAAATAACAGTTAGGAGCATGAACTCTGGGAGCCAACTAGAAATGACACATACTATTTTGGAACCTTGGGCAATCTGCTTCTTTCTATGCCTTGGTTTATCATTTGTAAAACTGTTTAATACTTACTATGCTCAAAGAAATGTTATTCTTCTTCCTTTTTCTTACATGAATAGGTAATATAACAGTTACCACAAAATAGCCATCAGCATGTGCAATGGCAGAAAACTATCACGAATGTATGATTTAGGCTAGTGTTTCCCAAACTTTTCCAAGAGCAGAGGTGAATGAATATACATCCCTTTGGGATTTTAATAAATACTAAATGCTTATTATATGCTAGGCATAGTTCTATGTGCTTGGTACACAAGAAGTGAATAAAACAAAATCCCTACATAGTCTGAGCACAAATTTCATTCTAATTTTGCATTCAAACTACATCTATGTTGGTTCTACCATAAGGAACTTTATATCAAACTGTCAGTTTGAAAAATTAAAGATCTAGGAAATTATACCATGTTTATCTTATGGTTTTTGTGTACCTCCCAGGTTATTTATAACCTAGCCTAATTTCAGAAGCATGGACATCCACATTTGTGGCTAACAGTTATTAGAGGTAGGCCATTCACTTATTCAAGTATTTGAAGCCTACTCCGTATTAGGCACTGTTCTAGGGACATAGCCATGAACAAAACCAGGTCTTCACTCTCATGGAACTTACACTGTAATTAGGAGAGATAGATAACAAAAAAATAAGTACATGTCAGGTGGTGATAAGAGCTAGGGCAAAAAATAAAGCAGGGCAAGGGGGAATGGAGTGGTTGCTATTTTACATAGGGCAATCAGAAAAAGTTTTACCAACAGGGTAGTATTTCAACAAGAACCTCAAGTAAATAAAGAACCAAGCCATGCAGATGTTTGGGAAAAATATTCCAGACCAAAGAACACCAAGTACAAAGATCACGAGGTGTCAGGGAGAATTAGAATACACAGATTGAAAATAGCCACAGTAAGATGTTTTCCGTCTTATTTCTTTGGACTTAAAGTTTTATTGATTTTAACTGATTTTATTTTATTTCTGAATGGGTAACTCAGATATCTGGCATAATATTTCAAGGCACAAAAGTGTACACAGTAAAAAATAGGTCTCTTTCTCTCCTCTGTCTCCGGTTCAAGTACTCATGATCTTGTGGCCATGACCTTGCTGTCGGTTTCTTACATATGTTTTCAGAAATGATCCATGCATAATTTAAAGCCTTCAAATGATCAAAAAGTCCATTCTAACAACTGTTAAAAAAAAATCTCCAAACCAATTCCAAATTCCCTAAGAAAAAATATCAGGCAACACTTTGGGGTCTCTTCTTGTCCAGTTCCTTTGCTCCATATGCATATTTTTACTTGAAAGTGTATAGAAATGCAAAATAACAAACATGATAATGGACACATAACTCTGTAATACCTTCCTAAAGAACAAAAGATCTCAAACCATTTGATCTCAATCTGGGACACATCTAATTACAGATAGCTTAAATAATGCATAAATGTGAACACGATGAAAAGAATACAACTGAGCCTTGGAAAAACTTACCTGAAACCCAACCACCATCACTGATTATAAATGAAGACAAAGTCAGGATGAGCCACTGACCACCTGCTACTGAGCTGCTCTTTATCTTTTATCTCTACTGCTGACCTAGGAGTCTCTGTTTCTTTAGCAAATCTATGACAACCAATCAACGCTGGCTTTTTAAGAAGAGCCAGTTTTCAGAAGCAGCTTGGTGTGAGGGGAGAGGGAAGACTGTCAGAGTGAAAGAAATGAGCGGAAAGAAGCCAGATGAAGGCAGATCTATTCCTTCTTCACTGTTGTGTCCCAGTTGCATGGCAGCATGGGTCAAAATTATATTCCTTCACTACTATTTCCTTGAAGATAAAGCTAGAATTGATATTGGTGGGTCCTAGTCTGAGACCAAGAGAGAAAAGGTATACTTAGAGAAATTTCTAGGAATAGAACTGAGACTTGGCCGGATGTGGTGGCTCATGCCTGTAATCCCAGTGCTTTGGGAGGCCAAGGCAGGAGAATCGCTTAAGCCGAGGAATTTGATACCAGCCTGGGCAACATAGGGAGACCCTGTCTCTACAGAATATTTAAAAATTAGCCAGGCGTGGTGGTATGCACCTGTGGTCCCAGCTACCTGGGAAGCTGAGGTGGGAGGAATGCTTGAGCCTAGGTGGCTGAGGCTACAGTAAGCTATGACTGTGCCACTTATACTCCAGCCTGGGCGACAGAGCAAGAGACTCCATCTCAAAAATAAAAATAAAAAACCAAACAAAATCCTGAGACTTAAATACTTAAGCTGAATCAGACTATGTGATCTCTTTTAATTTCAAAATTATATATTTATAAAACATGATTATAATAAGATACTATCATATAGATAAAAAATAGCAGTGTAAAACAACTAAAGATGTTTGTTTATTCATTCAACAAACATCTACAGATAACCTATTGTGCTGAATCAACATGCTGGGTGCTACAAATAATGCTAGATGAGCATTAGACAGACATGGCACTAACAATCTAGCAGAAGACTAGATAGAAGGAGAAAGACATCATTAAGTGAATTACAGCTCGTTTCATTTTTATCACCTGTTCTTTAACATTCTTGTCCTAAAAGTCTTTCACCTCTGAGGTTAAACAATCTATGAACATAATGTCTATGTAAGTTTGGGAGAAACGAGGAGTGATCCTTATTACTCCCAAAATTATATAATTTTTGAGAAAATTTAAGAGTAGCTGTCATATAGGACATACAGGTTTAAGAGTGCAGAAAATTTTACTCTATTCAGCAGCAACAGAACTTATTTTCTATTTACTTATTTAATTCCCAGATTCAGAAACACAAGAGTGAAAAATAAAAGTTCAAAACTTAAGCTCTCACATACCTTGAGGGGGTCTTATCCCACCTGCAACAGGAAACATGAAGCTGAAAACAGAATAAAAATACATTATAATCTTCGTATGTACAAAGATTTCAAATAACACGTGTACTTTTTTATATGGATAAAAGACTTGTAGATGGGACCTGGTGTTTGTTCTGCACCACAATACTGAATTGCCCAACATCAGTACACTGAGCATCCATAGGATGCATGTCAGCATGCTACTGCAGACGGAAACTTGTTGAAACAAAAGACAGAAGACCCTGAAATTAGTCCTGGCTCTGTCACTTCGTGTCCTCTCTGGATTCCAGTTTCCCCATCTATAAAATGAGAGAGTTTAGATTCAATTCAGTCAACATCTATTGAGTGTCAACTACATGAAATGATGGAATCTTATAATCAAAAATACACATATGCAGGCAAATAACTATACCACAGGGTAAATGTGCTAACTGCTATAAGCGAGGTCCAAATTATTAATAGAGATGAGAAGAAAAAGATGAATTTTAATGGGCTATATCTTGAGAAGTTTTATGGAAGTAGCTCTGGAGCTGAATCTTGAAGGAAAATAGAAGCACACTATATATTTTGAGCAAAAGCTCTGAGGCAGAGATGCAGGGATGTTTGGAGAAATGAATGTAGGTTAAATGTTAACTATATGATTTAAAAGCAAGCAGATTGTACAGGGCCTTTATTTTTATTTTTATTTATTTATTTATTTTTGTGAGATGGAGTTTCGCTCTTGTTGCCCAGGCTTGAGTGCAATGGCGCGATCTTGGCTCACTGCAGCCTCCACCTCCTGTGTTCAAGCAATTCTCCTGCCTCAGCCTCCTGAGTAGCTGGGATTACAGGCACCCGCCACCACGACTGGCTAATTTTTTGTATTTTTAGTAGAGGCAGGGTTTCACCATGTTGGCCAGGCTGGTCTCAAACTCCTGACCTCAGGTGATCCACCCGCCTCGGCCTCCCAAAGTGCTGGGATTACAGGTGTGAGCCACCGCACCTGGTCAAGGGCCTTTAAAATGTTTCATTTTATTTTGAATATTATATGAAGTTGTCAGAGGTTTTATTGTTATTGTGGTAACATATACATAACATAAAATTCTATCATTTTTAACCATTTTTAAGTGTATAATTCCATGGCATAATTAAGGACATTCACAATATTGTCAACCATTACCACTATCCATTTCCAGAACCTTTCCATCATCCCAAACAGAAACTCTGTACCCATTAAACAATAAGTCCTCATTTTAGAGCGTAAGAAAGCTCTCTTCTAAGGTTTTTTTTAAGCTGACAACTTTATTTTTATTTTATTTTTTTGAGACGGAGTTTGCTCTTGTCGTCCAGGTTGGAGTGTGATGGCATGATCTCAGCTCACTGCAACCTCCGCCTGCCAGGCTCAAGTGATTCTACTGCCTCAGCCTCCTATGTAGCTGGGACTACAGGCGAGCACTACCAAACCTGGCTAATTATTGTATTTTCAGTAGAGACAGGGTTTCACCATGATGACCAGGCTGGTCTTGAACTCCTGGCCTCATGATCTGCCTGCCTTGGCCTCCCAAAGTGCTGGGGTTACAGACATGAGCTACGGCACTTGGCCTAGGCTCTTTTGAATAAAGGTTAAGCCTGGGCGACAGAGTGAGATTCCGTCTCAAATAAATAAATAAATAAAGGTTAAAAAGTTAAGCTCTGGCCAGGCGCAGTGGCTCACGTCTGTAATCCCAGCACTTTGGGAGGCCAAGGTAGGTGGATCACCTGAGGTTGGGAGTTCCAGACCAGCCTGACCAACATGGAGAAACCCCATCTCTACTAAAAATACAAAATTAGCTGGGCATGGTGGTGCATGCCTGCAATTCCAGCTACTCAGGAGGCTGTGAGGCAGGAGAATCACTTGAACCCAGGAGGCGGAGGTTGCAGTGAGCCAAGATCGCGCCATTGCACTTCAGCCTGGGCAACAAGAGTGAAACTCCGTTTCAAAAAAAAAAAAAAATTAAGCTCTGGTTGTAGATGAAATAGCCAAGGGCATATATCCAGTAACAAAACAACTAAGGACAAACTTGGAGAATTCTTGCAGTGAAAACTGAGTAGGAAATGGTCATTGAAAACCAAGGGAGTGCTTATAACTGAGAGTTATAACTGAAGAAGGACCACATTTCAACAAGGAAGTAGTTACCAGTGTCTAATGCTGTAGAATAGCGGTGAGAATGAAGATTAAAAAATAAATCACTGCTTTCAAAAATGGTGATTGTTAAGTGAGTTAGTTTCAACAAAGAAAGGGGAAGAGACCCTAGGGAGAAAAAATTTAAGAGACAAAATACATACCTAGTGATTTATAAGGTTTTTAAGGAAATGGGATTAACACGCGAAGGAGCAAAAGGGGGCCAGATGAGGTGGTGCATGCCTGTAATCCCAGCACTTTGGGAGGCCAAGGCAGGCGGATCACTTGAGGCCAGGAGTTCAAGACCAGCCTGGTCAACATGACAAAACCCCATCTTTACTAAAAATACAAAAATTAGCCAGGCGTGGTGGCATGTGCCTGTAATCCCAGCTATCCAGTAGGCTGAGACATGAGCATTGCTTGAACCCAGGAGGCGGAGGTTGCAGTGAGCTGAGATTGCCCCACTGCACTCCAGCCTGAGCAGACAGAATGACAGAAGGAGACTCTGTCTCAAAACAAAACAAAACAAAACAAAGTAGCAAAAGGGATCTGCTTTGAAAAGGAAGTGGGACTTCTTTCTCTGAGCCTGGAAAGAAAAAGGGACAAATCAAGGAAGACTTCTGAGTGAGAAAGGCTCTTAATCCGGGAGTCAAGGATCTGAAAAGGAGGTTTCTAGATACTCTTTAGAGAATCTAGTGAATGGCTGGGTCTGGTGGCTCACACCTATAATCCCAGCACTTTGGGGGGCCAAAGTGGGAGGATTGCTTGAGCCCATGAGTTTGAGACCAGCCTGGGCAACATAGTGAGACCTCATCTCTCCAAAATAATAATAATAACAACAACAACAACAATAAATAACATAAAAATTATAATGGTGATTCTTTTCCAGAAAGTTTTCAATTTACTGTGTCCAGTTCCATCAAAAGAATCACTATCTATGGGCGTTATAGCCTTAGATATAGCCTTACAATGAATTTCTCAAATAATAAGAGATGAAAGAAGAAATTACTCCTTGATTCATGGAGAATGGATGCCGCTTTAGCAGACATGAGAACATTAACCTTCTCATGCATTGCCATCAGAGCTCTTGGGTGACCAGGCACATTGTCAAGAAGCAGTAACGTTTTCAAAAGAAACTTTTTTCTGAGAAGTAGGTCTCAACAATGGGCTTAAAATACTCAGTAAACCATGCTGTAAACAGATGTGCTGTCACCCAGGCTTTGTGGTTCAATTTATGGACTATAGGCAGAGTAGATTTAGCATACTTTTGAAAAGCCCTGACATTTTCATAGTGGTCAGTGAGTATTGGTTTAATTTAAAGTTACCTGCTGCATTAGGCCCTAACAAGACAGTCAGCCTGTCCTTTGGTGCCAGACATTGACTTCTCCTCTCTAGCTAGGAAAGTCTTAGATGGCATCTTCACCTGCATTGAAAATCTGGCCAGGTATGGTGGCTCATGCCTGTAATTCCAGCACTTTGGGAGGCCGAGGTGGGTGGATTACCTGAGGTCAGGAGTATGTGACCAGCCTGGCCAACATGGTGAAACCCTATTTCTACTAAAAATATAAAATTAGCCTGGCGTGGTGGTGCGTGCCTGTAATCTCAGCTACTGGGGAGGCTGAGGCAGAAGAACCACTTGAACCCGGGAGGCGAAGGTTACATTGAGGCGAGATCACGCCACTGCACTCCAGCCTGGGTGACAGAGTGAGACTCTGTCTATAAAAAAAAAAAAAAAGAAAATCTATTGTTTAGCGTAGCCACCTTCATCAATGATCTTAGCTCTTCTGAATAACTTGCTAAAGCTTCTACATCAGCACTTGCTGCTTCACCTTGTACTTTTTTGTTATGGAGATAGCTTCTTTGCTTAAACCTCATAAACTGACCTGTTAGCTTCCAACTTTTCTTCTGCAGCTTCCTCACCTATTTCTCAGCCTTCAGCCTTTACAGAATTGAAGAGACTAAGGATCTTGCTTCAAATTAGGCTTTGGCTTAAGGGAATGTTAAGGGTGGTTTAATCTTCTATCCAGACCACTCACCCTTTTTCAATATCAGCAATAAAGCTGTTTTACTTTCTTAACATTTGTGTTTCCTGGAACAGGACTTTTAATTTCCTTCAAGAACTTTTCCTCTGCATTCACAACTTAGTTAACTGGTGTAAGAGGCCTCGCTTTTGACCTACCTCAGCTTTCAACACTTAATGACTAAGCTTTATCATTTCTAGCTTCGGATTTAAAGGGAGAGATGGGCGACTCTTCCTTTCACTTGAACACTTAGAGGCCACTGTAGGGTTAATCAGCCTAATTTCAATACTGTTATGTCTCAGGGAATATGGAGGCCCTTGGAGAGGAAGACCGGGGAACAGCTGGTAGGTAGAGCAGTCAGACTGCACAAAACATTTATCAATTACGTTTGCTGTCTTATACGAGCTGGGTTTGTGGTGCTCCAAAACAATTACACTAGTAACATCAAAGATCACTGATCACAGATCACCATAACAAATAATAATAATGAAAGAGTTTGAAATATTGTGAGAATTACCAAAATGTGACAGAGACATGAAGTGAACACAGGCTGTGGAAAAATTGCGCGGATAAACTTGCTCAATGCAGAGTTGCCACAAACCTTCAATTTATAAAAAACACTGTATCTGCTAACTGCAATGAGGTATGCCTGTATTCAGTTTTTAAAGACATTACTCATATGCTAAAATTGATACATTCAGGAGCAATGAATACATTTAAGTAATCAAGCTGTCAAGATTTTTAAAAATCAGGCTTAAACATTTAAATTAGTCATATGGCCTAGAGGCTCAAAAGAATTGGAAACTCGTGTATATTTTCTTTCTTCCAGCTTTGCCATAAAGTAACTGTGAAGCTCTGTGCAATCTCCTTTACCCCCTGTCTGGTTTCCCCTCTGTCAAATGAGGACGTAGAATCAAGGCTGCTAAAGTCTCAGCTAAGACAATCACATAGACATGAATACATAAACAGATGTATAAAGGTTACTTTGAAAATGAAATAAAAACAAAATACTGTCAAACATGACTTTCTCTAGTAAGAATTTAGCAAATCGAACTGCTTAGTGACCTATGAAAAATTCATATTTTTCTCTGAAATGTTTAGACAACTAATAACAACATGCTTAAAGATTGGTTAGATAAGCAGTTAAGGCATTAATAAGACAGTAAAAGCTTGGCAAAAAACTGGGCAGGAAGGTGACCAACAATTTAATTTCAAAGGTAAAACCACTAATTCTTATATTACTGACATCTCGGTATGAAAGCAGAGCTCTGTCACTTACCTATCTCATCCGTCCCTCCTTTTCAGTTACCTTTGCTACTAACCTAGATTTGACACTAGGCTTCACTTCTTAGGCCTAAACTCCTACATAAAGACTTCCTAATGGATCTCCCCACCTCCAGACTCTGGTTTCTAATTCATCTGATGCAGCACAAGTGAGAGACATCTTTCTAAATGATGGACCATTACGCAATAATTAAATGGTCCTTTAGCAAGACGCACCCCTGAAGTTAAAACTATGAAATGATTTCCCTGAAACTGAATTTCCTTAGTTTAAACTCAAGGCCCTCTCTAGTTTGGGCACAACTCTACTTTGCAGTTTTATCTCACAAAACTCTTCTCTGCCACTCAGAGCCACAGTCATCTGGCACTGCAGGTACATCGTTTCCTTAGTGTTGACTAGGCCTTCCCATCTCTGTGACGATCTCTTGACCGCTTCCTCTTCCTCTAACTCTGTGGGCCAAATGAAATACCACTTCTTTGCCTTTGATATAGCTGAAATCCACAAATATTTACAGAATGTTTTTTATGTGCAAAAATGTGCTAGAAGCAGTGAAAGAAGAAAAGATGAGGAAGCCCTCTAAAAGCTTGTAAAAGATCAGGAAAAAATAGACAAGTTCACAAATGATAACATCCCAGAAGAACGTGACCTCTTTGTTCCACTTTACTTTGTACCACAGTTATTTTGTACATTCTCCAAGGATGGGGACCATGTTTTGATGTCTTTTTAATTCATTACAGCATCAAGAACAGTACCTTACCCATGTAAGCATTCAATGACTACAGACTAATCCAGATCTTTCAACTCTTTTTTTTTTCTGCCTTGATTAAAGAAAAAAAAAATTTATACTTCTCATCTCTTGGGCAAATTTTGCCCTTTATACAACTCTACCATTTATTCTAAAGTAGCTCATCCAGGACACCAATCAAAAGTAGGGTAATATTAAATTTGGAAAACGTTATTGTGTTTTGCTTAGCCTCTTAGAATATAGAGAAGTATCTAAACAATACAGTCAGTTATAGTTCATGGATTTTCTCCATTAAAGGTGTAGAGAAGTTGCCTGTTTTTTTTCTTCAAATATACTTAGGTTGCCATAATGTTAAGTTTCCGTATAAAATAATTTCAGGGAGGGTGGGTGGCAAAAAGAAAATTAAAAAGGAAATAAAATAACTTCAGCCTTTACACCATTACTCTCTAAAAAAAATAATATTCCTTTTTCTATTGAGGATACAGCTTCTCAGCCTCAGAAAGTTGCCAATATATGTAACATATGTACCATACATTTTTCAAGGTAAGAATCATTTTAACCACTTCTTTCTCTCCTGTATATCGTTTACAGTTTTAGAATGCAGATGTTGCTACATTTACAAAGGGGGGAAATTTTAAAATCATTCTAATTTCTATCAAAATTCAACCCATATTTATTTTAAAAATTTGTGTCCATGGACCAATGATACTCAAATACTGCAAACTAAAGGGAATAATGCACTTGAATTTCTGAACCTGAGGTCCTCCCCATCCAAAAACATTTTTTAAGTAAATAAAAATTTGGGCCTAGATATCAATTCTTCTAAGTTTACATTTTCCCAGAACTTGGTGCCATGATTAATCATATACTTGATCAAATTAATACCATCCAGGGACATTTTAGAAACTGTAATCACATATAGGAAATAAATAGAGGATGCCGGGCGTGGTGACTCAAGCCTGTAATTCTAGAACTTTGGGAGGCCAAGGTGGGCGGATCACTTGAGGCCAGGAGTTTGAGACCAGCCTGGCTAACATGGTGAAACCCCGTCTCTACTAAAAATACAGAAATTAGCTGGGCGTGGTGGCGCACGCCTGTAATCCCAGCTACTTGGGAGGCTGAGGCAGAAGAATCGCTTGAACCCGGGAGGTCGAGGTTGCAGTGAGCCGACATCGTGCCACTGCACTCTAGCCTGGGTGACAGAACGAGACTCTGTCTCAATCGATCAATCAACAAAATTAGCCGGGCATGGTGGCGCGCACCTGTAATCCCAGCTGCTCCGAGGCTGAGGCAAGAGAATCGCTTGGACCCAGGAGGCAGAGGTTGCAGCGGGTCGAGATCACGCCGCCGCACTCTGGCCTGGGCAACAGAGCAAGACTTCCTCTCAAAAAAAAAAAAAAAAACAAAAACAAACAAGACAAAAGAAAAAGAAAAAACAAATAGAAGGGAATTATTACATATGTTTCTTCTCCAGCCAGAAACTGGCTTACACGAAGTATTTATTTTTTAAAAAACCCTCTAATGAAACAACGGAGAGAACAAAAGAGAAAGCAAAAAGTTTAAAAATCTAAAGTTAAAGATGTGCAGAGGAAATGAAAAATGGGGTTACACACAGGTGGTTTATTGAACAGCCACTGCTCGTTTCCTGACAAGCACCTGCAAGAGGTGATAACTTTAAGGTCCTTACACTTTTGTAGTGTTCACGACTCCGAAATTGAAACACTGCATATAAAAAAAAAACCTAACACTTCGTTTTCCAAAGACAATTTAGGATACTGAAGATGCAAAGCTACTTTTACCTCCAAATGTGTGTGCTGTTGTGTGTTGGTTAGTAAAACAAAATCAGACTAGGTCATTATAGAAGTGGAGTGAAAACTTCCTAGAATAAAATATTTCCTTAAATGATAACGAATCTGTCAGCTTGTAAAACGTACATCTCCCTTACCATTCTGGGTATAAGAACCACGGCAGTTCTTGGCTGAAATGTGGCAGAGGGCAGATTTGTTTAAGGGCTGAGTCTGGAAGCTTTGTTCTAATAAATGCGCAACTGCTGTTTAACAGTGCACTTTCTTTGTTTTTAAATGCCTTTTTAAAAAGAAGACAGACAAGTCTTAAGAGTTAGTGTACAAGACAAGAACTCTATCTCAAGACCATTACTAATTCAGAGGTCTTTAGATGTTCCTGCTGTTTGTCGCGGGTTAAGGAAATAAAGAGGACAGGACACTCTAAAAGGGGAAGAGACAAATAGTCCACACACACACCCCCCTTGGAAACAGTCCTCCAGCTTTGTGAACAGATTTTTAAAGCCCTCCCTCCAACATATCCGGTTAAGTCTAGAAAGCCCAAGGAAAGGGAAGACCCTGGTCGCTTCGGAGGCAGCTAGGACTAGGAGCGGAGTCGCGGTTCCTGATTTGCCCCGCCCCCCCCCACCCCAAGAGGACCCTCATCTTCTCTCCCCTCCCACACTGGGCGCGCGCTCGCTCCCCGCTCGATTCCAGGCGGCCGGCGCCCCCAACTGATCCCGGAACACCAGCGTCCAGCACCTGGGCTCCACACGCCCCTTTCGGCCTGGGTCCCTGGGGGATGACCCTCCTCCCGCAGCCCAGTTCCAAGGAAAAGGATCAGGGCTGGAGAAAACTGCCATAACTGCCAAGCGCCCCTCGCCGCCCCCGCGGAGGCCAGCGGGCTCCCGCCCGGCTCTTCACACCTACCCGCCTCCCCCGGCGGACCCCGCGCCAGCTCCCGCGGCCCCGCCGCCACCAGAACCAGCTCCTGGCCGCAGCGCCATCTTGCTCCCGACCTGCCGCTGCCTTCGCCGCCGCCACCTTATCAGCAGCTGTCAGCTGAACACAGCCACTTCCGGGTCAAACACCAGGCCCCACCTCGCCGCGGACCGGGCGATGGGGCGGGGCCTCGCGCCCACGTGACTCCCCCGGCCCTCGGGGAGGCGTGGCGCGCCCACGGCACGTGACCCGGCGCCGCAGGGGTCCCCCAGATTCAATTCTAGCTCTCGGGCTGGTGGGGCGGTCGCGGGCGCCTCTCCAAGGGAGCTGATTCATTGTCTGGTAGGCCCTCTGCAGGGCCCAGCTGGCGGCCCAGTGGCAAAGCGCCGTTGGTCCTCCGTTTGAAAACCATGATCGCGGTTAGTGGAAAGAGTAGGCTGAGTCCTGATTTTTAAACTATACGGTGGGTACACTGGTGTTCTTTTATTGTTACTCTTTACACACAAAGAACAGATAGGTCCTGAAGGGCCCTTTGATAGTCTCGCAGCACTGATGAGTGATCAGCTCTCCCCTCTTTCTCTGGAACTCGGTAGCTTCATGTTGGCACCTATCACAGACGCTGAAGGCATTTAAATTTTATTTTAAATCAACCAAGAGCCCAAAAACCCAACCCATATTTCGAAAAAACTCCAAGGTGTACTACTCTTGTTTGGTTCTGCCATCCTGCCACCTTACAGTCCTTTTGTTTTTCCTATTCTTGCAGGCAAGTGCAAAACAGTGGTTTTTGGAAGGCAATTCATAATTACTCTGAAGCTATTTCGGCATATTTTTTACTGATTTTTTTTTTTTTTTGAGACAGGGTCTTGCTCTGTTGTCCAGGCTGGAGTGCAGTGGCATGATCATGGCTCACAGCAGCCTCAGCCTCCCTGGCTCAAGCGATCCTCTCGCCTCAGCCTCCTGAGTAGCTGGGACCGCAGGCATGCACCACCACACCGGGCCAATTTTTTTTTTTTTTTTTTTTTTTTTGTAGAGATAGGATCTATGTTGCCCAGGCTAGTTTCAAACTGCTAGGCTCAAGCTATGCTCCCACCTCGGCCTCCAAGTGCCAGGGTGTGAGCCACATGCCTGGGCTGTGATTTTTTTTTTTCTTTTAATCAAACTACTGTCTGGAAGTAAAACATGAAAGTTGAGTAATTTTCTCAAGCACGTAGTTTGCTTGCTAACAAGTAATGGATTAATTAGCTTTACGTTTTCACTCTTGTCTCAAGGTTTTTACTGGGTAATAATTTGTAATAAGTTATTAGGCACAAACCACTGGTCAGGAACTGTACACGCATTTTAAAAAATCCTCAGTATCCTTAGGAGTTACAATTGGCATCTTACAGATGAGAAAATCAAGGTTAGAAACAGCTACTGTCATTTGTCCAGATCATACAGCTACAAGCAATGAGGATCAGGATTCAAATCCAGGCCAGTTTGACTCTAAAGTCCTTGCTCATTTCACCAGAGCCAGCTATTCAATTTTTATGTTTTTTCTTTTGCTGTAACTGCCTGTTCACTAATTTCACTCCTTCCCTTCCTTGTGTGAAGCTGAAATTTATGTAGCACATAGTTCCAACTGCTTTGAAGGAGCTAAATTTAGTATTAATACACTGACTAAGTTGATACAGGTTACTGTAGATACTTTAAACAGACACAATAAAGTCAAGGATCATAGATGTGACCTCAGTTTGTCCTGGAATCCTTTTTGTTCCTCTTCTTTGCCTATTGGTTTTTACATTTGCAGGATTCAACTCAGGATGTCGGCCTTCCATGACATCCCCAATCTGGGTTAGATGCCCTCTTGTGATGCTTTAGCATCATGGCCTTACATCTAACAGAGCACTTGCCACACTAGTCATGTGCTACATGATGATGTTTTGGTCAGCCACAGACAGCAGATACAATGGTGGGATGAGAAGTGGGGGTGGAAGACAGTGAGACTGATGATCCTGACCTTTTGTATGCCTAGCATAATGTGTGTGTTTGTGCCATGGTTTTTAACAAAAAAGTTTTAGAAGTAAATAGTAAAACAAAACAAACAAACAAAAATTAATAGAAAAAAAGCTTCTAGAATAAGGATATAAAGAAATAAAGTATTTTTCTACAGCTGTACATTTGCATTTTAGGCTAAGTGTTATGACAAGAATCAAAAAAGTTTATAAAGGCCAGATATAGTGGCTCACTCCAGGTCAGGAGTTTGAGACCAGCCTGGCCAACATGGTGAAACCCTGTCACTAAAAATACAAAAATTAGCTGGGTGTGGTGGCGCATGCCTGTAGTCCCAGCAACTCGGGAGGCTGAGGCAGGAGAATCACTTGAACCCAGGAGTCAGAGGTTGCAGTGAGCCGAGATCATGCCACTGCACTCCAGCCTGGGCAACAGAGCAAGACTCCATCTCCAAAAAAAAAAAAAAAAAAAAGTCTAAAAAACCCAACTGGACAACAAGCAAGACCTCGTCTCTACAAAATTTAAAAATTAGCTGAGTGTTGGTGGCCCGCACCTATAGTACCAGCTACTCGGGAGGCTGAGGTTTGAGGATCACTTGAGTCTAAGAGGTCAAGGCTGCAGTGGGCCATGATTGTGCCACTAAACTCCAAATTAGGTAACAGACCCTGTTTCTCAAAAAAAAAAAACAAAACAAAACAAAAAAACTCATAAAGTAAAAGTTACAGTAAGCTAAGGTTAATTTATTGAAGAAAAAATATATATCTAATATATATAATACATAATATATATAATGTGTGTGTGTGTGTTTATTTTCAAGACAGTCTTGCCCTGTCGCCCAGGCTGGAGTGCAGTAGCGCGATCTCGGCTTACTGCAACCTCCGCCTCACAGGTTCAAGCTATTCTCCTGCCTCAGACTCCTGAGTAGCCGGGACTATGCCACCACACCCGGCTAACTTTTTTTGGTATTTTTTTTAGTAGAGATGGGGTTTTGCCATGTTGCCCGGGCTGGTCTCTAAACTCCTGAGCTCAGACAACCTGCCCGCCTAGGCCTCCCGAAGTGTTAGGATTACAGGCATGAGCCACTACGCCTGGCCAAGAAAAATATTTTCAATAAATTTAGTATAGGTTAAGTGTGCAGTGTTTATACAAGTCTACATGTTCCAACTGTCTATAGCATGCAGGACAGTAACATGCTATACGGGTTTGTAGCCTAGGAGCAACAGACTATACCATATAGCCTAGGTGTACTGGTAGGCTATACCATCTAGGTTTGTGGAAGTAAACAACATGATGTTTACACAATGACAATATCACCTAACGATGCATTTCTCAGAACATATCTCTGTCATTAAGTGATGCGTGACTCTATTTGCTCCTTTATCTCTAACATTACATTGTAAGGGTAAGGACTGTGTTATCAAGCCTGTATTCCTAACAAAATCTATGTTTAAGAAATATTTATTGTGAGTTTACTATGTATCAGGTACAGTGCTAGGTACTCACAATTGGAGACATAATTTTATAGATGAGAACACTGAAACTCTGAGAAATTAAGAACTTACTCAAAGTCACACAGCTGGCAAATGGGTTGCACCAGTATACCTACCTCCAGAATATATATTGGGTAAAGGATCTGTTTGCATGAACAAACAAAAAAATCATATTCTTGTAAGTATTTTTACACCCTGTACCAGTAGATCTTTCTTTAAATAAATTCCGAAGATGAACAATTTTTGTCCCATCTAAAATATTCAAAGCAAAGTCCACCTGTTCTGACTCTAGAACAAAAAGCTACAAATAGAGGAAATAAATAAGTTGAATTCAAATGCTGCTGAGAAAAGGCAATGTATATTATAGTTCTGTGGTAGTACTGATAACATTCAAGTCATTCTTAGGCACCAGTCTTACGTATATGAAGTCACTTTTTCATTCCATTGTACAAAACTCATATTTTGAGAAAAATCTAATAGCTAATAGTCTCCAACACCATATGATCATAATCCTTTAGCTTAAGTAGAGATCTACTTATTAAATGAGGCACCATCAACCTAAGGAAAGATAAGCTGTAAGAGAATGAAGACAGAGGTATATCAAGTAACAAGAACATTCTTCCTTATCAGGATAAAATGTTTATCAGTATTCAAATAAAATATCTTAAATGGAAAGAGACAGGAAAGAACATGGTTAAATCACAGAAAATGAAGAAAGGGAGAAGCTGATCATGATCTTGTACAACATTATGACAGCACTAAGGTATTACGTATCCAATACAAGGATACTTAATAGACCAAAGAATTTAAAATCCCAGGGAACTGGAATAACCAGCCACAAAAGAGGCCTCTCTTTGTTGTGGTTCACAACACAAAAGGCCATCAACAAATTAGGAAATATTAAAATTAAGAGAGCAGCAGGTTTCTTCTTGGTAGACAGCTCATGCTACCATCCACAAAGTGAGCAGTGGAAGGGGTATTTAATGTCAAGGCTTTATTTTGAATTTCTGTTCCAGATGCCTCTCCACAGCATTCATCACACCTTCCTTCACACTTGAAGGGAAAAGTCCTTAAGAGTTCACCACATTTTGGTGTTATTTTTAGCATAAACATTTGTTTTTCTATAAGAAGTATCTCTCTGGATTCAAACCACAGAAATGTCAATGAATGTTATTTCCATTGTATAATCATTTAAAAGTCACCTACAGAGCTGGGTGCAGCAGCTTGTGCCTGTAATCTCAGTTACTCAGGAGGCTAAGGCAGGAGGATTGTGTGAGGTCAGGAGTTCAAGACCAGCCTGGACAACATGGCAAGACCCTCATCTCTACAGGAAAAAAAAAAGGCACCTACAAATTGAAACTGACTTGATAGTTTAGGATCATTTATCACCAGTCCCATGTACTTGTAGTTGATTTCAAATGTTTGGTACAGGTGACTGTAAGACTTCAAGTATTCCATGAAAATAACATTCATGCTGGGATCATAAAATTACATTTCTGGGACAGTATTTTTAAAGTCTGTTTTTAACTTTTGTCTTCAAGAGCTACTTTCTTCTTGCTGTTCTGACCAGTGACCTTTTTCCTGTAAAGAGCAAAGTAAGAAAAATTGAATAAAAAATTCTACGTATATTTACTTTCCATAACCCTACCACCAGTTTAATAAACATTTACTGAAACCTACTGTGTATCAAATAATGAGGCACTAGGAACACAAAGATGCATTAGACATGGTCTCTGCCCTTTAGAAAATCACAATCACCTAAGTGAGGCAGAACCATCACAGTAAACTACATTACTACATGGTATGACACATAGGTTCGGATCCTGACCTAATGAGTTCACAATGATTCAGTGCTTACTGCATGCTAGAAACGGTTACTAAGTGCTTTACATGTATTAACTCGGGTAATTTTCCTAACAACTTATGAGGAGTATTGTATTATTATCCTCCGTTTACAGATGAGGAAAATGAGGCACAGAGTGGTTGACTTGCCAGTCATCACTCACTGGTAATCCATGTTAGACACGAATCCTATCAGTCTGATCCTATAGCCTAGTGAAGGTTGAATGTCATTAACTAAGTGGTAACAGACAAAGGAAAAAAGTTTTGAGAAAATAATCAATGTTTGCAAACTATTATTATAGTAATACAAAGTTCTTTGGTGTATATTAACTCATATAATCCCAAATCCCAACTCTACACAGGGAAGTAGATATTAGAACCAGTTCTTCTGGCTCCAAATCCAGTTCCTCCCCGACTCACTGCATGGGGCTGAGTTTGTGATGCCTGAAGTGAGGTCCACTAGGCAGCAAGGATTCAGGTTTGTAGCTCAATGGGGAAGTTGGGGCTGAAGATAACGACCTTAAGAGCGATCAGCACAGAAATATGAGCTGAGCCTATAGGCATGGGTGGGATCATTAAGGAAACATCTATAGCATAGAGGTAAGCCAGAGTTGGATCATGATGGGTCTTGCTTGTATGCTATGTTAAGTAGTATGGCCTTTACATATGAAGAAAATGGAGACACAACCAAAGCACCTTAAGCAGGGGGCTGATATGACAAGATTTATATCAAGTGTCTTCGAAGTCTTAGTACAAATTAAGTTTTAATAACCTCAGAAGAAGGCAGGTGCAGTGGCTCATGCCTGTAATCCCACCATGTTGGGAGGCAGAGGTAGGCAGATCGCTTGAGTCCAGGAGTTTGAGACCAGCCTGGGCAATATGGCAAAACCCCATCTCTACTAAAAATAAAACAATATTAGCCAGGCACGGTGGCATAAGCCTGTAGTCCTAGCTTCTCAGGGGGCTGAGATGGGAGGACTGCTTGAGCCCAGGAGGTCGAGGCTGCAGTGAGCCCTGATTGTGCCACTGCACTCCAGTCTGGGTGACAGATTGAGACCCTGTCTCAAAAAACAAACAAAAAACCCCAGAAGTATAAATGCTATAAACTTATAAAAATCAGCATTTAGACTGGGCGCGGTGGGTCATGCCTTAGCACTTTGGGAGGCCGAGGCGGGCGGATCACAAGGCCAGGAGATCAAGACCACCCTGGCCAACATGGTGAAACCCCGTCTCTACTAAAAATACAAAAATTAGCTGGGCATGGTGGTGTGTGCCTGTAATCCCAGCTACTCAAGAGGCTGAGGCAGGAGAATCACTTGAACCCGGGAGGTGAAGGTTGCAGTGAGCCGAGATCGTGCCACTGCACTCCCGCCTAGCAACAGAGATTCCATCTCAAAACAAAAACAAATCAGCATTTAAAGTATAATTATTTAAAATACTGATGTATCTTATTAAAATTCAACATAGCCACCATCTTATGTTCTAGTTGATTTTTGACCTTTGTAAAAACTTTCATCAGTTGCTGCTCAGTGCCTGAAAGGACTGCATTTGTTATCTTGGCTTTAAGACCATCCAAAGAGTAACACATACACAACAGTTCTGATGTGACCCACTCCTCTCCTACCAACAAGTCTATTAAGACAGATTAGGTGACCAAAGTGGCCAAGCATAACAAGGTTCGCTACCAATCCACTGGTCTAAGTGTCACCCAGAAACTGTTGCGACAGAAAATTAAAATTTAAAAATGTTGGCCAGGTGCAGTGGCTCACACTTGTAATCCCAGCACTTTGGGAGGCCGAGGTGGGAGATCACATGAGGCCAGGAGTTTGAGAGTTCGAGACCATCTTGGCCAACATGGTGAAACCCCATCTCTAGTAAAAATACAAAAAAATTAGCCAGGCATGGTGGCGGGTGCCTGTAATCCCAGCTACCCAGGAGGCTGAGGCACGAGAATCACTTGAACCTGGGAGGTGGAGGTTGCAGTGAGCCGAGATTGCGACACTGCACTCCAGCCTGGGCGACAGGGTGGCAGAGCAAGACTCCATCTCAAAAAAAAAAAAAGTAAATGTGATTGTGAAGCATTCCCAAAACTGAATAAGTACAAATGGAATTTGTACTTATTGATTGATTGACTATTCAAATATACTTTTTTCAGTTTGTAGCACTTATCCTTCCCAAGTTATTAAAAGTATGATAAAATTTTGAGACACTATATATACACTGTATATTTGAACCGACTTTTATTCCTCATAGACAATACCAACATGTGAAAACTCTTGTTCACTTATTTACAAAGCACACTCTAATTTTCATGCCTCTATTCATCTTGTTCCCTTCTCCATGCCTAAATTTTACCTATCCTTAAAGATAGTTCTACTTTGTTGAAACTTCTGTAACCACACCAATTCACAATCATCTTTCTCTTATCTCCTATTTTATTTAAAAGCCAGTCTCTAATTTTCTGTCATGTACACGAATCTTCTTTACCTAACTTCAGGAAAGGATCTCATTTTATATTCATTTGTATACACTACCACCACCAAGTACCTTGCAGAACAACTTGGTAAATGCCTACTGGTTGATGGAAACAGTTTTTTTCTAATGACTTCTATAGAACAGATGTGAGATAACTGGATATAAGCATTAGCATATTTCACAATGGTAATATCCTAGGCCATTGATAGCACTCTCAGGGGAGAAAAAAACAATAAATTATAGACTTGAACAATTCTATTAGAGTATATAATAACCTGGTTCTGGTAGAATGTGAAGAGTGCCATTTTCCTTAAATAGTGGATAGAGTATAACTGTTCAAAATATCTTGGCCTATCCTTTTCAAAATATAAAGCTTCCTAGTATTACTGGGCAAAATAAGGTAGCCTGTATGAATGCTAAAAAACTATACTTTAATATTCTCATAAAACTCAGCTAAGCTAGCACAAATTTACCTAAGTAATACTTCTTACAGGTGTTACAATGTGCATCTGCGTAAGCCTGAGATCATATTGAAATCCTGCCCAGAATATGGAGCTTCAAAGAAGACTAGATCCATGTAAGTCAATGGTCCTAACTATTGGCCTTAGTAGCATGTCCTAATGTGGGCTGTGTAGAGAAGGTGGGCAGTATAATTCGAATTTATAGAGAATTGAAATAATATTTTCCAAGACGGAAAAAAACAGATCATCAACATATTGGTACAGAAAAATTCCAATATTAAAACAAATTCCTGGCTGGGCATGGTGGCTCACGCCTGTAATCCCAGCACTTTGGAAGGCTAAGGCAGGTGGATCACCTGAGCTCAGCCTGGCCAACATGGTGAAACTCCGTGTCTAATAAAAATACAAAAAAAAAATAGCTGGGTGTGGTGGCGGGAGCCTGTAATCCCAGCTATTTGGGATGATGAAGCAGTAGAATGGCTTGAACCCGGGAGGCAGAGGTTGCAGTGAGCTGAGATCACGCCACTGCACTCCAGCCTGGGCGACAGTGCAAAACACTGTCTCAAAAAAACAAACAAACAAATTTCCCAATTATAGGCAACCTAAAATATATTATTTTTATAACGTTTTATAACAGACTGTAGTATCAATTCTACTTCTAAAAATTTACCTAAGGAAAAATAATGCCTACTATAACTTTATGATGGTGTCAAACAGCCATTTTTCTTACCACATACTTACTGTTTATCCTTAGCTTTTT
The DNA here is from genome assembly GCF_000001405.40 of Homo sapiens. NCBI lineage: Eukaryota > Metazoa > Chordata > Mammalia > Primates > Hominidae > Homo > Homo sapiens. The sequence continues at coordinate 1,857,421 of NT_187614.1, forward strand.
CTAAGAAACATTTTGGAGTTGTACTAATGCTCTCCCTTTCCAATGGTTTCTTAATCATCTTTTTCTTTTGTTTGCTGAAAGTTACAAAGTAAAAAAGGAAAAGAATTAAGTGCAACTTCAATTAGAAGAGTTAAAGCTAAAATTAGTTTTGATCCTTGATCACAAAATTCATTTTTTTTTTTTCCTTTGAGACGGAGTTTTGCTCTTGTTGCCCAGGCTGGAGTGCAATGGCACAATCTCGGCTCACTGCAACCTCTGCCTCCTGGGTTCAGGCGATTCTCCTGCCTCAGCTTCCCAAGTAGCTGTGATTACAGACATACACCACCACGCCCGGCTAAATTTTTTTTTGTATTTTAAGTAGAGATGGGGTTTCTCCATGTTGGTCAGGCTGGTCTCAAACTCCCGACCTCAGGTCCCGCCCGCCTCGGCCTCCCAAAGTGCTGGGATTACAGGCGTGAGCTACCACGCTCAGCCACAAAATTCATTTTACAAAACCATTTACTGGTTTAAGGTGGGGCTGTAACTACTTTAATAAACGAGATCGCCTAATAGGATTTACAGAGCTAACTCAAAGGGATGATAAATTCAATCAACCTTTTAGAAAGCTACTGACTGTGATTAAAATATGTCCTGTGCCAACCTTATATCCTGTGTCAACAAGCATCAGAGTTTGATTTTGATCAATTAAGTTTTTTACCAGCTTTATGAACTAAAATAATTCTCAGCATATTTTACTTATACTGAATACTTTTAAAAGAATCTGAATACTTCACATTTCAAGGATAAGCCTAGGTGCAGTAGCTCATGCCTATAATCCCAGCACTTTGGGAGGCCCAGGTGGGCAGATCACTTGAGGTCAGGAGTTTGAGACCAGCCTGGCCAACATGGTGAAACCCCATCTCTACTAAAAATACAAAGATTAGCTGGGCATGGTGGCGCACACCTGTAATTCCAGCCACTTGAGAGGCTGAAGCAGGAGAACTGCTTAAACCTGGGAGGCAGAGGTTGCAATGAGCTGAGACTTCATCTCAAGGAAAAAAATAAATAAATAAAGGATAAAAAACTGGCAAGGAAATAACATGTAATATTCACAAGCAGTTTTGGACTGGGCACAGTGACACAAGCCTGTAATCCTAGTACTTCGGGAGGCAAGGATATAAGATAGCAAGATCACTTGAGGCCAGGAGTTCAAGACTAGCCTGGTTAACACAGCAAGACCCCATTTCTACTCCCCAAAAATCTAAAAAATATTATAGCCAGGCATGGTAGTACATGCCTGTAGTCTCAGCTACTTAGGGGACTGAGGCAGGAGGATCACTTGAGCCTAGGAGATCAAGACTACAGTGAGCTGTGATCATGCCACTGCACTGCAGTCTGGGCAACAGAGCAAGAAAAAAAAAAAAAAGAATGTATATACAAAGAGACAGACAAAGATACAGGTAAATTCAAGATTGTACCTTAGTAGTTTCTGAAAACCTTTTATGTATTCTGGTACAGGACACCCAGCCTGCTGTATAACATTAGCAACGCTGAAAAAGAAACCCATAAACATAAACTTGTATCTTTGCTAAATTGATGTTTATGAATGTAAACCCTCTGCACAACCTTACAGGGAACTAAAACTACACAAAGTAATCCACAAAGTGTTCTGATATATTATCAATTATTACCTGATGTAAGCACATTGGATTACAGAGAGAACTATCCACTGGGCTGAAATTAATGCACTGATGAATAACTATAGATAGCAGCTATTTCAACATTTATCAAGCCCTACAAAACTGGTAAACTCAATCTTGGAGGAAGCACTGACTGAAGCCAGAGTCAAGCTTAAATTCATTAAGTGAAAGTGCCTACTATGGGGTTGGCACCGTTGCCAAGTTTTTTGTGTATAGTAACTTCTTCACTCTTCACAACAAGCCTGTGTTGTAAATACTATCACTGTCCTCATTTCACAGATGGAAAACTGAGGTGCATAGTTTTACACTAATATTTGGGTCATGGGATTCACATGCTTGGAGTTGCTGAGGCCTATGGTGGATCTAGGTTGTTGGAATATACCCCTCTACACACGCACATTTGAATCTGCTTAAAGCGATATAAAGGCTGACAGGTGGCAGAGCCAAAGCTCAGAAAGCACAACCAAAATATTTACCAAAACTGATAAACAGATCTAAGTACAAACCTCCTTTGGCCAAAACTAGATTAGCTAGAAATGTGAAGTGTTAATCATCATCAACCAAAAATTACTATAGGCAGTCAAAATGCAGGAAACTCATCTTCTACATTAAAATCTAACATCAACCATTGAAAGAGTCCTGAGTCTGAAACTTACAATGAACATTCCATTTTGAATATGTATTTCCAAATTCTAATAACGGAAGGGCAAAAACAAGGCCTTTTGATCATTTTTCCTTTCCCATGGCTAAAATTTGGTCAACTAACACCATTATCAGTAGAATTTGGGACATAGCCATTTTGTAATTATCTCTTAATTGAATATACATATAAGAATAATGAAGCAATTTTGCCAATAACACTAGGTTATTTTTTCTAATTTACCTTCTTAATAATGGCTTATCATCCTCAGTGAAAAATGTAATTGCTTTTCCCTTATTCCCTGCTCTTCCAGTTCGACCTAAGAAAAATTAGACCATTAAAAAACACATTTTGGGGGGAAGGAGGCTCTCAAAATTCATTTATAAAAGTCACTGGATTTTCACAGCACTAAGAAGTGAGCATATGTGCAGGGAATAGCAGGGGTCCTAAGACAGATCAGTGGGTGACAGAGGGGAAGGAAAAAAAAGACAACTCACCTATCCTGTGGATATATTCCACTGAGCTAGTTGGAAAGTCATAGTTGATCACCAAGTTCACACCTTTAAAATCAATCCCTCTTGCTAGCAAGGCTGTACAAATCAGAACCCAGATTTTTCCTGCTCTGAAACTGTGGACTGTGTTATCTCTCTGGTTAACAGAATATATATTAAATTGTTTTAGAATGAAAACAGGTACTTCATAAATTTAATGTCAATAGTTTAAAATCAAGTAGTTCTTCTGAGTTTCAAAGTATATATTTGACTTTACCTGTTGTTGTGTTCTCTCTGCATGAATAACATCCACATTAATACCTTCATATATGAGCTCATGAAAAAGTTCTTTAGCCCTTTCAATGGACTGAACAAAAACAAGAACAGGTGGATTGAAACCCTAAAAGAAGACAAAAATTGGCATACATAACTCAATCAAGAATACAATTGGTCATTATTTCATAATTTGATTGTAGCTTTTAAGAACCCAATTCAATTTAGTGTACTTTCTTGGCCAAATTTCTTGGGCTAGTGGTCTAATTCTGCCTCCATCTTCGTCACCATTCTCTCCAATTGGTTATTTCCACTCAACTTGAAATATATTCTCCATCTTGCTAATTCCAATAATGTTGTCTAATCAATCCCCCTACACCCCACTATGGTAACAGATGCCTCAACTTTGAAATAATCATCTCTTGACTTCTGTGCCTCAAAACCTTTTTTTATTCTGCTTAAAATGAAATAATTATCTTTTTAATTCATTGGGTTTTTTGGGGTGAAATTAATTTTTTTATTCTTATGGATTTAGGGGTACAGGTGCATTTGTGTTACACAGATATATTGCATACTGGGGAAATCTGGGCTTTTAGTGTACCCATCACCCCAATGGTGTACACTGAACCCCACAGGTGGTACTTCATCCCTCATTAACTCATTATTTATCCTAACTCTGGTGCTCTCCCCAAGCTTAGTCCTTGGTTCTCAGTTCTTTCAATATAATCTTTATTTTACTGAGTTGAATCTCTACTACTATCTCTAAGTAAACATTTTTTTTTTTACTACATCTGATGTCTGTGAATCTAAACAAATTATTTTTACATTTACACTATCAAACCCTTACTCTCTCTCAAACCAGCTATCTTTTTAACTGTTCATATTAGAGTTTCTTAGCCTTTTTTTTTCTTTTTTTTTTGAGACAGAGTCTTGCTATGTTGCCCAGGCTGGAATACAGTGGTGCAATCTTGGCTCACTGCAACCTCTGCCTCCCAGGTTCAAGCGATTCTCCTGCCTCAGCCTCCTGAGTAGCTGGGATTACAGGTGTGCACCACCACGCCTGGCTAACTTTTTTGTATTTTTAGTAGAGATGGGGTTTCACCATGTTGGTCAGGCTGGTCTCGAACTGCTGACCTGATGATCCGCCCGCTTCGGCCTCCCAAAGTGCTGGGATTACACCGGTGAGCCACCACGCCTGGCCGAGTTTCTTAGCCTTTTTATGATGGCTTAAACATCTCTTTTGGAATCTAATGAAAGCTAAGAAACTTTCTAATAAGTAACTACTCATTCACACAAAAATCTTACGTATAATTTTAGAGGGTTTGCAGACCTCCCAAAGCTCAAACATGGCTGAAAACCTCTGGTGTATAATCTCCAAGGAATATCCTGGAAAACCTTAAATTTCCTAGTACCAAATGATTCTCTTAAGAATATTAATAAAATACATTTAGCATTTACTATGTGCCAAGCACTATTATATAATAAGTACTATGCTTGTACTAATGAATTAATAGTAAAACAGCTCTATGAGGTAGATATTATTATCCCATTTTACAGACAAGGAAAATGTGGAAGAGAGGTTAAGTTGTGTAAAGCTATAGTGGTGGAGCTAGAACTACCCAAGTAGCCTGGCTCCTGAGTCCATGGTCTTAACCACTAAAGCAAACCATTCTATAGTCACCAGGTACTTGCAAACTTTTCCCTTCTAGCCTCCAACTATACTTAATGTCTCACCACTAAGGCTGCTGCCCTTATTTCTTCCTCATCTCTGCCTACCCCAGTTTAAAAGCCTGATTGGTTTCCTTACTTTCCATCTTTCCCATTACAATTCACCTTACATATTACTGTTTAACTAATTTTCCTTAAAAATTATGTAGTCACAATTAGCCGGGCATGGTGGCAGGCACCTGTAGTCCCAGGTACTCGGGAGACTGAGGTAGGAGAATGGCGTGAACCCAGGAGGCAGAGCTTGCAGTGAGCCAAGATGACGCCACCGCACTCCAGCCTGGGTGAAAGAGCGAGACTCCATCTCAAAAACAAAAACAAAATTATGTAGTCACATTCTTCAAAAATATCCTGACCCCAGCTTTCCTGTCCCACCTGGTTTTCTTTAATTCCATACCATAAACTGTTTGCCTTAGACAGGTAACTGCTTCATTAGTCTTCAAACACATGGTGTTCACTTCCACCTCTTAAGGGTTTACTCAAGCTGCTCCCCCAGCCGTCAATGCTCTTCCCCTCCACGTTTTATCCTGAAAATCCTTCAAGGATCAGTTTAGTAGCATTTCTTCTATAAGGCTCAACCAATTTGGCTCACCCTGGTGGCCCCATTATGACTATATGGATGCTTAAAAAAGTACTCTTTAGCCCTTTATGACACTTTATCAGAGACTATCTTACACAAGTGTATTTATTTTATCCCTCTAAACAAGACTAAATTCCAGGGGCAGGGCTTAGGAGATTTCTTGTATTGTCCAGTGCTGACACCTCAGTACTTTTTAACTATGGCTTCTACTCAGTTCTTACTGAAAGGATAAAAACAGAAAACCCCACTCAGTGTCCTACAACACCCCAGTTCTTCTATAAGAAACCAGAGGAGGGATGGAGCAGGCAAATGTGGAAAAATGAGATTCTCAGGGCATCAGATAGATCGTTTCCTAGCCTAATCTGAGCTGCGAAAAGACAACTTACCATATTCTGAGAGGCAAGCTTCTGTCCCTTGGGATAAGAGCTGGGACAACACGCTTCTTAACCATTTACTCCTAGATTACTAAATACGATGCAGGATGATCATATAGTTAGCACAATGTACTTTCTTATCAATTTACCAATGGATTACTGAATACGAGCCAAGATGATGATGATACAGTGCTACCACTGTAATAGCCTCCCACTAGTAATATAAGACTTGGCAAACTTTACCAAAATTCAAGAAGGTAATACAAATATACCTTTTTAACAAGTTCTCTCATGGCCAGAAGTTTTCCGGTCTCAGATCCAACAAAGAGAAGCTCTTGTTCTACAGTTTCTACTGCAGAATTCCTGGGAAGAAAATATACCTTGTAGTTTGTAAGAGTTAATTTTTGCTTTTTCCCCTGAACTCTAAATAAATGAAAAAATTTACACACAACTCCAACAAAATCAATTTTTCCACTGTCAATATTAATAAGTACTGAATTATTTATACTTTAACTTGAAGACAAAATTGTTATTTTTAAATGCTTTCTTCTAATTTTAAAAATATCTTGAAATGCCACCCATTAAAACTTATGTTTCAGTCATAAATTTTCAGGTATTTGATTAGTTATAAAAAATTTCTAACTGTAAAATTATTGAGTAAAATAATAAAAATATTTTTAAGGTTGTTATTACACATGGTTAAACATTTTTCATAATGATTAGCAAAGATTTATTTATAGACCAACAGTTAGGGGTGAGATATATTAAGACTTTATTAATACTCTGTAAGATGTTACAATGTACTGTGTTGTATCATAAATATTTTTCCCATTTAATTATTTTTATCTAAATATATTTAAATATACATTAACCATATTTAAATATGTTTAATTTCCCATTGAAATTATGTTTATGGTGAATTCATTCTGCTTTCCTGTTTTTTTTGTTTTTCAAGATGGAATCTCACTCTGTCACCCAGGCTGGAGTGCAGTGGGGCGATCTTGGCCCACTGCAACCTCCACCTCCCAAGCTCAAGCAATACTCCTGCCTCAGCCTCCCAAGTAGCTGGGATTACAGGCACACACCCATTTTTGTATTTTTGGAAGAGATGGGGTTTCGCCATGTTGGTCAGGCTGGTCTCGAACTCCTGACCTCAGGCGATCTACCTGCCTCTGCCTCCCAAAGTGCTGTGATTACAGGTGTGAGGCACCGTACCCAACCTTGCTTTCTTCTTATAAACAGGAATTTTAGGTTTAAAATAGGGTATTCTTTACTGTTCCATTGGCTACTTTTTCACTTAATATGGTACTACAAACACTTTTTCATATAGCTACAGTCTTCCTACATCATTTCAGGGGTTACATAATAATCCATCAGGTAGCAGTATCATAATTTCTTTAAACTTTTTTCTGTCACTGAGCATTTATTTAGCATAAAATGCTCCCCAAAATATTTTTTAAAAGGAAATATATATCAAGTGGCTCAGTGACATCAGGTTCTTCCTCTGTGGTCCACTTATTTAAGCCATCAAAGAAACTAAATCTTCTAGGTGGCCACAGAGCTCATGTTATACTCTGTGGATGGAAAAAAACACCTAAAAGCATGATGACAGGAATGTTAATATGACAATGTAAAAACCTTCTTTTAGATTACTCTAAAATAGAAAATCCTTAAACAATCTTGGCTTAAAAGAACACATTTCAATCAGTAAAACTCTCTCCCTTGCTAGTCTCAGGCCAAGAAACCTATCTCCTTCAGTCTTTAAAAAAGACTTGTATTTAAAAAAAAAATCAGTGTGATAATGTTGAGAAACAATTAAATACCTTGCTCCAATGGACACACTGATGACATTGTCCAGGTTGAGTTTGCACCACTGTTCAACATCATATGCAAAAGTTGCACTGAACATAGCTCTTCGGACCTTGTGGGATGTGCAGGCCAGGAAAATGGAAGCCAGCTGGTCTCTGAACCCAGTTTTGCCATCTTCAAACAGTTTATCTGATTCGTCTACTACAAGCCACTCAACACTAAGAAATAACAAAACAACTTGTGGATACTGAACTGAAAGATCCAAGACACTTCACTAAACTGTGGGGACAGTGGACACATGAGGAAGTCAAACTATAATGCTGCTTCTCAGATCCACTTTATCATACCAAAAAAAAAAAATAAGAAACACAAGCAGGTGTCATGGTTTGGCTGTGTATCCCCACCCAAATCTCATCTCGAATTGTAATCCTCACGTGTTGAGGGAGGGACCTGGTGGGAGGTGACCGGCTCATGGGGGCACTCTCTCTCTCTCTTCCCCATCTGCCACCATGTAAGATATGTCTTGCTTCCCCTTCTGCCATGACCGTAAGTTTCCTAAGGCCTCCCCAGTCATGCCCTGACTTGTGGGTCAATTAAACCTTCCGTTCTTTATAAATTACCCAGTCTCAGGTAGCTGTTTAGAGCAGCATGAAAACGGACTAACACAGCAGGAAAAAGGTAAAAGGAAGATAAACATAGCTTAATGTACCTATTCCAATAGCCTCAAAGATACGAGGTTCCATTTCTTTTCTATGAATTTTTTTAAAAAACCATTATTCTCAGTGCCAACACTGACTGAAGGTGGCAAACAGCAAGCTCCAAAGACAAAAAATACAAGCAATAGAGGACAAAATATAATTAACTAAATTAAAAATACACACGAAAGACATGAAAATATCATCTATACCTTGCTAGGTCGATTCCGGGGGGATCTTGCTTTAATAAATAGATTAGTCGATTTGGAGTAGTCACAAGAATATCTATAGGAAAAACAAATGGTAGAAATTGCAAAAACAGGATTTATCCCTCTTGAACTAGGAATTAAGCCTCCTCAACTTCAGTTAATAACCTGAAGTGGGAAGTAGTCATAGCCAACAACACAAAACTATTATATCCCTACTTTCCTTTTAATATATCTGAGCAGCTTTCTCTTTCTTTTTGAGACAGGGTCTTGCTCTGTCACCCAGCCTGGATGGAGTACAATGTGTGATCATAGCTCACTGCATGCAACTTCAAACTCTTGGGCTCAAGAGATCTTCTGGCATCAGCATTCTGAGTAGCTGGGACTACAGGCACATGCCACTGCACCTGGCTAATTTTTATTTATTACTATTATTTTTTTGAGACAGTCTAGCTCTGTCGCCCAGGCTGGAGTGCAGTGGCACAACCTCGGCTCACTGCAAGCTCTGCCTCCCGGGTTCACGCCATTCTCACTCCCGAGTAGCTGGGACTACCACTAGCTGGGACTACAGGCGCCCGCCACCACGCCCGGCTAATTTTTTGTATTTTTAGTAGAGATGGTAAATTTTTTTTTTACTTTTATTTTTGTAGAAACAGGGTCTCCCTATGCTGTCCAGGCTGGTCTCGAATTCCTGGGCTCAAGCAATCTCCCTGCCTCAGCCTCCCAAAATGCCGGATTACAGGCATGAGCCACAATACCCAGCCTCTTCTCAATTTCTAAGAGGAAAGAACAATTTAATTTTCAAATCTTTTTTTCCCCCAGGAAAATCATTTTTTTTACATGGAATTTTATGCAGAGGCCCAAGATTTAAACAAAACAAAACAGATGAAAGCTTATCTCCAAGTGGACAATGTCAAAAAACAAAAAGAAAAAAAAAAAATGAAAGCAGATTCTCTGGCTGATATAAGGGTGAGGATGTAAGCCGTTCTTTTTGTTTTTTTTAAGATGGAGTCTCACTCTGTTGCTCAGGCTGGAGTACAGTGGTGCAATCATAGCTCATGGCAGCCTTGAACTCCTGCGCTCAAGTGATCTTCCCACCTCAGACTCCCAAGTAGCTAGGACTACAGGCATGCACCACCATGCCTGGCTAATTTTTTTTTATTTAAAAAATTTCTTTTAGAGATGGAGTCTCGCTATGTTGCCAAGGCTGGTCCCAAACTCCTGGCCTCAAGCAATCCTCCCACCTCAGCTTCTCCATAGCTATAGGTATGGAGAAGATTACAGGTGTGAGCCACTGCACCCAGCTATGCATGCCATTCCTGTCTGCCAGAGTATTTCCATGGCAGATTAAAAATCAATGGTATAAATCAGAATTTTTTAGCCTCAGCACTGTTACCACTTTGGGCCACTAAGTGTTCGTTGCAGGGGACTGTCCTGTGCACCGCAGAATGTTTAACAACATCCTTGGCTATAGGCTAGTAACTACAGGCTAGTAGCACTTCTCCCCAGTTGTGACAACTACAAATGTCTCCAAATTATTGCCAAATGTCCCTGTGGTGAAAGGTGGGGGGCAAGATTGTCTCTATTTGAGAACTACTGGTATATATTTATGTATAACTTCTCAGTAGAGTGAGAAGGGGATCGCTTTAGTTCTTCTAAAATTCAAATTTTATACATACATGACTATACTTTAACAACACTTACATAGCAATTAGGATATTTATAATTTCCAGATTCCTTACATGCTCTATCTACATCCCATGTATGAATTCCTTACCAAACTTTTTAGATGATTTAGGTCCAAATTTCTTGGCTGCCACTGCTGCTTTGTGGATCATGTGTATCCTGAATCCTGTTCCCTCAGAAATTTTTATTAACTCTCTGTGAATCTAAAAAAAAAAAGATTAAAAACATTAGCTGCTAACATACTTGGACAAGATGTATACTCTTTTACATGATTAATGAAATAAATCTATTACCAACCCATGAATATCTGAAATTAAACTCATAACAATCTGTAGATTAACCTGAAATCTCAGCATTTTGAAACTTCAATGCCTAATAAGATTCAATAATTTCTTCAGGTGGAATAAACTAGTTCCCAGAGATAAAACTAACCTATTTTGTATTGTTTTCAGAATACAGTACTACTGGCCGGGTGTGGGGGCTCACACCTGTAATCCCAGCGCTTTGGGAGGCCAAGGTGGGTGGATCACTTGAGGCCAGGAGTTCCAGACCAGCCTGGCCAACGTGGTAAAACCCCATCTCTACTAAAAACACAAAAACAATTAGCCAGGTGTGATGGTGCGCACCTGTAATCTCAGTTACTTGGGAGGCTGAGGCAGGAGAATCACTTGAACCTGGGAGGCAGAGGTTGCAGTGAGCCGAGATGGCGCCGCTGCACTCCAGCCTGGTCCACAGAGCATGACTGTCCCAAGAAAAAATACACACACACACACACACACACACACACACACACATAGTACTATTACAAGACTATTTCATACTTGATATGTGTTTCATATTAAGCACATTGGGAGGGTAGAACAGATCACTGTATACTTTTCCCTTCTAAAAAAAACAAACTGAGATGAGTCAGGCATAATGACTCATGCCTGTAAGCCCTGTACTTTGGCAGGCCAAGGTGGGAGGATCACTTGAACCCAGGAGTTCAAGACCAGCCTGGGTAACATAGGGAGACCTTGTTTCTACAAAAAGAAAAAAATTAACCAGGCGCAGTGGCATGTGCCTGTAGTCCCAGTTACTCAAGAGGCTGAAGAGGGAGAACTCTTGAGGCCAGGAGTTCGAGGTTGCAGTAAGCCATGATCACACCACTGCATGCCAGCCTGGGTAACAGAGTAAGAATCTGTGGCTAAAAAACAAACAAATAAATAAATAAAAACCAAAACTAAGATGAGTATTCATTTTTTTTAGATGAGAAAAATAAATGTCCAAGCAGGGCTATATTTAATTAGCCTTTCAACTTCAAAGACCTTAAAGCATTTACCAAAGAAGTGTAAATATTAAAATCACTGTGTTTTAGAAACTTACAGAAAGACTTAAAAGACTTGCCCACATGGAGTAAGATCCGGAGCACTGTGCTGTGTAGAGGATACTTGACCATGACAGAAGACGTGGGCCTTGCTTTTTAAGATCTTTTTATTACCTTCAAATAAGAAAGATCACTGAAGTAAAAACCAATCGCATACTCTTCAAAAGCTACAAGTCATACCTGGCTGGCAAGTTCTCGTGTTGGTGATATAATCAGGGCTCTGAAGCCTTTATTTGCGGGTTGTTTCAGCTGCATTAAAATAGGAATGCTAAAAGCTAATGTTTTTCCAGATCCAGTTGGAGCAGAAGCCAGAAGTTCCCGACCCTAAAAACATAGGGTATATTAAATACTACAAAGAAAGTACATAAATTTTTCAGAGCCTGGTCAAATAACGCTACCAGCCATAGAAAAAAACAAATACAATTTTACATAATGAATCTAATCTTTCAAGTCATATCTGCTTTCCTAACATCATCCATCCATGCCACCATCACCCCAACAAAGTTTCTGAGCATTGCCCTTAAATTCCCTTTGAATGAGTGTAAAGAATACGGGTAACTAAAACCCAAAGATAATCCATAACCTAAGTTATATCCATTATTTCAATTTTTCTTTTCCACTAAACTATTGTCAAAATAAAATTATAAAACCAACTTTTTGTCCTGGTATCTGTATTGTTCAATCACTAGGGAAGGTTTTATTGAACAACAAAATGGCTGAAGAAATAAAAAATGGCAATGACCTGAGGGCAGAGTAATTTACAGGAGACAATTTTCAAAAACTCACTGTGTTTTTTTTTGTTTTTTTTTTGACACAGAGTCTCACTCTGTCACCCAGGCTGGAGTGCAGTGGCGAGATCTCGGCTCACTGCAACCTCCGCCTCCCGGGTTCAAGTGGTTCTTCTGCCTTGGCCTCCCGAGTAGCTGGGATTACAGGCACACGCCACCATGCCCAGCTAGTTTTTGTATTTTTAGTAGAGACAGGGTTTCACCATATTGGCCAGGCTGGTCTTGAACTCCTGACCTCGTTATCTGCCCGCCTCGGTCTCCCAAAGTGCTGGGATTAGAGGCGTGAGCCACCGCACCTGGCCCACTGTGATTTTTTAAGCTTTAAGCTAAAGCCATGACAGAAACAATCTTAAACAAAAATTAAAAGCAAATTTACTATAACATAAGTCAACAGCATCATTTAAATGTATGAATGTATTCTCATTTCATCTCTCAAAGAAAATGAAAAGGACTAGTATAGAGATGAAAAGGTATCTTACATCCTTTGGAAACCAGAACTGAAGGCCATCTCGGTTACATGGGGAAAAAACCCAACTCTTATTGCTACAGAAACAAACCTCAGAAAAACTTAACGTCCGAAAACCTAAGTTAATCCATACCTCTATCAACAAGTGACTGGATAACAAATTGTGGTATATTCATACAACATAATACTACTTGGTAACAAACTATTGCTCTATGTAATACAGAAGAATCTCAAAGCATTACGCAAAGTGAAAGAAACCAGAAATAAAAGATTAATGTGTGATTCCACTCATATAAAACTCTAGAAGAGGCAAAAGGAATATACAGCAGTAGAAATCAGAATAGCAGTTGCCTCTGAGCAGGGGCAGGGTGAGGACTGAATGGAAAGGGCACAAGAAAATTGTCTGGGGTAATACATATGTTCTCTATCTTCACTGGAATAGTGGTTACACAGGGCATGCATTGCTGAAACTCACTAAACTGGGCACTTAAAAATCTATGCATTTTATTGTATGTAAAGTATACTTTAATAATAAAAAGTATTCGGAAAAATAAGTCAGTTTATGTACAAGAACTTTAGAAAGCATTTGTATTTCTGGAGTAGTTCCTGGGCATTATAAACTAAATAATGAATGTATGAATGAATAGAACATAATCCCCATTCTCCAAGGGGTTACACACTAGTAAAATGAAAAAGATAAATATGATTGGTGCGAATACAAAGTAGTTTAAAATGTAAAATAAATGTTGCAAGGAAAAGAACACACCAAATACCATGGAAGAACTGCAGTGTGGGGGAAAGGGTACTAGAAAAGGAAGAAGATCACATCTAGATGGAGTGATCAAGACAACTTTTATGGAGGCACAGGCATTTGATGAACCTTAAAAGGAAGTGAAGGATTTTAACAGGGGAGATAAGGTGGAAAGAAAGAGTTCAAGAAGAGAGGGAAGAGAATGAGCAAACACACAGAGGAAGGAATGTTACAGGCATTCTAGATCTTCATACTCACATGCAGCATAACTGGGATGGCTTGCATTTGGATTGGCGTAGGCATTTGGAAACCTGCATCTAGAATGTTCTGAAGTAGTCGAGAATTGATTTTATATTCCTGGTCAAGTTGCTGAAATGTAGCAATTGGGTCAGGAAGATCGGTTCCTTGGACGTGAATTTTGTGTTTATTCCGCAAGAAGTTTATCTGAAAAGTGAAGTAAAGAGGCCACCATGGATATGGCCAAATAAATACATTCTCAGATGTTATAAAGCAACATTAACAGTTTCTGGGATAACCTTTAGCAGCATATGAAACTTTTTGGTTAAATCCAAGAATCAAAACATCACAGATATTAGGTACATTTCATGCCCTTTCATAGAAAACCTTCATAAAATGTCTATGCTTTCTTCATATTAATGTGTTATTGTCATAGTCATAACTTCTAACCTTAAATAAACTTCTTAGAAGGCAGGCATTGAACCCATCTACTATTTTAATATGGTGGTTAACATACAAGTATCATTGCTTTTTGATGATTTACCCTAAAACTCTGATTATTAAAACTGAGTGCCAAAAAGTGGAGTCTAGTAGTGTTGATTTGGTTTGTTTCCCCATTCTCTGGACCAGAGACAGCCAAATTCTGGTTTCTGGGTTACTGAAGCATTGCCATAGTAATCCCTGAAGTGAGCTGAATACACCTCTCCATCAGGAATACGGCAGGTGTACAGCAGACACAAAAAAGGTATATTTGTTGTTTCTTCCATATCCTACTCCTCTTATTCCCAAGTCATAAAATACCTTTCTTAAGAATTCTAACCCTCTAATCTGTGTCAGAGGAAATCCTTCTAAACCGGTGAGCTCAACAGAGAAGAAAGGGAGCCAAATTTTGTTTGTTTATCGAAAGCAGTTACGAAATTTTAAAAATTTAATTCTAAACATACTATCAATCTTGAAACTTGAGCAGGTCAAGAATTTTATATATGTATCAGCAATTTAAACTTTAAAATGTTCACCCACAGCACAAATGCCTACTTTGCTTTAAGTTTTCATTAAAGTAAAATCTAAATGAATGTAATTAACCTTCTATCTTAACAAAACTATATTCACATTAACAACAGAATAACCCAAATCCAGCGAATAAGTCACTAGGTCAGAAAATATATATACTTTTGGCCCCAAAATATTTTTCTAACCTTTTCTTTTCTGAGATTCTCCAACTTTCCGGAAGTTAGTTTACTTTCTCTCTGAACTTTTTTGTCTTCAATCTTTGCTTCTACAGATGACATCCACTGTATAGTAGCACCTTCTTCTTGGGAAGCAATTTCTAAAATATATTTTTAAAAAGTAAAAGATTTTAACAGTCTAGGCAACATAGTGAGGACCCGTCTCTTCAAAAAAAAATTAAAAATTAGTCAAGGGTGGGTGGTGGTGCAAGCCTGTAGTCCCAGCTACTTAGGAGGCTGAGTGGGGAGGATCATTTGAGCCTGGGAGGTTGAGGCTGCAGACAGCTGTGATCATGCCACTGCATTCCAGCCTGGGTAACAGAGAAAAACCTTGTCTCAAAAAAAAAAAAAAAGAAAAAAGGTTTTAATCTTGGATGTATGTGTAGCAAGAAAGCCATACCTTCACACTAAAAAAGGAAAAAGTACAGCTGATCCAACTAGATAAGAGAAAGTAATAGGATGTATAAAAATGGAAATGAAAAGGCAAGTTCTGTGTTGGTATGATCAGAGTTCTGAAGCTTACTATCTTCCCTTTGTTGGCTGTTTCAGCAGTGTACTTAGTATACTTGAAAACAACAGGGGATTAATTGAAAAGCAACTTAAACAATGATAAATTTCTTTCCTTTTTTTTTTTTTTTTTTTGTTTGAGACAGAGTCTTGCTCTGTCGCCCAGGCTGAAGTGCAGTGGTGCGATCTCGGCTCACTGCAACTGCTGCCTCCCTGGTTCAAGAAATTCTCTGCCTCAGCCTCCCAAGTAGCTGGGATTACAGGAATCCGCCACCATGCCCGGCTAATTTTGTTTTGTATTTTTAGTAGAGACGAGGTTTCACCATCTTGGCCAGGCTGGTCTCAAACACCTGACCTCAAGTGATCCGCCCGCCTCGGCCTCTCACAGTGCTGGGATTACAGGCGTGAGCCACCGTGCCCAGCCAAATGAGAAATTTCAATAAGGCAGCCACGTTCTCTATATGTAAACAACCAACAACTAAAAAATAAATATAATGAAAGATCTCACTTAAAATAGCAATGAACGGCCAGGTGCGGTGGCTCATGCCTGTAATCCCAGCACTTTGGGAGGCCAAGGTGGGTGGATCACCTGAGGTCAGGAGTTTAAGACCAGCCTGGACAACATGATGAAACCCTGTCCCTACAAAAATACACAAATTAGCCAGGCATGATGGCAGGTGCCTGTAATCCTAGTTACTCAGGAGGCTGAGGCAGGAGAATCACCTGAAGCCAGGAGGTGGAGGTTGCAGTGAGCCAAGATTGTGCCACTGCACTCCAGCCTCGGCAACAGAGCAAGACTCTGTCTCTAAATAAATAAATAGCAATGAACATAACACAATACTTTGAACTACTCAGTATTATAAAGATAGCCTTTCTCCCTCAATCTATGAAGAACACTAGCCAATTAAAAGTAATGGCAGAATTGTTTTGGTGACTAGATCAGCTGACTTAACAATTTGTATGGGAGAATAAATATGTAAGACTAACCTAAATTTTTTTTTTTTTTTGAGATGGAGTCTTGCTCTGTCACCCAGGCTGGAGTGCAGTGGCATGATCTTGGCTCACTGCAACCTCTGTCTCCCAGGTGATTATCAGCCTCCCGAGTAGCTGGGACTACAGAGGCATGCCACCATGTCCAGCTAATTTTTGTATTTTTAGTAGAGACGGGGTTTCACCACGTTGGCCAGGCTGGTCTCAAACTCCTGACCTCGTGATCCGCCCGCCTCAGCCTCCCAAAGTTTTGGGATTACAGGTGTGAGCCACCGCGCCTGGCCTAACCTAAAAACATTTTAAGTTTAACAAGCAAAGACTAGTTCTACAAAGCAAAGACTAGTTCTAATTTCTAAATTAGTTCTAAAACTAGCAAAGACTAGTTCTAATTTCTTAATTTTTTCAACTTCACTGAGGCATAAATATATACAATAATCTGCATATATTTAAAGTATCTAATTTGCTGAGTTTTGACATATCTACACACCCAAAAAACTATCACCACATTCAAGGTTATTTCTATCACTTCTCCAGATTTCCTCATGACACCTTATAATCCATCACTCCATGCATAGGCAACCACCAATCTAATTTCTGCCACTATAGACTAGTTTGCCTTTTCTGGAATTTTATATAAACGGAATCATGTCATATGTACTAATTTTTGTCTGGCTTCTTTCACTCAAGATAGTTGTTTTGAAATTCACCTATGTTGCACCATGTATCAACAACTTACCGTTTTATTACTAGGTAGTATTCCATTGTAATGGATGTACAGTTCATCATTCACCTGTTGAGGGACATTTGGGTCATTTCCAGCTTTTGGCTATAAGCAATGTTGCTATGAAAATTTGTGTACAAGTCTTCCTGAAGATGTATATTTTCCTGTCTCTTAGGTAAATATTCCAAGTGGAATAGCTGGGTAATATGGTAAATATATGTTTAACTTAAAAAAAAAGTCCCAAACTATTTTCCAAAGTGGTTGTACCATTTTACCATCAACACTGTGAGAGCTTGTTTCTGTACATCCTTGCCCATACTTGGTATGGTCACTCTTTTTTATTTTTAGCCATTCTAATGGGTATGTAGTAGTACTGTATTGTGGTTTTAATTTGCCTGATGGCTACTGATGTTGAGTATCTTTTATGTGCTTATCACCATGTGTATTATCTTCTTTAGTGAGTAGATACAAGTCCTTTGATATACATTTTGCAAATATTTTCCCATCTGTGGCTTGCCTTTTCATTTTCTTAATGTTATCTTTTGAAGAATGAAAATTTTTAGTTTCGATAAGTCCAATATATCAATTTTTTCTTTTTAAAGAATTTTGTTGTTGTTGTGCTAAGGAACTTTGACATATCTCAAGGCCACAAAGATTTTTTTCCTGTTTTCTTCTGGAACTTTTATAGTTTTAAAACTTCAGTCTGAGTCATTTGAAGTTAATTTTTGCTTACAATATAAAGTTAGGTTTGATGTTCACTTTTTTCCCCATGGATCCAGTCCGTTTGTCGAAAAGACTTTCTTTTCCCCGCTGAATTACCTTATTACCTCTGTTGAGAACTAATTGACCATATATGCATGGGTTTGTGGACTAGCTGTTCTGTTTCACTGATCTATATATAAGGGGGTCTTCAAAAAGTTCATGGAAAATCCGTATTATGAAGAAACTATGCAAAAATTTCAAAATTTTTTGCACCAAAATAAACTCATACCAACTTGTTACAATACGGGTGAACTGGATCTAGTCTGAGACACTAAGAAGGATAAGACAGCAGTTTGAAAACAGCAACATGAATTCTGCTTAAAACTGAAGCAAGAACAAACTCCAAATTTACAGTGAAGCTTCGGTAGAAGAATAGTGAAATCACTGATGCTTTATGAAAAGTTTATGGGGACAAAGAAATCACCTGTTTACAAATGGATAACTTGTTTTAAGAAGGAACAAGATAATATTGAAGATGGAAGTCTGTAGCAGCAGACCACCCGCATCAATTTATAAGGAAAAAATTCATCTTGTTCATGCCCTAATTGAAGAGGACTGTTGATTAACAGCAGAAACAATAGCCAACACCACAGACATCTGAGTGTATATAACCAATTACAAGCTCATGCTTGTAATCCCAAATATATATATATGGTTTGGCTTACACCACATATATATTTTTTTCAAGATAGGGTTTTGTTCTGTCAGCCAGGCTAGAGTATACAGGCATGATCACAGCTCACTGTAACCTCACACTCTTGGGCTAAAGCAATCCTCCTGTCTCAGCCTCCCAAGTAGTTGGGACTACAGACATGTGCTACCACGTGCAGCTAATTTTTTTTTTTCTTTTTGGAGTCTTACTGTGTCACCCAGGCTGGAGTGCAGTGGTGTGATCTCGGCTTCGGCTCACTGCAACCTCCGCCTCCCAGGTTCAAGTGATTCTCCTGCCTTAGCCTCCCAGGTAGGTGAGATTACAGGCATGCGCCACCACGTCCGGCTAATTTTGTATTTTTAGTAGAGACGGGGTTTCACCATGTTGGCCAGGCTGGTTTCGAACTCCTAACCTCAGGTGATCCACCCACCTCAGCCTCCCAAAGTACTGGGATTATAGGCATGAGCCACTGCTCCTGGCCCTATTTTTTGTATAGATGGAGTCTTGCTATGTTGCCCAAGCTGGTCTCAAAATTCCTGGCCTCAACTGATCCTCCTACCTCAGCTTCCCAAAGCACTGGCATTATAGGTGAGCCACTGCTCCTGGCCTCCCTACCAATTCTTTGTTTTGTTGTTTGTTTTTGAGACCGAGTTTCACTCTTGTTGCCCAGGCTGGAGTGCAATGGCGTGATCTCAGCTCACTGCAACCTCTGCCTCCCAGGTTCAAGCGATTCTCCTGCCTCAGCCTCCCAGGTAGCTGAGATTATAGGCATGCGCCACCACGCCCGGCTAATTTTGTATTTTTAGTAGAGACGGGATTTCACCATGTTGGCCAGGCTGGTTTCGAACTCCTAACCTCAGGTGATCCACCCACCTCGGCATCCCAAAGTGCTGGGATTACAAGCATGAGCCACCACGCCCAGCCTTCTTCCCACCAATTCTTAATGAAAAATTAGTTGAGCAAATTTTCCATATGATGGGTGCCAAAACCACTGCTCCCAAATCAGCTGCAGACAAGAGCAGAGATTTCAAAAGAAATTTTAAACAAGTGGAATCAAGGTCCTAAAGCATTTCTTTGAAGAACTGTAACAGAAGATGAAACATGGTTTTACCAGTTTGATCATAAAGACAAAGCACAATTAAACCAATGGCTACCAAGAGGTGGAAGTGGTCCAGTCAAAGCAAAAGTTGACCAGTCAAGAGCAAAGGCAACAGCAACAGGTTTTTTGGATGCTCAAGGCACTTCACTTGTTGACTTTCTGGAAGGCCAAAGAGTAGTATCTGCTTATTATGAGAGTGTCTGAAGAAAGTTAGCCAAAGCTTTAGTAGAAATTTCTACAAAAAAAATTCTGCTAGAATTCTAATTGGGATTGCAATGATTCTGTAGATCACTGTAGGGAGAAAACATTGAGTTGCCTAAAATATTGGTATGCCTCTCCACTCTACTGGATTTTATAACATATAAGGCCATAGTATTTAAAACAAGCTAGTATTGGTGTACAAATACAGAAACAGAATAGAAGAGGTCCAGAGACAGACTTGAATGTATATGGAAAATAAGTATACAATTAAAGTTGCGTTAAAGTCCAATAGAGAAAACACGGATTATCAACATATGGTATTAAGACAATTAGTCAACATAAGATAAAACACCAACATATGGTATTAAGACAATTATGTTATTAAGACAATTATTCAGACATCTGAAAAAAATTTTAGTTCCCTATTCACTCCTTATACCAAATAAAATTTCACAGGGTCAAAGATTTTAATATAACAAATTGAAACTACAAATAAGAAAACATGGAAGTTGTTTTTTTTCTTTTTTTTTTTTTTTTGAGACAGAGTCTTGCTCTGTCACCCAGGCTGGAATGCAGAGGCATGATCTCAGCTCACTGCAACCTCCACCTCCTGGGTTCAAGCGATTTTCCTGCCTCAGCCTCCCAAATAGCTGGGATTACAGGCGTGCACCACCATATCTGGCTAATTTTTTTATATTTTTAGTAGAGACGGAGTTTCACCATGTTGGCCAGGCTGGTCTCAAACTCCCGACCTCAAGTGGTCAGCCCGCCTCCGCCTCCCAAAGTGTTGGGATTACAGAAGTGAGCCACTGCACCCAGCCTAGAATTTTAAAAAAACGTAATGCGCAGAAGGCCAAAAAGTAAATAAATAAGACAAGTGACATATGACAATCTGGAAACATATTTGTAAACATAATATGGCAGACATAGAGCTAATTTCCTCAATATATGAGGTTTAATAAATTAAGAAGAAACAGAAGAACGTAATATGATAAGGGAACAATGTAATACAATAAGGGTACAACGTACACGAAGAGACAAATTTACAAAAAGAGAAAAGTCTCATACCTTGCTGGAAGGCATCGCAAAGTAGAATAACTTTAAAAAAATTTTGTTCCCTTTATGAGACAGTTGGTACTAAATGACCCAAATCATTACTAATTCACAAGCTATTCAATTTTCCAGTTAAAAATAGATACATGCCTGGCTGGGCGTGGTGGCTCACATCTGTAATCCCAGCACTTTGGGAGCCCAAGGTGGGTGAATCACGAGGTCAGGAGATCGAGACCATACTGGCTAACATGGTGAAACCCTGTCTCTAATAAAAATACAAAAACAAAATTAGCTGGGCGTGGTGTCGGGCACCTGTAGTCCCAGCTACTCGGGAGGCTGAGGCAGCAGAATGGCGTGAACCCAGGAGGCAGAGCTTGCAGTGTGCCAAGATCGCGCCACTGCACTCCAGCCCCAGCCACAGAGTGAGACTCAGTCTCAAAAAAAAAAAAAAAATTGATACATGCCTACACATTTATCATAGATCTACGGCCTAAATACATTTGTTGCCACAATGGTTACAGTACATAGCTGTATATTTCTGGTGGCCCAAAATTTGAATCCTTTTCCTAAGTTTGTGGCGTGTCTTTCTTATTGGTAAAGGTTTTATCAAACTTCCTTGCAGCCAGGGAAGAATGACTTTTACTGCAGCACTTAACAGCAAAAGCATGCAAACAATGTACTAAATGCCCACACAGTAACATGTCAAATTGATCATGGGGCATCCCTACAATGTATGATGGGCTACTATGCTGTGTTACAATGAACAAGGCAAAGTACTTCCTACTGATGCAGTGTTTCTGGTGGATACATCTATTTGTTAACTCTGCAATTCCACTTCTAAGAATTTATGGGACAGATATACTCACATATACATGCAAAGATAAGTAGAATGACACTGCAAAACTACAACAGCAAAAATGTGAAAACAAACTATAATTATCCATCACACAGGAACTTGTTAAATCAATTATGCAATACACACAATGGGATACAATGCTGTGTTAAAATGAACAAGGCAATGTACTTCCTACTGATTCCAAACAACCTCCAAGATACATTGTTTTTAAAAAAGGGGAAGGTAGTAGCAGAGGTTCCCAACAGAGTGTATATAAAATAATCAAAGTATATAAACAAAGTATGAGGAGTATTTGTTTTTTTTTGAGTCAGGCATAAATACATAGGAATAGTGTCCCCAGAAAAATACAAAAGAAATTGATTAACAGTAGCTGCGTGTGGAGAAACAGGGGACTGGAGAGAAACAGTAGGAAGGAACTTTACTTTTCATCATTGTATAACTCAAGTGTTTACCAAAAAAAGGTAAATGACTAGGAAACTTAATATTATAGATTAAAAAAATATAAACAGCCCTAGAGTACAGTACAAGAAAAAAAAAAAAAAAAAGGCCAGGCGCGGTGGCTCACACCTTTAATCCCAGCACTTTGGGAGGTCGAGGCGGGCAGATCACGAGGTCAGGAGTTCAAGACCAGCATGACCAACATGGAGAAACCCCGTCTCTACTAAAAAATAGAAAAATTAGCCAGGCGTGGTGGGGCACACCTGTCCCAGCTACTCAGGAGCCTGAGGCAGAAGAATCACTTGAACCTGGGAGGCAGAGGTTGCAGTGAGCGGAAAACATGCCATTGCACTCCAGCCTGGGCAACAGAGCGAGACTCTGTCTCAAAAGCAAACAAACAAACAACAAAAAAACAAAAACCTCTGTCAAAATGGGCAAAGAGTAAGAAGAAACAATTCACAAAAGGTGAAATATTAATGTCCAGTAAAGCATACAAAAATATGCTTGACCAGCCAGGTGTGGTGGCTCACGCCTGTAATCCCAGCACTTTAGGAGGCGGAGGCGGAGGCGGAGGAAGGGTGGATCACAAGGTCAGGAGATCGAGACCATCCTGGCTAACACGATGAAACCTGGTCTCTACTAAAAATACAAAAAATTAGCCAGGTGTGGTGGCAGGCACCTGTAGTCCCAGGTACTTGGGAGGCTGAGGCAGGAGAATGACGTGAACCCAGGAGGCGGAGCTTGCAGTGAGCCGAGATTGCACCACTGCACCACAGACTGGGCAACAAAGCGAGACTCATCTCAAAAAAAAAAAAATGCTCGACCTCACCAGTTATCAGTAAAATATAAAATTGTTTCAGGCAGGGCGCGGTGGTTCAGGCCTGTAATCCCGGCACTTTGGGGGGCCAAAGCGGGCGGATCACGAGGTCAAGTGATCCAGGCCATCGTGGCCAACATGGTGAAACCCCATCTCTACTAAAAATACAAAAATTAGCTAGGCGTGGTGACACGCACCTGTAGTCCCAGCTACTCAGGAGGCTGAGGCAGGAGAATTGCTTGAACCCAGGAGGCAGAGGTTGCAGTGAGCCGAGATCGCGCCACTGCACTCCAGCCTGGAGACAGAGTGAGACTCTGTCTCAAAAAAAAAAAGTTTCATTCATTAGCTTGGCAAAAAAATTAACACCAATAATATTCAGCACTGACAAGGACTTGGGAAGTCACTTTGTAGTATTTTTCAGAGAAAGGGTACATACCCTTTCACCATATGATGCTACTTTTCGGATGGTATTCTGCAGAAATAACAGTACCTGTACAAAAGGATTTATGTATAAATATCTTTACTTAAAATTACCTTTGCTGTAACAATATTTCTAATGACAAATACCTGGAAACAACCTGAGTGCCATCAGCTGACAAATGACCTTATTGTCTGACTTGTAGCCATAAGCCTGTATTATTTTTATAACTGAAAAAAATTAAAGAGAAAAAACATGACAGAAATCAAACACTAACCTGAAGTCATCGTCTTCCTTTTTTTCTTGCTCTGCTCCCTCTTCCTTTCAGTTAGGCTCTCTTCTTTTTTCTCTCCATTTTGGGGCTTCTGATGTGTTTGTGATGCTCCACACACACCTGGGACAGACTTCTTGTTTCCAAAAAAGTCCAGTCCCTGAAGCACCTCCGAAGAATCAAAGTCATATTTCCTTTTTCCTATCTAAAACCCAAAAAATGTAAAATGAAACCTACTGACAGAATACCATTGCTTTCATTCAAGCAAGACTGTTCAATGACTCCTCATCTTTTCTACCCTTTCACCAAGTATCTGTCGAGCTAACAGGTGTCTGGACAAATGGAATCTGAAGAGACCTTCTCTGACCTCATAATAGTAACAAATTAATATTAGCAATGAACACATATATGCTTACTAAATGTCAAGCAGATTTCTAAGCATGTTTATACATATTAAATTGCTTCATATTTACAACTCTATAAGGTAAATAGCAGTATTACGAATGAGAAAACCAAGGCATTCGGAAATTAAGTAACTTGAGGTAGGTCTAAAAATGAGTAACTGGCAGACTTAGCATTTAGACCCAGATAATCTGGCTCCAGAGTTCATACTCACCAGTTAGAGAAAGAAGAAACACATGTCACACGCATATACACATCCAAACAACAAAGTAGACATTCAAGATTTTCCAGAATTGGGCCCCAATTGACCTCCCCCGATGTATCACTCACTACTTCTCTAGGTAAGAGCCCCCATTTCTTAATCGCTCTTCTCATTGGTTACTTAAGCCATGGGGTTGAAGCAATAAAAAGAATCACGCCCAGTACAACTATACGCATGCCAAGCCAAACTTGGGGAGACTATAGTAAGAGAATCTGTTTTCTCCATCTTTGGTTGTTTCTGTTTTCGAAATTCCTTTCCTCTAGGTTCGGAGAAAAAGTTCCTTTTGAAAGGAGGATTCCAACTTTGCTTTGAATAAGAGGGAGGAAAGAGGGTTTCCGTGCCAGGCCCAACTAGGTCTACAACAGGATAGTTAAAGAGCTTATTCAAAAGGCTTGAACCGAGCAGCCGTGCAGGCAAGCCGAACACAAAAGGAAGCAAAATACCCCAAGGGTGGCGAGAGCCAGGCCACGGGTGTCCATGTGCGCCGGCCTCCCCCAGCAGCGGGTTCATTCCCGGGCTCCTGCTCCTTCTCAGTTACTCGGCCCTCGGTCCCTTGGGCACAATACCTGGAATCGAGCTGCGTCTGCCGAGAAGCGTCTCGTGTCGAATTTGGCCCCCGCGCCGAGCCGGCGAAAGAGATCGTGGACGTCCATCTTTACCCAGAAAGCGCCACAGTTCTACGGCGCCTGCGCAGACTACTTCCCAGGCCCCGGGCAGCGTCGGAAGAGGGCGTGAGCATAATTGGCTCCTGTAGGCGGAGCCTGGCTGGGTGAGAAACGAGGCTATTTTATTATCGTGTACTCCGTCATTATTTATCTTTTTTTTTTTTTTTTGAAACAAGGTCTCTCTCTGTCGCCCAGGCTGGAGCGCAGTGGCGCAATCGCAGCCTCGAACTCCTGGGCTCAAGTGATCCTCCCATCTCGGTCTCCCAAACTGCTGGGACTACAGGCGTGTGTAAATTCTTTTAAAAAATATTTATCAGTATCCTCTTATGTTGGGCACTGTTCTAGACTTTGAGGGATACTATAGTAAACAACATCTTAAGATTCCTCTTCTTACGAAGCTTACATTTTAGTAGGGACAACAGATATTGTTAACAAATAAATAAGCAAAATCTCTGTAAAGTAATAAGTGCTATAAAACAAAAAGGTGTAATTGATAGAGAAAATGATGAGGGAGCTGACTTAGTGAAATTCACTCTGTTGAAGTGAAAACTTGAGCTAAGAGGAAGCAACCTGTCCAAGATCTGGGAACAGCATTCCAGATAGGGGAAACACGTGGCTGAAGGGAAAAAAATTGGAACCTTGAGGGAATAGAAAGAATGCCGGTGCGACTAGAGCCAAGTTGCAGTCTGATAGAGTAGTACAGATAAGGTTGGAGGGACAAACAGAAGCCAGATCTCACAGAATCTTGTAACAAGGTCATAGTAAGGAATTTGGACTTCCACCTTGGGAAACTATTTGAAAATTTTTATGGAGAGAAGAACATGATTTAGTTTATCACATTTAATTTTTTATATTTATTACATCTGTACGAAATTATTTACTGCTTATTGCCTCTCCCTCTTCTGGAATGTAAGTCCCTGAGCACAGGGATATACTTTGCTTCGTTATGTATCCCCAGTTTCTGTGCACTTTGGTGAATGAATGCGTGGATGTTTCATAAAGGATTACACTGGCTATTTGGAGAATGGACCATAGAAAAGCTAAGAGTGGAAACAGGTTAGTCAAAGTAGAATGATGATCATGGCTTGTCTAGGTTGGTATCTGTGCTGAGAGAGATAAATGGATTAGATCTGGCATGTATTTTGGAGGTAGAGCTAAACGTACCTGACGGATTTTATGCAGAGGTGAGAGAAAGGGAGGAATCAAAGATCACTCCTAGTTTTTTGGCTGAGTAGATGGCATGCCATTTACTGAGCTAAGAAAGCCTGAGAGAAGAAGGGCTTTCTGGTACAAGTGAGATACGGAGGATGGAATCAATTGTTATGTTTTGGACGTGTTAAGATGCCTACCTAGTTGACTTTAAGTGGAGACATCCAAGTAGGTAGTTGGTTCTGAATCTGAAGCTCAGGAACAAAAATTAGGGCTAGAGAAATTAATTTGGAAGTCATCAACATATAAATGATACAAAGGAGTTGTACCATATAAGCATTTAACTTATAAAAATTCAGTTATATGTATTTGACCAAAGAGAATGAAACATACTTGAAATTGTATGGGTGAGTCCTTTACAATCAAGGAAAGCAGGTGTGAGGTGAGCATGTGATGGGGGAGGTGAATCTGCGGTTTCTCAGATGAATTCAGCCCCTTACTCCCTATTACAGTGGGTGGGGGGGTGGTCTTCCTGTCCCAAGTGTGTCTACTCTTTAAAAATAGGAACTTCCCAAGTACTTCATCTGTTGTTCAATAAAAATAATTTATCTTCAGCCAGGCGCAGTGGCTTATACCTGTAATCCTAGCACTTTGGGAGGCCAAGGTGGGCAGATTACTTCAGCTCAGAAGTTTGAAACCAGCCGGGGCAACATGGCGGAACTCCATCTCTACAAAAAATTAAAACATTAGCTGGGTGTAGTGGCACACACCTATAGTCCCAGCCACTTGGGAGGCTGAGGCAGGAAGATTGCTTGAGCTTGGGAGGTTGAAGCTGCAGTGACTTGTAACGGCACCACTGCACTCCAACCTGGGTGACAGAGTGAGACCTTGTCTCAAAAATAAATAAAATTAATCTATTTCAACATAAGAGGAAAAACTCAATATTAGTGTGTTGATCTTCAGTTTGGCACATAAATATGGCCATAGCCATATATAAAATTAATATGTATGAAATGGCAACTACCATACTTTGTGGATGACTTAGGGAATTTAAAAAAAAATTCAACTTTATGAGATTTTTTTTTTCTTTATGAGCTGATTTAGAACCTAATCCCTATGTAAGTGGTAACAAACCCATCTCCAAAAGCATGAGCATGAATGTGATCACTTAGAGAAAATGTGTGAATGGAGAAGAGAAGGGGACCCAGGACTGACCCTATGGTACTCTAATGCTTGGAGATGAGGTGGAGGAGGAGACACCTGTAAAACAAGAGTCTGAGAAGAAGCAAGTGAAGTAGAAAGCAAGCAGTGAGGTAGGAAGACCAGGAATTTGGTGTCACCAAAGCCAGACAGAAGTTTTAAGAAGGTAGTGATCAGCTATTTCAAAGGCTGTTGAGAGGCTGAAGACAGAAAAGATCACTGCATTTGGCAACGTGGAGGTCACTAGAGCCCCTGATAATGTCAGTTTCAGGGACATTGGTGAATAGAGATGATTGGTGAAGGTGGTGAAATGGAGATGGATGAAACCACTCTTCCAAAGATTTAGCTGAGCAGGATAGCAGAGAAGTGGGGTGGTAGCTATAGCCAGATGTGGATTCAAAGGAGGGTTTTGCTTTTGGTTTTTGATGTTTTTAAATATGAGTGCTAGGAGATGTTTGTAAATTATATGGGATGACCCAGTGGAAAGGTATAAATTGTTGCTGCAACAGAGAAGGGAGAATTATGAGATGGGGGTGGGATGAAATTTTGTCAGGGTGTGTTGGAGGGCTGAGAAGAGAAGTGGTGTGAAATAATATTCTCTAACAGTGGGAAAATGAACTTACTGAAGAAAGGCGGTAATAATTCTGGGCAATAAATGCCCATTTGAGGTTCAGGGCAATTAATGTAAAAGGAGACAAATTAGCATGATTCAGCCACTTAAATAAGGGTGTGAAGTGTATAGTGTTAGATTTGGCCAGGGTTAAACTTTTTCCAGGTTAATATCATGGAAGGTTATGGCAGAGTTCTGTCCTCCCCACTCCAACAAGAAAAGCACCTGAGATTGATAGTTCAATAGAAGTTTAGCCACCTAGGACCGAAGAAGGAAGAGGAAGCCACTAGGAATAATACTCTGTGTTATAGTAATAACTCAACTTGCTGCTTTCCGATCAGAGGAAAGAAGAATTATATTGAGTGTTGAATATGTACTATATTATTTACCTTCATAAGCATGGACTTGGAGTTAAATAGGGCTGAGTTTAAATTCTCCCAGCCTCTTCACCTATTAGCTGTGATTTGTGATTTGGTCACATTAATCTTTCTGGGACTAATTTCTTTGTTTGTAAAATGAGGATCATGATAGCTACTTTGGAATCGTTCTGAAGATTAAGCTAGGCTCATAGGCAGTGGTGTGTAGTGGAAGGAGTGTAGGTTTGGGGCATCAGAAATACTTAATGTTTGAGTCCAATTGTGTCATTTAGTAATTTGATAATCTTAAATGAGTTATTTCACTGGTCTGTGCCTCAGTTTCCTTGTTGGTAAAATAGTGATTATAGGATTATAATATCTACCTTGAGGTTAGGAGTAGCATAACTTTTCACCACACAGGGCTCAAAATGGTTGAGATGGGTCAGAATACTAGATATGTATAAAATCCTTATATATATATATATAGATAGATAGATATATAGATATATAGATATATATATTCTGTAGTTATTGTATAAAGCATTTGGAACAAAATCTCACACATAGTAGGTTCTTAAGCAATAGTAGTTCTTTCCCATCTTTCAGTTCTTCCTTCTAGAGCAATAGTTCTTGACCCTAACCACACAATAGAATCTTCTGAAGAACTTATGAAACAAGTGACCAAGTGCAGTGGCTCACACCTATAATCCCAGCACTTTGGGAGGCCAAGGCAGGAGGATTGCTTCAGGCCAGGAATTCAAGACCAGCCTGGGCAACATAGGGAGACCCCATTTCTACCAAACAATTTTTAAAAAATTAGCCAAGTGTGGTGGTGTACCCGTAGTCCCAGCTACTAGGGAGGCTGAGCTGGGAAGATCAATTGAGCCTGGGAGGTCGAGGTTGCAATGAGCCATGGTCACACCACTAGACTCCAGCCTGGGCAACAGAGCAAGACCCTGCCTCAAAACAAACAAACAAAAGAAAACTGATTCCCACCCCCAGAAATTCTGGTTTAATTGTTCTATACTGGTTCCCTAGCCTGTAATTTTTGAAAGCTTCTCAAGTGATTCTAATTGTAGTCAACATTAAGAATCCACCTGCTGGAATTATATTTCTGAAGCCCAAATGTGGACCATGTTGCTTCTCTGCTTAAAAACCTCTCTTGATTCCCCATTGTCTGCTGAATGTAGTCTGAACTATAACTTGTATGTCAGTCCCTAAGCAGTGGGTCTCAACATTTTATCTGCTTCAGCATTCTCAAGAAATATGACTCCCTGCCATAAACAGCTTCAGCTTGGGTTCAACTCTCAGTCCTATCACTTAACCAGCTGTGTGGTTACGTATCCTCTCTAAGCTTTAGTTTTCTCACCTCATTTCAGCTTTGCTTCCAACTCAGAACCTTTGTACTTATTTTTTTTTTCTTCTTGGAATGTCCTCTGTTCCTTTCCTCCATGGATAACTCCTTATATTCTTCAATACTCAGTTTACATGTCCTCTCCTGAGTGAAACTTACCCTGAATGTCCCCTCCTTGACATAGTCCATCTTTCTTCGAGTTCTCATGCCACTTCATAAGTACCTCTATTTTAGCTCTTTTCCTATAGCATTGAAATGATATTTCCATGTATGTCCACAGACTTTGAGCTTTTTGAGGGCTGTTCCTACATCTCATTTATCTTCATATTGTTTGCTTCTCATGGAGTCTGTTTCACAGTAAGTGGTCAGTAATCTTGTCCAATTAATGAAGTGAAATGAAATAGACAAAGATCCCTGAAACTGCCAACCTCAATGAATTTTGGAATGGACCTTATGTTTTTTGCTTGGTGCTTTGTGATAAATTTTAGATGAATGAATGAAAGAAGACAAATAGAAACTGTTAGACTTAGACCATTTCATACCCTCACAATGTCCAGCTGACTCATTAAAGGACCATTTCCTCCTGGGGAAAAAACGAAACAAAACAACTTAAAAGCATTGTCAACAAAAGTGGTGAGGAAACTGAATCATGGTTTTGTATAACTGGAATTTCTCTAAAAACCAGTACGGTCTGACTGGTAGACACACATGGTTTCTCAGCTGTAGCAAGTGAGAACACAAAGTCTGTATAACACTGCAGTGGAAAAGCTATTTGGGATAACTTGTTGTGAATAGAGTGATCACTCTATGTCCTAAGAGTATGTTTTTGAAAACTTTTTCTCCACTCCTTATTTATCATTCAACAAACTTGGTGGTGGTTGTTTTTACAGTGTTTCTGGCATGGACTAGGGCTTAGGGATCCAAAAATGAACTAGACACAGTCCTTGGTCTCAAGTAGCTTTGAGTTTGCAAGGGACAGAGAACTGTTTGCAAACAGAGCAAGGAAATTCTCTAGGCACTGCAGTATAAGTGTAGGAAGTGAGGGAGTAAGGGTGGCAGGATGGAGTGGGCTTTGTGGAAAGTTAGAAAAGACTTTATAGAGAAGACAAAGCTGGCATAGCCTTAACAAATAAAGTGTTGACCAATTAGAAAACACAGGTAAAAGTATTTAAGTAGAGAGGAGAGCAGCGCAACAAATGTAAAGAGGGATGAAACACGCTGTTGTGTTTGGGGAACTACTAGTGGCTCAACAAAGCTGGAAGTGGATGCTGCAGCAAGAATTGGAGCTGGACAGGTAGGTAGGGACCAGCTTGTGACGGGCCTTTTGTATATACTGAGGACTTTGAACCTGATATTGTAGGCACTGAGAGCCATTAGAGGATGTTAAGCCACTGATATAAAGTTTTTAATTTAATATTTATTTATTTAGAGACAGGGTCTCACCCTGTCATCCAGGCTGCAGTGCAGTGGTGCAATCGTAGCTCACTGCAGCCTTGCCCTCCCCAGGCTCAGGTGATCCTCCCACCTCAGCCTCCCTAGTAGCTGGGACTACAGGCATGCACCACCATGCCCAGCTAATTTTTACATTTTTTGTAGGGATGGGGTTTCGCCATGTTGCCTAGGCTGGTCTTGAACTCCTGGGCTCAAGCAATCCACCTGCCTCGGCCTCCCAACGTGCTGGGATGACAGGCATGAGCCACTGTGCCTGGCAGTTTTTAATTTTAAAACATCACTTTAGCAGCAACACAGAAGAGAGGCAAGTTGGAGTCAGGGAGACCAGGACAATATTGAAATAGCAGTCTAGTGAGGAAAGAAGGCAGTGGCTGTAGGAAGGAAGAGGAGAAAGGAGCGGATCTAAAGGACATTAAGGAGGTAAAGTGACTGG
Organism: Homo sapiens; assembly: GCF_000001405.40. Lineage (NCBI taxonomy): Eukaryota > Metazoa > Chordata > Mammalia > Primates > Hominidae > Homo > Homo sapiens. The sequence goes on from NT_187614.1 coordinate 1,889,081, forward strand.
ATGTGGGAGGATAGCAGGAGAGGGAGAAACTTAAAATAACTCCCGGGTCTCAAACTTAGGTGACTGAGTAGGGGTGAGCCTTTTCACGGAAAGGGAGAATACTGAAGGGCTAGGTTTGTGTGAGGACTATATATTCATAGTAAGTTTAATTCTGAATACGTTGAGTTTGAGATTTTTGTGGGACATTTGAATGAAGTTTCTAATGGTTATTTGAAAGTAGGAATTATTATTTCTTTGCAACGGGAGCTAGGAACTTTTGAACTGTAACTTCAGGATCTTAATTTAAAAGTGAGTTGAGGAGAGGGTGATTGGCTATGGATAACATCCGGAAGCCATTCCCACAGTGAGACAAAAACCTTGCTTTCCCCGAGGCTGAGTTTCCAGCTTCAAATTCTCAAGATTTACCAATAGTCTAGTACTTTAGAAATCCAAATCAAGTACTCAAGAAATCCAAATTCTTACAGTTTTTTTTTTTTTTTTTTTTTTTTTGCCACCAATAGTCAACAGAGTGTACTTTTAGGCTACAATGCAATGTAAGTGTAACTACTCAAATATTCTTTTAATTAGGACAGAATTGAAGTAAATAGCGCAAGGACCAATGCTGACCTCACGGTGGCACTCCAGTCTTCGAATAAAGGGCTCTCTGGACTCATCTTATTGACCTCCAAATGGACAGTCCACATTGAAGTGAAGAGTTGACATGAACTCTGGGCCCATAGACCCCACAGTTTAATTTCCTGAAGAGAATCTACCAAGGACTTTGCTTTTCTGTTTTTAAATCAGCTCTGACGTAAGGCTGGATCAATAGAATAGGTGTCAAGTATGCCCGAATGTCTCCATCCGTAAAAAATTTCATCAGGGTTCAAAAGTAACCAAAATAATTTCACCATTATTATTTATTAATGGATACCATTTATTGAATGCCTGCTATGTGCCACATTGGGTTCAGGGTACTTTTCATATTATATGAGCTCATTGAACTCACAATAGCTCTATGAGGTTGATACTACAGTGTTCTCATTTTTCTGAGAAGAAACTAGGGCTCAGAGACATTAAGTAGCTTGCCTCTCACATCATATAGGTAGTAAGTGGCCATACTTGGTTTTGAACCCAATCTGTGTGATCCCCAAACTTGCGCTCTTTAAACAAGGCTGCATTGCCTCTTATTATTGATGCCAAGATAAAAGCAGCAATTAATGAAACTTGGTTTTCTTCAGGTATAGACTGTTTGGCATGAGGTGGTTTAAATAATATCATATTTAAGGAGATCTAATGCGGGCCCCTATTGTGAATTTGTGTCCTCTTCATGAAACTCTTTGCCACATATGAGAAACAGGATATTTACATAGTCACAAAGTGTGTCCCACAAGGTATTGATTAGTTACGAAGAGAAAAATTGAAAATTTACAGTGGAGCAACCTGGAAGATACCATGTGAATGAAATGGTCACAGTATAAATGGTAACATAAAAGTGGTAAAATATCAATATGTACACCATGGTCATATTCTTTTGCTTTTATTGTGGAAGAGACAAAGGGACAAGGGAGGATTTGCTGACACTGGTCAGGAGTGGAGTAGAGGACTAATTCCTATCTTTGATCTCCATCTGTGAAAGCCCAGATCGCACAAAGATTTCCAAATGAAATATTTACATTTCTAAGGGGTAGAGAATTATTCGTGAATCCTAGACAGTATACAAGGGAAGGCTCCCAAAAGAAAGATACAAATAATAAAATTCTAGAATAATGTTATAGTACTGATTGTAGGCTATGGGGAGTGGGAGTTGGTTGTCCTACTAATAAAATGCTTAATCAAGAGTGTATGATTTGTAAATCATATTTGTTAAGCATTTTTTAATGCCTTACAGACTTCAAAGCCCTAAAACTTTTCTGCATCTCTAGGGGTTAATATCAGCATTTTGTATATTCTCAGCTTGAGATAATTACCAATCTGCCTATTTTTTAAAAGAACTGTCTTTTAGTGAGAAGGATAAGATGTCTGGAGAAGCTTTTTGTTCAACATGTCAGTATTTGCATGATTTACAGTGTAATTAACCAGGCCCTGTAGCACAGGCAGACCGGCTCCCTTCACTATTTATCATGTTTCCAGCAACTTCAGATCATCACCTCTGCTGGGAGGAAATACGTCCTTCTTAGAGATGTGAAAATATATCCCCAACCATTCCCACAGGCAGAATGTGATCTATCCTTATGTATCTATTATTTCTCATATCTAAGGGCTCTTCCCCCTACCCCATTATTTTTATACAGCATTACTCTCAGAACTAAACTAGTTAAATAAATATAAGGCCAGGCATGGTACCTCACACCTGTTATCCCAGCACTTGACGAGAGTCTGAGGCGGGTGGATCACTTTGAGCTCAGGAGTTTGAGACCAGCCTGGGCAAGATGACAAAACCCTGTCTCTACTAAAAATCCAAAAATTAGCCAGGTGTTTTGACGCGTGCCTGTAATCCCAGCTACTCGGGAGGCTGAGGCAGGAGAATCGCTTGACCCCGGGAGGTGGGGATTGCAGTGAGCTGAGATTGTGCCACTGCACTCCAGCCTGGGTGACACAGCAACACTCCATCTCAAAAATAAAAAATAATAAATAAATAAATACAAAATCTAATACTACTTAGGAATAATTTTGTTATTCAATTGCTTATAGTCACCAGCACATATTCGTTAAGGTATAATTGTGCTGTGTAAAAGACAAAGTCTGGTGACTCAAAATCTAAAACAAAACACCTATATAGACAAATAATATTATTACAAAACTACTTTAAATCTCTATATTAAAACATTATAGGTTTCAAAAAAACTTCAAATGTGTTTACTTTTGGCCCAGTAATCATTTTAAGAATTTATCCTGAATATACACCTACGGCAATATGAAAATACATACGCACAAGTTTATGTATTGCAGCATTGTTTGTATTTGGGAAATAATTGAGAAAATCTAAATTCCCATATGGTTCTCTAGCAAGCAGACTCAGAAAAAAATAGTCTCCTGTGGAGGAGAGTGGTTGAATAAACTACAGTACAAGTACATAATAGAGTACTATAAATCTATAAAAAAGAATGAGGGGCCAGGTGCAGTGGCTCACGCCTGTAATCCCAGCACTGTGGAAGGCTGAGGCAGGTGGATCACCTGAGGTCAGGAGTTCGAGACCAGCCTGGTTAACATGGTGAAACCTCATCTCTACTAAAAATACAAAAATTAGCTGGGCATGGTGGTGCATGCCTGTAATCCCAGCTACTTGGGAGGCTGAGGCAGGAGAATTGCTTGAACCCAGGAGGCAGAGGTTGCATAGCTGAGATTGCACCACTGCACTCCAACCTGGGCGACAGAGCAAGACTCTGTCTCAAAAAAAAAAAAAAAATGAAGATGTCTGTGAACCAATATAGAATGATTTCTAGGATATATTATTTAGTGAAAAAGGTAGAGTACAAAACAGTATCTATAGTATGCTACTTTTTGTGTAAAAAAAAAAAAAAAGGAGTGAGAAAACATACATGTGTCTGCTTTTTTGACCAAAAAAGAAAACCGGGAAGGATAAATTAGAAAGTAATGAGATTGGTTACCTACAGGAAGTGGGTGGAAATGAGGAGGAAAGGGTGAGGAGGCTGGGGACTGAGTGGAGGGGATGGGGACTGACAGTTTTCTTGAATATTTCTTTTTGTATGGGTCTACTTTTGGAACCATGTTAATGTTCATATACTAAAACACACATACACACACACACACAAATGGGGAGGGAAATCCTAAAATGGAATACAAACAAATCAACCTAACAGTTTCAAGTGAATAATATAATCACCCTGAAGAGCGGGTATGTTGGTGGGGGGACTAACCCAATCCAAGCAACTGCAGAATATAATTTTTTTTTTTTAACTGTGTACTCTCAGACTAAAGACTAAATGAACTGCAAATGAATATTAAATTTTAGTTACTTTTTTTTTTGCACTAGAGGGTGTCTTTTGGTAGCAGTTCTAAAACTACTTCTGTGTATTCTGGAATTGGGCAAATAAGTACATTTATTATAGATAATGGAATTCATTTTCCTCACAGAGAGAAGAGAGTTACAAATTAGAACAGGACAAAAGTAGAATGAATCGTATAGTGTTGGATTAGACTTGGAATGACAGTATAAAACTCATGTTTTTTAAGAAAGGTATGAGAATGTTTTTATTGTGTACATATAATCATATATATATGCATGTATATATTCCCTGGCTCTATTCACTGAGAAATCCCAGACACAATGACACCCCAAGAGCAATGAGCACACCTGTCACTTAAATCATGATTTCTAATTTTGTTCACTATTTAAAGGAACCAGAGCTCCTTGAGGATTTGGCCAATTCCAGGGAGGCTAGGGCTGGGGACGTACAGGATGAGCCTTGCACATTTTATTAAGCTAGTAAGTTAGAAAGTACTTTAAAAATATAGGATCAGGCATCTCAAAATGTCCAAGAGTTATCCTGAAGGGATTGCTGCTGGCCAAATCTGGAAGAATTAAGCATAAAAATAAATAATGATAGTAATGTATTATAACTCATTGAATAACATGTGGGCATATAAATAAGAGTAAATAAATGTGGGAGAAGGAAAAGTGAGTCCTTATTGTACAATATCAACTAATAAATGTAGAAGGAATAATGGAATTAGGAAATCACTATCTAGCAACCATCGTGGTAATAATTGAATCATCGATGGATAGGAAAACTAGCAGGTCAAGTTTGGTTGAGAAATGGGATATTTACATAGTCACAAAGTATGTCCCCCCCACAAGATATGTATTAATTATAAGGAGAAAAATTATAAATTTAGAGTGGAGAAATATGTCAGATACTATGTTAGCGAAATGACCAAAATGATAAAGCAAACGTGGTAAAATAGCAATATTTAGGAAATTGGGTGAAGAATATACAGGAATTTTTTTGTACAATTTCTATACCTTTTCTGTAAGTCTGAAATTAAGAAATAAAAAGAAAGAGATAAGTAAAACACTTTTAAGGATTACTAAGCTATAGGAAGATAAAGGCTGTAATCAATGTGTAGCAAGTAAATTCTGCTCACCTTCCTAGCAGAACAGCTTATAGAAGGTCTTAGTTGGGGTGTGGGGAGTGAGAAGAGGGCAAATACCTTATTAGATGCTTCTTTAAACGCAATTTTTATTTTATTTTTTGAGCTAGGGTCTTGCTCTGTTGCCAGGCTGGAGTACAATGTTACAATCATAGCTCACTGCAGCCTCGACCTCTTCGGTGCAGGCAATCCTGCTACCTCAGCCTACCAAGTAGCTTGGACTGTCATCACCCACCACTACACCTGGCTAATTACTTTTATTTTTATTTTGTAGAGATGGTGTCTCTTTATGTTGCCCAGGCTGGTCTTGAACTCCTGGCCTCAAGCAGTCTTCCCACCTCGACCTCCCAAAATGCTGGGATTACAAGTGTGAGCCACCACCCTTGGCATGAACACAATTTTTTAAAATTGTTTTTTCAAATGAAAGACTTTTGAAGTTTTTTTTTTTTAAACTCTGTAATAGAAATTCTGGGTTTCTAGTTTTTAAAAAAAATAGAATGAAAATTTTAATCCCAGAAGACCTAAAAATTTAAGAGAGCAAAAAATAAAGAAATAGAGTAATTTCTGTTCTCTTCCCAGATAGTAAATTTAAATAAAAACTTCTGATTATGGCTGGGCACCGTGGCTCACGCCTGTAATCCCAGCATTTCGGGAGGCCGAGGTGGTTGGATCACGAGGTCAGGAGATCGAGACCATCCTGGCTAACACGGTGAAACCCCATCTCTACTAAAAATACAAAAAATTAGCCAGGCATGGTGGTGGGCGCCTGTAGTCCCAGCTACTCTGGAGGCTGAGGCAGGAGAATGGCGTGAACCCAAGGAGGCGGAGCTTGCAGTGAGCCGAGATAGCACCGCTGCACTCCAGCCTGGGCGACAGAGGGAGATTCTGTCTCAAAAAAACAAAACAAAACAAAAACAACTTCTGATTATGTTGGCAGTTATAAAGTTTTAATGTTACTGATACAGATGTACTTCAAAACTCTTTTATCGATCACATAGAAGTGAGTGTTAAGATCATTGACGAGAACTGTCCTAGGTAATGAGGTGGTAATATTACTACTAATACAAGGTGCCTATACTATTCCGAATACTTTTTGTAAATTAACTCATTCAATCTCACTGCAACCCTATGTTGTAAATACTATTATTAGACTCATTTTATACTTGAAAAAACCAAGGTTCCCAAACTTTCTTGGTAACTGTGCTCCTAGAGTCTCAGTAATTTTTTCACAACTCAGGCTCAAAGAAATACTTAATAATTCCATTGATTAAGTTAAGCCCAAATATCTTAATATATATTTATGATTTTACAACTTAGTAGCCATTTGAAAAAATAATACATATAAAACATTTTTTATTTTTTTGAGAGAGTCTCACTCTGTTGCCCAGGTTGAAATGTGGTGACATGATTGCGGCTCAGTGCAACCTCTGCCTCCCAGGTTCAATCAGTTCTCATGCATCAGCCTCCCAAGTAGCTAGGATTACAGGCGTGCGCCAACATACCCAGGTAATTTTTGAATTTTTAGTAGAGACGGGGTTTTGCTGTGTTGGCCAGGCTGATCTCAAACTCCTGGTCTCTAGTGATGCTCCTGCCTCGGCCTCCCAAAAAGCTGAGATTAAAGGCGCGATCCACCGCCCCAGGCCATACATATAAATTTAAAGAAAAAAATTGTATTTCATTTAAAAATAATTACACTTACTTGCTAATGAGAGTTGCAAAAAAAACAAAAATTACCCAGACACTAAAAGCACAGTAATCAATAAAGTTTGGGAACCTTGGTTTTTTCAACTATAAAATGAGTCTAATAATCGTATCTATAATGTAGGCCAGGTATGGTGGCTCACGCCTGTTAGCACTTTGGGAGGTTGAGGCGGGCAGATCACCTGAGGTCAGGAGTTTGAGACAAGCCTGCCCAACATGGTGAAACCCCATCTCTACTAAAAGTACAAAAATTAGCTGGGCGTGGTGACGGGTGCCTGTAATCTCAGCTACTCGGGAGGCTGAGGCAGGAGCATTGCTTGAACCCAGGAAGCAGAGGTAGCAGTGAGCCAAGATCGTGCCACTGCACTCCAGCCTGGGTGACAGAGTGAGTGAGACTCCCTCTCTCAAAATAAATAAATAAATAAATATAAATAAATAAAAGGCTCTATAACATAAGGTTGCAGTACAAGCTTATTGGATGCTGCACATCTTCTCAAACCTTGGGCTCAGATTGGACACTGCCACACTCATTTCCTGATTCACATTGATATTCACATAGTACTTGTTTTTCATCCCAGCAACCACAGAAAACTCAGCTTTGCAATGATCTGACATTACCAAAAGGGTACTATTTGAATGTTGAAACCATGGCTATCTCATACTAGTAGTTCATGTGATTTTCAACAGACATTGAGTATCACTGTGTTGTCCTTGAACATTTGAAATATTCTGTGTTGCTCTATGGACTTGCTGCTGTTCCAAGCTGGAGTTCCTTGGGACACAGTTTGGGAACTGTGGTTCTACCACAGCATTGTTTTTTCAGTTTTGGGGACAAAATTCTTGGGAAGGTCATATGTGGTGGTTCACGCCTGTAATCCTAGCACTTTGGGAGGCCGAGGCAGGAGGATTGCTTGAGCCCAGGAGTTCAAGACCAGCCTGGGCAACATATCAAGACCTTGTCTCTACAGAAAATTAAAAAATTAGCTGGGGATAGTGGTATGTGCCCATATTCCTAGCTACTTAGGAGGTTGAGGTAGGAGGATCGCTTGAGCCCAGGAGTTTGAGGCTACCGTGAGCTATGATTGTGCCACTGCACTCCAGCCTGCATGACAGAGCAAGACTTTGCCTCAAAAAAAAAAAAATTCTTTGGGAAAAATATAAATCAGATTGTGATTTTTAATATTACTTAATAATTAGTGTGAATATTAATAAATTGTATAAAAAATTAATATCTTAAAAATCTTGCTCTTCATTTAAATTCATGTCTTTTTTGTTTTATCTAATTGCTTTGGGATAGACTTTTATAGACAATTAAACAGAAACAGGCTCATTTGGAATGAATAATAAATTGTTAACATCATATAGGTCAAAGGTAACTGCTTGCATTCAAGGAGTGGGAAGCAAGGACAGTACATAATAAATGTTTCAGCTGATAATATATGTAATAAAAATATTTTATACCACCAAGTACATAGGGTGAACTCAAGGAACTTCGTAAGTTTAGTTGAACCTCTCTCTTTTTTTTTTTTTTTTTTTTTGAGACAGAGTCTTGCTGAGTCTCCCAGGCTGCAGTGCAGTGGCGCAGTCTTGGTTCACTGCATCCTCCGCCTCCTGGGTTCGAGCAATTCTCCTGCCTCAGCCTCCCAAGTAGCTGAGACTACAGGCGCACACCACCATGCCCAGCTAATTTTTTGTATTTTCGTAGAGATGGGGTTTCACAATGTTGCCCAGGCTGGTCACGAACTCCTGAGCTCAGGCAATCCGCCTGCCTCGGCCTCCAAAGTGCTGGGATTACAGGCATGAGCCACCATGCCTGGCCTAGTTGAACCTCTCTTTTAAGCAAATTTATTACTTGAAATTTTGAATGTTCTAAACTAGTATACAAGGGGCTTGATTATTTTTACAAAAGAATATTATGTGAGTTTCTTTGATACTTAAATTTTTTTTTTTTAATTTTAAAATAGAGACGGGGTCTGACTGTGTTGCCCAGGCTGGTCTCGAATTCCTGACCTCAAGCAGTCCTCCTGCTTCAGCCTCCCAGAATGCTGAGATTACAGGCATGAGCCACCACGCCCAGCAGCTTTGATGCATTTAAATTATGATGTGGTTCACTGAAATTGAGATGTGTGCCCTACTTTAAAAAAATTACTGAAACTGAGATAGATGCCCAACTTTTTAGAAAATAGGTTTTATTTCTTTATTAACAAAAATGTTTTTAGACCCGTGGTTTTGCTGTTTCCCTGGCTGGACCAAAACTCCTGGTGTCAAGTAATCCTCCTGCCTCAACCTCTCTAGTAGCTGGGATTATAGGTCTGTGCCACCATGACCAGCTGCCCAGCTTTTAAAAATACACATTATTTTATAAAATGCCTCACTGTGTTCTGTTGCATTTTGAGTTTTCTGTCTTTTAGAAGTATGGGAAGCAAAACATTCTTCTACTATATATAAAGGGAAAATGAGGCACAGAGAAAAGCAGTGAGTTTATTTGGCATCACAGAGTAGGAAATTAAAAGGCACCAGCTACTCATCTTTATTAGAAAATATCATGTAATCAGTATCTAACAGCCATTATTTTCATAATAAAGTGATGCTATATAAAATCAATAAATAAAAGTACCCATTTCTGCACGATATTGTATTAGAATTAACATATGTGATTTTTTTAGCCCAAGAATTTGTCTCAGTTCTATTGACTGTACTGACACAGTCAAGATAATGGCAGCATGTATCATATCCCATGAGTGATATGATTGAAATAAGCTTAATGACAGATGGAGGAAATGCTTGCTTCTGTTTCACTCCTGTAGTCATGATAAGGGGTTTCATTTGATTAGGGTAACACCAGCTTGCATTAATGGCATGAAGAATCAGAAAGTTTCATTTTACTTTGCCATCATCATTTTGATAGCAGATTGACTCAATAAAGCTGGGGTTCCCAGAGCATTAAGTAAAATATCTCTGAGGCATCTTTGCAAAGTTATTCTGTAGCCTAGGCTGAAATACTGTGGTTATATCTTCCTTGGGGCTTCTAGTATTTTAATTATGGAGCAATTACAGAGCATTGCCTTCTTTCTTTTCACTGCTCCAGCTGAGTACCTGGGATTCTCTAAGGTAAAAGCAAAGGCCTTTCCCTGGGTCCTTGGGAAAAGCAGGGAAATCTAAGACAATCCAGATGGATCGCGGGTCTTTTTAAACACTTTTTTAGAGATGGCATCTTGAATAATTGTCTTCAGGGCGGTGAGCCATAGTTCACTAACCAAAGTTTCATTTAAATATCATGATGAATTGGCTGCGAAAAGAGGATGGGGAGGAATGTGAAGGGATTTGTATAACAAAGAACCATAAATCATCTCCGGTACAGTGGATCCCCTATCACTCAGCCTATGGGCTCATCAGAGGAACTGCAGGGAGAAAGATGAGAGGGAAAAGGGTCTTCCAGCTTGGGGGGCTACAGCATCCCCCAAGTTAGCAAGGTCCCAAACCAAGTCTTTCCTGAAGTATCATTCACTTATTCATCTTGGAAATATCTGTCAAGTGCCTACTATGTGCAAGGCACTATTCTAGTTGCCATTAGACTGGGAAAGTGTAAGGGTGCGGGGTAGTACTACTAAGATGAGTAGGATACAGTCCCTGCTTTACTATTTATGAGGCATTTTTATGGCAAGGCCTAGCTTCTTTGGCATTAACATTAGTACACAATTAGGGTGTGCCTAACTTTTTTAAACAGATGTATTTCTGAGCCTTTCTGGCATTAAAGTGAATGTCTATCAAGTGAATCTCTACATTCTTCATAAATCTGTCCCTGTTACCCTCAGTTGGAATTAATTTTTCTCCATCCCTGTGTTCCCATAGCCTTCTCTGTATATATCCTCCATCTTCCTCAGTAGGCCTATTGGAGGCAATTGTCACGGAGTGGAAAGTGGAAAGAGCATGGGCTCTGCAGCCACACGGGCTCAAATTAGAATTCCAGCTCTACCTCTACCACTTAGTAGTTGTGTGTGATCTGGGTTAGTTTCTTTTTTTAAAAACAAAATTATTTCCATAGGTTTTTGGAGAATGTGGTCTTTGGTTACACAAGTAAGTTGTTTAGTGGTGATTTGTGAGATTTTGGTGCACCCATCACCAAAGCAGTGTACACTGAACCTGATTTGTAGTCTTTATCCCTCACCGCTTCCCACCCCTTCCCCCTAAGTCCTCAAAGTCATTCTTATGCCTTTGCATCCTCATAGTTTAGCTCTCACTTATAAGTGAGAATATGTGATGTCTGGTTTTCCATTCCTGAGTTACTTCACTTAGAATTATAGTCTCCAGTCCCATCCAGGTTGCTGCGAATGCTGTTAATTCATTCCTTTTTATGACTGAGTAGTATTTCATCATCTATGTATACCGCAGTTTCTTTATCCACTCGTTGATTGATGAGCATTTGGGTTGGTTCCACATTTTTGCAATTGCAAATTGTGCTGCTAAAAACATGCATGTGGAAGTATCTTTTTCATATAATGACTCCTTTTCCTCTGATCTGGGTTAGTTTCTTAACCTCTCTAAGCCCCCAGTTTCCTCCTCTGTGGCATGGGGATACTAGTTCCCATTTTGGGGGACTTCATAAGTATTAAATGAAGTAAAGAATTCAGCATTTAGAAAAATGCCTGGACTATAATAAGCATTCAGTTGTTAATCATTGCTAGTAGGTATTTTATAGATGATCATCTTACAGGCAAGGCAACCAAAGCTCATAAAGGTTAAATAACTTAAGTGCTGTACTTTGTAATTTGAAGGAAGTATAACATTGGATTTAAGAACTTTGGAGCCATGTTACCTTGTTCACCCTCCTTTTCTGCCATTTACTGTTTATACAGCCCTGAGCCAATAATTTAATTACTCTTGGCTTTCATTTCTTTATTCATAAAATAAGGATGATGACTGATCATCTGTCACTCACTGCTTATTATGAGGATGAAAGGAGATGATATGTGTAAAGTGCTTGGTATCTAGCATGCAGTCAGACAATAGAAGCTGCTATTATTAGCAGAAGTCACCTAGTGGCCAAGTGGCAGGACTTAGATTTAAATCTAGTGGGTCTGACTCTCAAGCACTTGCCTTTTTCTAACAAACTCACCACCAGCTCCTTTTCTGTCCGAGCTGAGATTCTGAAGACTTAGCAGATGCTGTCAACACTTGAAATTGTTTTTTTCAAGTGTAATAAAGTCAATTGGTTGATTTTCTCTTTTGATGATTGCTTTATATTTCACAACTATATACTCACATACCCATAATCTTGAACAGCTTTTCCTTCCTCAATCAACAGAATATGTATAATTTATAATATATATGTTTATATACTGTATATATATTTTCCAACCTCATAAAGGAATAGCCAACATCTCAAAGGAACATACTGCTGCCTTCGCCCACATGGACTTTTCAAAACACTTGCTTGTGAAAGAAATCATCATCCCCGAGGAAGCATTACGGGGAATTTCTTGCAATAAGGAGTAGTATCAAAATTCATTTGTGGAATGAAACCCAAGTGAAAAGGAAAAGCAAGGGCTTGCCTTCTTCCTCCCTGCAAACCCTGTCTTGGAATACTTTCCCTCCCCAGCCCCAGGAGGGGCGAGAACAGTAGGGTCAAGGGGTGGTGACCAGGTTAGCGACAAGGGCAACAGAGGGAGGAGACAAAAGAGCAGAAAGTGGAGGCTGCTACCCGAATGCCTGAGCATGTTTCTTTGCTGAAAGAGAATGGCAGGACAACGACTCAAACTGAGAGAAGAGGGTGGAGGGGGAAGAGGACAGCTAATGGATGGGGTGGCCCAGCAGGGGTCAGAGGTCATGAGGGCACACAGTGAACTAATTGGCCACTCTGCATATTCACTTTCTGCTTCTAGCCTACAGCTGGGCCTTGAGAGAAAGGCCTGGGGGTGAAGCTGGCTTTATTTACACCATAGATTTGAGGCCAACTGGTGAAAAGCAACCAAAACCGAAAAGGGAGACAAGAACTCTCTTTCCTCCTGTAGGAACATCTGACCAGGGGTAGCCTTTTGCAAAAGAAAATGTGAAAGATTTCACTTCATTCATTCATACATTCATTCATTTATTCTTCATCATCATCGTCATCATCTCCACATGTTAATTGGATGCTCCAAGAAATGTTACCAGATGGAGAAGGATTATAGACACCTTTAACTTGGAACATAGATGATTAGAGTTAAATTTGGGCTTTTGAGATCATCTAGTTCAGCTCTCTTGTTTTATACTTAAGGAAAAGAGAAAACAATTTACTCAAGCTCACAGGAAAGTAGCAGAGGAGGGAGCAGAGCTCAGATCTTCTCCAAATTCAGAGATTTTTCTAGTACACATTTCTCAGAAACATAGTAGATGAAAACTTGTGTTGACTGGTGTGATTAACAGCTCAGCCTCTGGGTCAAACAGACTGGGCCAGAACGCCAGTTACTAGCTCTGTAAACTTAGAACACTTAATCTTTCAAAGAATCAGTTTGTAGAAAAATACAATTGTTATGTGAATCAAGAGAGGTAAATGCATGTAGAGTGAGTACATGCTTTACAATAACTATGACTATTGCTATTACTTTAGAGCCCGGTATAGACTGTGCTTTTGATGATAAACATGTAACACAATGAACATTTCTCTTGCCATATATAATCTCTATGGGCCTGCCGTCCCAAGATGAAAATCCTCCTTCCTCCTCAGTTTAGAGACCCATGAAGGTAGGAGGGAAACTTTAGAGGCCTGTCTGAACCTTTTACAGACAGAGCTGCCCAAATTTGGAATGAGCCAACTTTCAAAGAGTCAATATATGGGAAGGGCTTAAAGGGCCAGGCACATAGTTAGCACTCAGTAAGGGTTAGTTATTGTTATTATTACTGGTAAGGAGGGAGTTCTTTGTCACTGCACGGGTTCAAGCATAAGGCTGGCTTACCCTTTGTCAGGAATGTTTAAGGGAGATTCATGGATTGGACAGAGTAACCTGGGCTCAGCTTTTCTGTTATTCTGCTTTCCAGAGACTTTGTTTCACCCTCTTCAAAGGTCTGGCTGCATGAAGCAAGGAAGGGAATCTGGGAACCTAACTGTTTTTCAAAGATTTCCATCAGGCCAGGCGTGGTGGCTCACAGCTGTAATCCCAGCACTTTGGGAGGTCAAGGCAGGCAGATCACTTGAGGCCAGGAGTTCAAGACCAGCCTGGGCAACGTGGCAAAACCCCGTCTCTACTAAAAATACAAAAATTAGCCAGGTGTGGTGGCACGTGCCTGTAGTGCCAGCTACTCAGGAGGCTGAGGTGGGAGGATCACTTGAACCCGAGAGGCTGAGGTTGCAGTGAGCTGACATCGTACCACTGCCCTTCAGCCTGGGCAACAGAGTGAGACTCTGTCTCAAAAGAAAAAGAAAAAAAGAAAAGATTTCCATCAGTCTTTATATTTTTCACTCCACCTTCATCCTTATCGTCTGAGGTACCTGGTAGACTGTTGTGGAGGGAATGTTTGTGTTTCCCCAAAATTAATATGCTGAATCCCTAGCCCCCAGTGTGATGGTATTTGAAGGTGAGGCCTTTGGGGAGTAATGAGTAATTAGGTTTAGATTAAGTCATGAGGGTAGGACTCTCTTGGTGGGATTAGTGCCCTTTTAAGAAGAGGAAGAGAGAGAGTTCTGTCTCCACGAGCAAGGAAAGGCCACGTGAGGACATAGCAAAATGGCAATTGTCTGCAAACCAAGAAACACACCACTGCATTCCAGCCTGGGTGACAGAGATAGAACCTGTTTCAAAATAAAAACAAAAACAACCCACCCCCCCCAAGTGTCTTAGCCATTCTTGACTCTTTTCTAGTTCATATTTGAAGATTAGTTTGTAAGTTTTTTATATACTATATATAAATATAAATGTAGCCAAGTTGGGATTTTTTTTTTTTTTTGGTATTGCGTTGAATTTATAGATAAATTTGGGGGACGATTGACTGTGTTTATAATAGTGGGTATTTCTGTTCACAAACATGGTATATTGTTCTATTTATTTAGGGCTTCTTTTATGTCCGCCAATAAAGTTTTATCATTTTCTTCATTTGGGTTAATACTTCTTTTATTAGATCTATTGCTAATACCTTTTAGTTTTTGCAGATATGTAACAGGGTCTCTTTAAGATTACATTTTCTAATTAGTTTTGCAGGTGTATAGGAATGCATCTGACTTTTTGTATATTGATTCTGAATCCAGCAACCTTGAGCAATCCTTTCAGTCGTTCTGATAGCTTGTCTATACATTATCTTGGATTCTCTATGTAAACAATCATATTGTCAACAAATAGCAACAATTTTATTTTTTCCTTTCCAATCCTTATGCCTGTTTATTTCCTTGCCTTATTGCATTGGCTGGGATAGCCAGTAAAATGCAATGAAATGAATGCAGGTGGTGAAAGCGGATAGCTGTTAAAGGGACATGCCACCTTAACAGGCATATATCACCAGAGCTATTGGCTTTAGAGCTATGCTGTGCCTGCCAGACCTGTACCAGCAAAATGTATGTATCTTTGGTGTTCAAAATGTATACACCTTTGGTGTTTGAGAATAGGTATTTCTATTCTCATTTAATAGATAAAGAAACAGAAACTCAAAGAAGTAACCAGGTCTGTAAACCCCGCACTTTGAGAGGCTGAGGCAGAAGGGATTGTTTGAAGCCAGGAGATTGAGACCAGCCTGCACAATATAAGGAGACCTTGTCTCTGCAAAAAATTTAAAAAACAAAAGAAACTCAAAGAGGTAAGTAACTTGCTAAAGACCACACAGTTTATAAGTGGGAGATTCACACCCAGATCTTCCGATTTCCAGTTGAATGCCATTTCCATGATTCCACACTTCCTTCCAGCTAGTTACCTGATAAATCTATCTGTGCTAATATGTTGCCCATCCCAGATAACATATTGCATTTTATCTTATTATTTATTTACTTATTTATTTTTTTGAGGCGGAGTCTTGCTCTGTCGCCCAGGCTGGAGTGCAGATCATGGCTCACTGCAGCTGTGAACTCCTGGGCTCAAGCAGTCCTCCCACCATGGCCTCCCGAAGTGTTGGGATTATAGGTATGAGCTACCACGCCTGGCCGTAGAATGCATTTTAAAAGAGATACTTCAGAACAAACAATGCTTTTACCCATTTAAATGAGTTTTTAACAGTGGGAGTTTTAGGCAAGTTTTAGGCAAGTATTTTGCCTTAACAGAAGACTCTGCCTATTTATAATTTTTTAAAAACAGATTCATTGACTCTTAGAGTTGAATGGCTTCTTGTCTCATCCAACCCACTATGTAATGTAGTTATCCCTGTATTGCCTCCATGACAGATCATCCTCCGGCATTTACCAACTGCCAGGGACGGGTTCACCTCACCAGCAAGCTGTTGAATAAATTCTCATGTGAATCCACAATCTGCCCACTGATCTAGAGAGTTGTTTTCTCCTTTACCTGACAGCTCTTCACATGTTTGTTAGTTTCTCAGACTACCTGTCTCTAGGAGGTTTAGTTATTGTCCGAATGAGATAGTTTCCAGACTTCTCACTATCCTGGTCATTCTCCTCTCAGTGCTTTCTAGTTGGCCAATGTCCCTCTTGAAAATGTTGCCTAGGCCGGGTGCAGTGGCTCACGCCTATAATCCCAGCACTTTGGGAGGTCGGGATAGGTGGATCCCTTGAGCTCAGGAGTTCAAGACCAGCCTGGGCAACGTGGCAAAAACCTGTCTCTACAAAAAATACAAAAATTAGATGGGGCTGGGTTTGGTGGCTCATGCCTGCACTCTCAGCACTTTGGGAGGCCAACATGGGAGGACTGCTTGAGGCCAAGAGTTCGAGACCAGCCTGGGCAACATGGTGAAACCCCATCTCTATAAAAAAAAGTACAAAAAGTAGCCGGGTATGGTGGCATGCACCTTAGTCCCAGCTACTTGGGAGGCTGAGGTGGGAGGATTGCTTGAGCAGGGGAGGGGAAGGTTGCAGTGAGCTAAGATCGCACTGCTGCCTCCAGCCTGGGTGACAGAGTGAGTCTCTGTCTCAAGAAAAAAAAAAAAAAGAAAGAAAACAAAAGTAAAGAAAATGATGGCTAGGTTTTTAAGATGTATTTGGATTGCAAACAAAGTGGGCCTCATATCATCTGGACACAGTTACTTCTATTGATGCTGTCTAGATTTGTGTCTTTAGTAGCTATGACACACTGCTTATTTGTGGTGAGTTTAGGGTTAATTAAGCCCTCCATATATTTTTTATTTGAACTGCATTTCTGAAAATATACTATTTGTATGTTAAAAAAGAGAAGAAAAATGCTTCTGAAGACAGGAATTTATATATATCCTCACTAAATTTAATAATTTGTGTGGTTACTTCATAATTGGCCATCTATAAATGTGATCAAGCATGCCTTCTGTATATAGAGCGAGGCCTGCACTTGCAGAATGCAAAGACAAATTGTCCTGCATTGCCTAATCATTCAGACCAGAAGCCATGGAGGTATATTTGTTTGTTTTTAATCTTTCATCCCCTATGCCCTTTCCTGCAGCACTCTGGAGCTCTCCAAGACAGAGCAAAGTCTGTGGGGAAGGAACCAGGACAGAAATCTACTCTGTTTTGGAGACAAATGGGGCAGCACCTGCAGCTTGGAGGCTGCAGCAGGTTACCAGGAAACACCTGCTTGGTCAGGGGTAGGGAAAGTCATTAGGACTGCTGTCCCAGGACAGAATAAAATACCATCCTCAAATTTCAGAACACTGGTACATTGGGATTTTTACTATAGAATTAAAATTCAATTTCTTTTTTTTTTTGAGATGGAACCTTGCTCTGTCACCCAGGCCGGAGTGCAGTGGCGCAATCTTGGCTCACTGCACCTCTGCCTCCCGGGTTCAAGCGATTCTCATGCCTCAGCCTCCCAGGTGGCTGGGATTACAGGCGTGCACCACCACACCCAGTTAATTTTTGTATTTTTAGTAGAGACGGTGTTTTGCCATGTTGGCCAAACTAGTCTTGAACTCCTGGCCTCAAGTGATCCGCCTGCCTCGGCCTCCCAAAGTGCTGGGATTGCAGGCGTGAGCCACCACTTCCAGCCTCAATTTCTTACATGAAACCACTTCATGAATTTTTAAAAAACTTACTTGATGTTGGAAGATCCACAGGAAGGGAAGGGGCGGCAGGAGTGCTCTCCTCAGCTCAGTCTCACACCTCCTGGTTTAGTGGGATTGGCATCCACCCTTCCATCTGACTAGCACAAATCAACTTCGAGATATGTTTTTGAGACCGAAATCCTAGCTACCCATATCTCCCTTCTGCCTATCCTGCTCAAAAACTCATACTTACAAATCAATAGACATCCTCCACCCCAACACATGCTCCTCATCTTCAATAAATACTTGTAACTTTGCCTGTGTAATATTCACAAGGACAGTGTTGTACGTGTCTAGCATTGACAGTGCAATAATAAAAACTGCAAGCATGTGGCACTTGTGATGTGCCACCCACTGTTCTAAGCACTTTATAGATGTGAACTCATTTCATGACGTTAATTCATTTCATCCAAAGGACAACAGTCCTGTGTGGTACATAATGTTATTATCTTTGTTTTACAGTTGAGGAAACTGAGGCACAGAGATTAAGTGTTTGTCCAAGGTCACATGGCTAAAAGTGGCAGAGTGGGATTGGAGTTCATGCAGTCCAGCTCCAGTGCTCTTAACCACTATCTTACACTGTCTCACTAAATTGTGGAGGGAGCTGCAATGGATATCTGTGTGGGGTGTGCAGCCCCAGTCCTGGGTTTTCGTCCATAAGCTGTTCTTTGCCAAATGATTTCTAATTATAATAACCAAGAACATGATTACTTTCTTAGGATAGGAACTGCCAGCAGGCTTTAGCTCCTTTCCAGATGAGGAAACGTAGGCTCGGAGTGTTAGTGTAGTCAGGGTCACATAGGGAATAAGTGACAGAAACAAGAATGTGAACCCAGCTCAGGGTGACTTTAGTGTCCAGACACCTCCGCTTAACCTACAATGTCACAATGGTGAGGTCAAATATTCAGAAAGAGCTTAGACACTCTCCATACCCTCTTTTTCATGGGCTAGAGAATACATGGAGGCCCTTCTTCAGGGAAAAAATCATCATAATCATTACCAAAGCATCTTGTCGAAGATCCACTGGGTGCTGGATGCTATAATGTGGGGTTTTTTTAAACTTCAATATGAGGATCCCCGAAAGTATGAGTGTTTCATCATCAACTTGGCAGAAGTTAGCTGAAGGGTATGTAAGCCTCCTGTCCTAAGATAGGTTTCTTCATTTCTTGAGCTGACAGGTTGAATTAAGTTACTGCTTCTCATATATAGCTCTCTGGCTTTTGCTTTAATTTTATTTTTTAAACTGGTGATAGCAGCAATAGGAGGCCCTTGCTTTTAGATCAAGCATAGCTTTATTTTTTTTCAGGATGCAAGTCAAGAGCATAGTTCCTAAAGAACCGTGTGGTGATGTCTGGGATCACTGGGGTGTGCACATTTATTTTATTTTATTTTATTTTATTTTATTTTATTTTATTTTATTTTATTTTTTTGAGACAGAGTTTCGCTTTGTCACCCAGGCTGGAGTGCAATGGCATGATCTCGGCTCACTGCAACCTCTGCCTCCCAGATTCAAGCGATTCTCCTGCCTCAGCCTCCCAAGTAGCTGGGATTACAGGCATGCATCACCACACCCAGCTAATTTTCTATTTTTAGTAGAGACAGGGTTTTGCCATGTTGGTCAGGCTGGTCTTGAACTCCTGACCTCAGGTGATCCACCCGCCTCAGCCTCCCAAAGTGCTGGGATTACAGGCATGAGCCACTGCGCCCAGCCGGGATGTGCACACTTCTATGCATACACATACACCTGGCACAGACAAGCACACGTACTGCCACGTTCATGGTGTGAATCCCTGGAAATAAGGGTGCCGTCAGGGGACCAGCAAGTGCATGGTATGGTCTCCATTCCTGGGTGCATTGATGTGGCCTGCCATGCCCTGCTGGGTTGAGGTGGGCCTGTTCTGTCTGCTCTGAGTCCTGGCTGGGTCAGTCTTTCCAGGAGTGTGGGGATACGGTTTCTATCAGGCATGCCCAACATATCCCCCTGGTCTTGGATCAGCAGGGCAGGCTGGCAGGAATGCCTACCTCAGAGCCCCTAAGCAGGGTTTAGGTCAGTGACCTCTCCACTCCCCACCCTGGCCAGCGGTCCTCCAGCAACGATGCCAAGGATGCTTATTTGTTTGTTTGTTTATTTATTTATTATTTTTTTTTGAGATGGAGTCTTACTCTGTCGCCCAGGCTGGAGTGCAGTGGTGCGATCTCAGCTCACTGCAACCTCCGCCTCCCAGGTTCAAGTGATTGTCCTGCCTCAGCCTCCCAGGTGGCTGGGATTACAGGTGTGTGCCACCATGCCCAGCTAATTTTTGTATTTTTAGTGGAGGCGGGGTTTCACCATGTTGCCCAGGCTGGTCTCAAACTCCTGATCTCAGGGGATCCGCCCACCTTAGCTTCCCAAAGTGCTGGGATTACAGGCGTGAGCCACCGCGCCCAGCCCCAAGGATGCTTTCTTAGGTCAAAAGGGAAAGCATTGTTGCTGCCCTGTGGCCAGGCAAACAAGCTGCTGGCTTTGAAGTCACAGGGGATTTGCTCAGGCTGGAGTTGGGAGTCTGAAGGAGAGGCCTCCATGCCTTCCTGAAGCCTCACTGCGTTTATTAACTCCACCTGCCTACCCGGGCCTGGTGTGTTTGATGTCTCGGGAGAAGCAGGAGGAGGGAGGCATGCTCTGGGGGTCCTCCGAGGGACATCTTTCAGCCCCTGCTGAGCCTGCCATCCCACCTGGTCTGAACAGAAGGAAAACCAGGCCCAAGTCCAGAAGGGCTAGTGACAGGCCTGTAGTGAAGGGGACACCTAGTCCCCCTCCCTTCAAGGTAGTTTACAGGAGTGTGTTCCAGGGCCAGTTGGAGAGCAGGCTGCTTCCCTTGGTCATTGTCTTTATTCAGGTGGCATCCGGTGAGAATGAAAGTCAAGGGAAGACTTGAAGAGAGAAAGAGGCATCCAGAGGCAGCACTGGTGCCTTAAGGGGCCACAGCAGGTCTCTCCACTTTGCCCTGAGGTCCCCAATCACGCCTCTGCCAGGTGCCTCCCCAACTCCTGCCCCATGCTTCACCCCTTCTCCCCACCAAAGCAGCATGAGTGGGCAATTTGCCATTTCCCAGCGACAGCTCAGAAGCCTTAGGTAATGACCAGAGACATTCCCCACCCACCCCCTACTCACACTCAATAAAATGCACTGATGAGGAATCCATGGAGTGGGGAAGAAAGTTCTAGAGAGCAGGAGCCTGCGTAAAACAATGCTCGCCTCTCTGGGCTTGCCTTGCCCCAGGATTTCACTATGTTCCAAATCATGTTTTATTACCTTTCAGGGTTGGGCCATGGGAATGGGATAAGAAGCAAAGCATTATTATTAACCAGTTCCATGTCCCATACAATATTAGCCATGAATAGCTCCATCTCTCCCCCACAATTTCCCTATCAGCCACATTCTAATGCCCCCCACCCCCAACACCGCTCTCTAGTCTGTCTGTCTGCCTGCTCCCCCTGCCCCTGACATGTTGCAATTCAGAAAGAGCTTGTTTATGATAAGACCTTGAAATCTGGAGTTATAAATCCTGCCCAGGGCGGCCGCCCTATCTCTGTGCTAATGCTTGTGGTGCCAAAAGGAGGCTCACCTGGTTGTGACCCAGTCCCTCTTACTCCCTGAGGAGTTCCCTGCTCCTCCTCTGCAAACACAGGACAATGGGCAAATGGGAGTTACCTGTTCCAACAGGTGTTAGCTGGGCCTCACTTTCCTACAGGGTGATGAGAAGGTCACCCTCTGGCCCGCCCACGCTGGGCATTCCTGTGACTGTGAAAGCCCACCTTCGAACATGACCCTCCCTCTCCCCCACCCTCCCATGACTTCAGCTACAGGAGACTGAGCCCACCTCAATGGCTTTAAAAGTCCCCACTTGAAGCTTCTGAGTCTACCAACTAGAGAGCAGGCAGCACCTGCACTGGCTGGAGGGCCCTTGTGCTGCCTCTTTATTCTGTACAGGCCTCTGTCATTGTGTTTACACCATATTGCAGTTGGCAGTTGTTAGCCTTCCCTACTAAGCTATGGGCCCCTTAAGGGAAGACACTGTTTCTGATTCATCATTGAATTCCTAGGCCCAAAAGACTGCACAGAACATAAATATTTGTTAAATGACTAGGTGAATGGTGTCATCATTACCAGCACATATTTCTTCAGGGTATCTTATGTGCAGCGAACCTGCTAAGCAGTAGGGATACAAAGATTAATTGGACACCATTCCCACTCTCAGGGGCTTATGCTGGAGTCGGGGAGACCCACTGAAGCTTCACTTCCCTAGAGGTCAGAGGAAGAGCTGGATCTGGGGACCCCAGGAAGCTGCTTTGACAACCAGAGGCCTAGGGTCTTGGGAAAGTTTGCCCAGAGTGAACTTACCACAGATGCCAGAGACTCAGATACCTACTCACCATTGGTCTTGGTACATTCCAGAGTGGAGGTGATAACTTGCCAACTAACAGCATGTGGAGCCTTTTCCTTTGTGACTTGTATCCTCCTCTCAACAATGGGAATAAAAGTAATTTCTAGTATCTTCACTTGGAATGGATTTTTCAGCCCTTTAGCTCTGGGAAGAAAAGAAGTGAAACTGGCCCCCACTGGGCCCTAGCTGGAGCTGTGCTTGTTAGCTCTGCCCCATACCATTTGGTTTAGGCTGCCTGTGGATTTGAGGCCACAGCTGCCTCCACCCTCAGGAGGAAGGAACGAGGAGGTCCAGGCATCTGTCTGGAGTTCAGTTCATCCCAACACACATTAATTGAATGCCTCATCTGTGCCAAGCATGCTGGACAGTGGGAATAGAGAAATTAACATCGTGGGTGTAGCTCCTCCTTTCAGACAGGGACTGATATCTCTGAGAACCTGTGGGAAGAAGGACAACCAGTTGATCTCTTGGGGACTGAGAGTCAGCCCACATGATATGAGAGGCTGTTGCATCCCAATGCCATTGTCTCATGGAGGGGACCTTTACTGTGTGGAGTGGGGGCCTAGCAGTGTATGTGTGGGCAGTGTGGTGCAGTGTCCATGGGTGGTGTTTTCTGTGTGGCTGTTTGCAGTCAGCGCTTTTGAAGCTTTTCATGTGAAGTACCATTAGTGGCAGAGAGTGAATTCACACTTCACAAGGGGCATGGGGTTTTAGATCACTGCACACAGAAACTTTCTTCGAAGCCCCATGTTTTGTCTTAAAAGTATGTTTAGGCTGCGCATGGTGGCTCACGCCTGTAATCCCAGCACTTTGGGAGGCCAAGGCAGGTGGATCACGAGGTCAGGAGATTGAGACCATCCTGGCTAACACGGTGAAACCCCGTCTCTACTAAAAATACAAAAAATTAGCTGGGTGTGGTGGCGGGCGCCTGTAGTCCCAGCTAGTCGGGAGGCTGAGGCAGGAGAATGGCGTGAACCCGGGAGGCGGAGCTTGCAGTGAGCCGACATTGCGCCATTGCACTCTAACCTGGGCAACACAGCAAGACTCCGTCTCAAAAAAAAAAAAAAAGTACATTTAAATTTTCTATTTTCTACCATAATCCATCTGTTTGCTTTTATTGAAAAATGCAGTTAACATTTCTTATATCTGAATAAAATGGACATTCCAGGAAGATAAGCCATCTTTCCTGTGACTTCTTGCAACCTCTGGCTCACAGCCCTATTACCCTAGCTTGAGAAGCTTGCCTTTTGGGACATCAGGCCCAGATGTACCACATTCAGGGTGCCACCCCAAAGTGGATTTCTAACACACTTGCATGGTCCATGCCCGTGACCTGGAAACACTGTTCTGGATTTGGCCTATGCTGCCCTGGTCACACACTCCTTCAGTCAGACCCCACAGGACCATCCCTCCACCTCTCGGCTTATCCTGGTCCCTACAGCAGGGTTTGGAGATCAGGTGGCCAGTGACCATATTCCCCAGATGTCTGGGGCAATGGCCATCAATCTTTTTGTAGTCTCCTTCACAGAGAATGAGTAGGGCAGAAGCAGCAGTGAGCATGGGATCCTGAGGGGAGTTCACAACAACTAACACGGCCAGGTGCGGTGGCTCACGCTTGTAATCCGAGCACTTTGGGAGGTCAAGGCGGGCGGATCACCTGAGGTCAGGAGTTCGAGACCAGCCTGGCCAACATGGTGAAACCCTGTCTCTCCTAAAAATACAAAAATGAGGCATGGCGGCACATGCCTGTAATCCCAGCTACTTGGGAGGCTGAGGCAGGAGAATCGCTTGAACCCAGGAGGCAGAGGTTGCAGTGAGCCGAGATTGCACCACTGCACTCCAGCCTGGGAGACAGAATGAGACTCTGTCTCAAAAACAAAAACAAAAACAACTAACAGCTAATGCAGATACTTGAACTAATTATCTATCTAAAGGGTCCTGGTCTAGGGATTGTTCTCACAACTGCCTTGGTAGCTTTAGTACAATGCCCCGTTTAGTGTTCCCTGACACAATTGCTTTATCTGTATGAGGAAACGGAGTAAAGACTACATTTTATCTGGTAATGGAGAAGTTCTATGATCCCAAGTCCATATAGGTTTATTATGGATTCACCGTATTAGTGTTTTTTAAGTTTTTAAAGAAGTGTGATGCCCTCATTTTTTTCACTCACACATTAATGCATTTTCTTATTTATTCAACAAGTCTTTATACAGAACCTACTATGCTTCAGGCACTGTATGAAGTCCTGGAGATATAGTGGTAAGCAAGAATGGCATGGTCTGGGCCCCCTTAGAATTTGCAAGTGAGAGACAAAATTAAACAAATGGTCTCCATGGAAGCAAACAAAGCAAGTTCAAATGGGGCAAGCCCAGGGCTTTCTTCTGCTGACTGCTCCTGGATGTTCTGCCCAATAGCCTAAGAACACAGTTAGTAGGTCCTGGACTAAGTCAGGGATAACAATAGATTGTCTATGATTCCTCATATGGAAAGTAAAAACAAACGTAAAATGAAATTCACCTCCAAGTCCCTCCTCCTGCTCGACTGCCCCAGAGAAAATGCACCAAACCTTAAGTGTGCAAACACACTTAAGAATAAGGAAATTCATTATTTCATTTAGTCCTCAAATTAGGGCTGTGAAGTTAAGTGCCATGATTCTCTCCATTTCAAAGATACAGAACCTGAGACCTTAGGGAGGTGAAGCTCACCTGGCCAGGATGGGAGTAAGATGGAGTTTACAAATAGGGTGGGGAGGAGGAAGCTTTGGGGCATGACTCTTTTGAGACAGGGTCTCACTTTGTCACCTAGGGTGGAGTGCCGTGGCATGATCTTGGCTCTTGGCTTACTGCAACCTCCGCCTCCTGGGTTCAAGGGATCGTTCCACCTCAGCCTCCCAAGTAGCTGCGACTACAGGTGCATGCCACCACACTTGGCTAATTTGTGCTAGGATTACAGGCATGAGCCACCGTGCCTGGCATCTCTTGATTTTACTGAACAGTGCTGGGCTGGAGGCTTCCAGTGACTCTCCAGACAGACCCCTGTGGTTCTGGAGACTCTGCCACTGCCCCTTATCTTTCCTCCCCATGGCGCACACGGATTTGATGGCTCTAGGTGCTAAAAACTCTGGACTCTAGAACTCAGCTAAGGAATTGCAGAGCTGATGGGACAGTGGAAATGTGGGCAACGTGTCCGAACAACCCACAGCCCTGCCTCCTCCTCCCCAGACTGACCAATGACCCTAAGCCCTGAATGGATTTTTCCTTTTTTTTTTTTTTGAGATAGAGTCTCACTGTGTCGCCCAGGCTGGAATGCAGTGGCGCAATCTCGGCTCACTGCAACCTCTGCCTCCTGAGTTCAAGTGGATTCTCCTGTCTCAGCCTCCTGAGTAGCTGGGATTACAGGAGCACACCACTGCGCCCAGCTATTTTTTTTTTTTTTTTTTTTTTTGTATTTTTAGGAGAGACAGGGTTTCGCCGTGTTGTCCAGGCCGGTCTTGAACTCCTGACCTCAAATGATCCGCCCGCCTCAGCCTCCCAAAGTGCTGGGATTACAGGCATGAGCCACCGTGCCCGGCCCTATTGGATTGTTCCTAAGAAACTTGGCATGGCTTTGGCAACTGACAATCCTGACAAAGGATTATCACTTCCGCCCTTCGCCTTTGGAGTATCTTCATCTAAGCCTTCACTGCCCTTAAAGGAAAATTCAGCTGAATTTGGAATGAATGAGGTTGTACAGCTAATCATGTTTAGAGTCACCTTCCTATGACATTAAGGCCTCCAGGAGAGTCATTGAAAAGTCTGTGAGGTCTGCTAATTCTATTGAGAGTGAGGAATGTGTTTATTCTTCCAAGGGGCAAAGATCCCCCACTCAAAATGACGCTGCCACATTGTGTAACCAGGAACGTGGGTTGTTGCTGATGTAAACAGATGGCCAGGGGTGGACCTGCCAGGATCCCGGGTCTCCTTTTCCCAGAGGTGT
Organism: Homo sapiens; assembly: GCF_000001405.40. Lineage (NCBI taxonomy): Eukaryota > Metazoa > Chordata > Mammalia > Primates > Hominidae > Homo > Homo sapiens. The sequence goes on from NT_187614.1 coordinate 1,915,414, forward strand.
TTCTTATGAATGGTTGTGCCCAGTGAAGCAATTTCCTGCCTTGTAAACTGCTGCCCACCAAACCACATCTCCTATCTATCGCTGCCTGGCTCTGGGTCATAAAACAATTCCCCACAAACCAATCAGAGCCTGATTAGGAGACCTTGAGTAACAGGAAAATTACCCTCCACCTGCAGATGTAATGACACTTTGCAAGCTAGTGGCTTTGCAGTTTCTGAACGTAAACATCACATGCTTTACCCCATGCCCCACCTCTGCTCATCTGAGATGTGGGGGCTACATATTTGATTCTCAGGCCCTGGTTCACTCTGCTGGGGCACCGGCTGACCAGTGACCCATTACCTTGACCTGACACCCTGCAGCCTGGAGAACACATTTCACTCTGTCAGTTCATGATTTACAGAGCCAGGGCAAGAGAAGTTCAGGCAGGGGTCTCAGGCATGCAGAGCTGGGTTGGAGGAATCAATGAGGACAGAGGATTTGGACTGAAACACTATGAACTCATTGATTTGGACATTCGCTTTGCATTGTGGGTCTGGAATGCCTCCTCCACTATCCTCTGCTCCCCATTCACCTGGTGAACTGTCATTCATTCTTCATGACACAGTTTACATATCTACCAAGGAAACTTTGATTGCCATCCAAGCAGAACTTCCTCTATTGTCCTATCAATATTCTTTCTAACACCTACACTCTGTAATTGAAATCACTTGCTAAGTTGTCTGTCTCCCCAGCCAGGCTGGGAACTCCTTCAGGGCATTTTAGAATCCCCACCACCCACTACCATGCCTGACTCAAAGTCAGTGTGCAAAAGAGGTTTGTTGAATGAGCACTCACACTCAAGTGCAGTGTCTCCCCACTGCACTTACGTGTTTTGCATATTGAAAATGTACAAAGAACATAGTCAAAGGAATGAAGAACCTGGGTTAGGCTGATAGGCATAACATAAGGTCTTTGTCCTTAAGAAGTTTGCAATCTGATCTTCTTTCTGTGAATAGTAGGAGTATTTGCAGGTGGTATACAGAAATTGGACCCATGGCTAGGCATAAGTGTTGGGTTTTTCCCCCCTTTTTAGTGCCAGCTCAAAGCTGAAATGAGTTTGAGAGGTGGCCTGTTTTTCTTTAGCTCTCTCAGTTGTTTTAACTTTGACTTTTAGTTTAGTACTAAACAAGTCACACTTCCAACGATCCATAGTAATACACTAGCCATAAAACACCACCCAGGACTGCCATTTTCATCTCTTCTTTCTCCTTATCCCCAGCAATAGAAGTAATACCAATGACTTGCTTCTTTCTTTGAATCTTGGGAGGCCCCAGAGAGTGATGGTGATAGTGGTGGTGGGAGGTGTGTATTGGGGTCATTTTCCAAACATAAAACTAGTAAACTCCACGATACACATACACACATTCCCTTATTTGAAGAATATTTACCGAGTGCCAATGTGTGTCAGGTACCAGATGCTGGGGACAAACCAGTGAACAAAACACCACATCCCTGCTCTCACAAAACCTATATTCTGGTGGGAGGAAGACAGTGACAGTAGGGAAGGGGCCCATTGTGCTATCTCATGTTGTATTCCTGAATTGGATGCTAATGATGAACATTTATTGAGCCCTTTCTTATGTACCAGGCAAAGGGCTTTATGCATCTTCTATCTCATTTAATCCCCAGACAACCCCATTTTCAGGTAAGGAAACATTCAGAGAGGTTAAGTTGCCTTCCAAAGATCTCACAGCTAGTAAGTGGTAGAGTCAGGATTTGAAATCAGATTTGAATTACTCCTTACTCTGAGCTCTTAACCACAACTCTATAAGGCAGCAGTAAATATTTACTCGATGAACAAATGAGTAGATAAATGGTTAACCCTAACTACAGTGGCAACCTATTGTTTTGTCTCCATGATACAAACATGAGCAACATGCTTGTTTTTCATTGACTTATTGATTCAATTGCCCCAAAGTGTGGTTCCTGAAAGTAGGTTTTGTATTGATTAAGAAACAAGTGTCTTTCTTGTTACCATCCATGTTTCCTGGACAAGACAACCTATTTTATGAAAATAATGATGAATTATAATGGAAAAAGTTGTACAAAAGAAAGTGTCACCTTAAGTTCTCTTTTCTGGCTTTGAATGTGTGGGTTTGTGATAAAGTCTCTGTATTAGGCTGAATAATGACCCCCAAAGATGTCAGGTCCTAATGCCTCCATCCTGTAAATGTTACATTAAAAGGAAAAAGGGTCTTTGCCGATGTAATTAAGGAAGATTATCCTAAGCAACACAGTGGGCTGTGAATACAATCACATGTATCCTTATAAGAGGGAGGAAGAGGGAGACTTGACACAGAAGAGAAGGCGATGTGACCACGGAGGCGGAGATAGGAGTGATGTGGCCACAAGCCAAGAACTGCTGACAGCCAATAGTGGCTGGAAGAATCAAGGTAAGAGTCTCCTAAATTTCGAGCTTCTGGAGTGAGTGACAGCCTGTTGACAGCCTGATTTTGGTCCAGTGATACTGATTTTGGACTTCTGGCCTCCAGAACTGTGAGGGAATAAATTTCTGTTATTTAAAGCTACCACATTTTTGGTAATTTGTTACAGCAGCAAGGGGGAACTGATAGAATCTCCTAGAGGAGGAAGCA